>NC_000002.12:5464545-5767575 GCF_000001405.40 Homo sapiens
GCGAGGTCTCGAACAGATGAGGCTTTTAAAAAGTGCAGCTCCCTGCCCCATCATCACACTGCTCATTACTGCAGCCACTCCTAAAACAAAAGGCCATTTCCGTTACCCTTCTCAATGAAGCTCAACAACAATTCTAAAAAAAATTACTGATTTTATTCTAGTTGTGAACTAGGACATTAATGATATCACATTCTTATCTTTTTATTATATTACATTTGGTACAGGGAAGGCTGTTTGCATTTTTTAAATTCTTTGCATACCTGCAGGCTACGATTTGAAGTATTGTGAAATTTTCTGCATCTCTGTATTTGTAAGCCTTCTTATTTGCAAATGACTTATGTCCTTAGTTACACCAAGTACAAAAATGCAGAAAGAAGGAGAAATGATGGCTCACTTTGGTCACAAATGACGAAAGGAAGGGCGTTGTGCTCAATCTTACTGACGCGATGCTGACTTCTCACTGAAAGTCACATTCTTCATTTCAAAAGCTTGAACATGATGATCCTTTACAAAGAATCTCCATTAGTTGTATTTTAGAAACTGAGAGAAGTCCGGTGGAAGAAAATTATCTGGGCGAGTAATATGTTGTTTTGACCATCGCTATTCCACGTTTCCCTCTACGGGGATGTTGGAGCATCAGTGGAAGAATGGCTCAAAGTTAAAAATCCTGTCCTCTCTGCCTATCTGCTGGGGTCATGAAAAAAGCACATATGCTCTGTTCTTCCCACATGAATGTCATAAGGTTTCACATCCTTCAAACTCTTTCCAAAGGTGAGAAAGACCTCCTTCCTTAGTTATGTGCCTCCCTCAGGGGCTTCCTGGCATCCACAATACCAGGCAATTCCTGAGCTGACTGCCTCTTGTGATATTGAGTTGTGGGTGATGCTTCTATATCAGAAATACAAGAATTGTTATTTTAAAAGAAAGGTGCAGTTTAACCCCTCTCTCCAGAAGGTCAGAAGCATCTTACTAGAGAGTGAATTGCTCTTTTGCTTTTTTGAAAACACTTCAATGAGCCAAGACAAGGCGTGATATCATTCTGCATAAGAAAGTAATGGGGTTTTTGTAGCTACCTGACCAGTTCAAGAGGTAATATTGAGAGGCCCAAAGGAATGTGTGGAAAGTCCTCAGGGGAAAAGTCTGGAAAGAGAGGGGTCCAAGCCTGAGGGCACTTCCCACCTAAAGACGGTATCTGGGGCAGGGAATGAATGATGTATTTTTAGCATCCAGCTACCTGGTACAACCACTATGATTTACAAACTGCATTTCAAATGGTACAAAAAGAAAATTGCTTTATTTTTCTCCAACTCCTACCTTCAAATTCTCCCCATCTCTTTTTTCCACGATGCTTGGCAATATCTAAAAAGATTCTACATCTTTCCAGTCACTTTCAATTACAAGTGTAATCACATTTTGGGAAACACAGCTTCCTTGAGGTTTTCAAACAAATCCACTTCAGGCTGAATTCAAGCTCTCCCTACCCACGTGGTTCTCCAGCCTCGCCTCAGCCCAGCCTGTTCCTGGCTTGGCCCTTTCTGGAGAGGGGCGGGGGGACTGTTTGTTCCTTTACACATTCTCTCTCCATCCCTTCCCTTCCCTGATTCTCCCACAGCAGGAATTTCATGAAGGGGCTCACTTTTTAAGTGCAAAGTGTTTCTTTCTCAATGCACTTGCTGTGTGCTCTCTCCTGGCTACCACTGGCATAGACGCCCTCCAAACTTGCTAGAGACAGGGAAAAGGGAAGTGAAATGGGGAAAGAGGCAGAGAGAATGAGCAGGATTTTTCCAATTGATATTCACTTTTGAGTATTAAAACATTTGTCTTTCAAATAACCTATGCATTAAATAGGTCATTAATGAATTAGGGGTAATTTTTTTTCATTTGACAATTGCTACAGTGAAACTGGAAGTTGAATTCTACTTGTGATTAGAAATAACTTTTCCAAGTTTACACTGTCTAACTCCACTTCAGGATTATTTTTTTAAAGTAGTATATATTTAAATGTGAATTTAAATATAAAATCTGGTATATAGATATTAGAACTAAAGACCTATAAAATAATTAATATATTAACTACCATCTAAAAACTCCTAAGCAAATATAATTCTAAGAAAATGCAATATATAAAACTCCAGTGATTACTTGATCACCTAAAAAAAGGATACCTATTCAATGTTTAGGTTACATTTGGTAATGTAAGACAGCACTGTCCAATAGAAATTTGATATGAGCTTTCATGGAACTAAGTTTTCTAGTAACCACACTAAAGAAAGCAAAAGAAACAGGTAAAAATTACTTTAATAATATATTTTATGTAATCAGCTTTATCTAAAGTACTATCATTTCTATGCATAAGTAACATGCAAATACCAATGCAGTATTCTACTTATTGTATGTGTAGTAAGTCTACAAAATCCCCTGTGTGTTTTATGCTTGCACAACTTGCAATCTGGGCCAGCTGCATGTCAAGGGCTCAGCAGCTATGTGTGGCTTGGGGCTGCCCTGCTGAATGGCACAGGTAAGGTTTTCGATTCAATCATGTCTGTATGTCAAAATGGCTAGTTTGAGGTTATTTCTTGCTGCAGTTGGAGTCAGTGAAAATGAAGTCCGCTTAATTTTATGGGAAAGCCGAGGGTGTTACACAGACATCGTTATTCTCAACAGCCAATCCGGCCTTTCACAAAAGACCATTCCATTCAAGCCCACGAACCTGCTTGTGCGTTTCCACGTGGCTCCTCTATCCATGTCATCCCTGAAAATAGACCTGCAAACCAGAGAAAACCCCCAGCTGGACTTGAATTCATTATCTTCAACTCACACATTTGACAAGCTGTTAAAGCTGCGCACACCAGATCTTGTTATGAATTCACACCTTCCACTGGTCAGAAAGCCCTCACATTAACCCACACGGTGGCGTGTGAAGGGTGCTTGTTGTCCTCGCTCACGCACATTTCATTAGACTGACAGCAAGTAGAAGGCCATTCAAAGTCCTTACAATGTGTGATGATGGAGCCGCAGTTGAAGGCAGTGGATTTACTAGTGCTGAAGGTGAAGGAGCTTAGTTTCAGCAGAGAGAAGAACTCTTTAGATATGCAACTTCTGCAATTGTTAATGAGAATGATGTGGTAGAAGATCAAAGCTCTTGCCCACGCAGGTGATGCAGAACTGCACCCCCAGCGATTCACCTGTGAGTCATGTCATCATCGAGATTGCCTCCTGGAAGCCACTCTCCTCCTAGCAACTCACCATCCTAAAGACACAGAAACACGAGGCCCACAACTTTTGTGAATGTTGTTAATTAATGTTAAAACCTAATGTTAGTCTTTGAAAGCCCCTTGAAGTGTCAGGGAAGCCAGTTCTGTAACTTGATTTTTTCATGGAGATGTCCAAAAGGAAGAATGGAAGAGAACAAAAGACAGGGAGAGGATGCAAAGTTTGACTGGGCTCCAAGGCTGTCGTGGGCCCCATAGGCAGAAAGCCTGGCCCATCAGCAGAGGAAGAGCTTCATGTCTGCATAAAGGCCCGAATAGATCTCATCACAGTGTTTCATTTGAGGACTTTTAAGACTTCATTACCTACTGCTGGGCCTGAGGAAGGGAATGACGACTTCGAGGAAAGCAATCCCAACACTTTGGTTGGCTTGTTTTTATTGGCACTAAGGTTACAGGGTTTTTGACACCAGGGATTTGACTGCAGCAGGAAAACGTGATGAATTGTCACAGCAGATTTACAAGGTTGGAAGCAAATGCTTAAGGTCTAAACCAGAACCCTCCCAAATCATATATTGTACTCTAGCTGGGAGATTCCTGTAGGAACACGCAGGGGGAAAATATAGCCCACGAGGTAATAACCTCATATTAGCTAGAATAACATTGAGCCTGTTCTATGAAAATTTGAGTATGCAAAAGTGCCTTCTAATAGATTTTTGTATAATCTACTTTCAAATTACATGAGTTCCAAAAGTGGAAAATATAACTCAGACAAAAGTTCACCTGGTGAACAAGGTTTCAACTATGACACAAAGTTGTATGCCATAAAAATCATGTTAATTTCTTTTCAAGATGTGAAACTTCTATTTCAGAAGGAAAGCTCTTAACTCATACTTGGTTTCCTACTGATTGGTATCTCTGGGGAAACATTTACTGCTAAACACATCCTTCCCATTGCCCTCCTGACTACCCATAAAAATGTAGTGAGAATAGAAAAGTGAAAATCAGTAAATTAAAACACAATTTAAAAATCTGCCTATGGACACAAAAGTTTTATAACCATTCCCCAATGTTGACATCATGGATTTTTGAGAGCTTTATATGAAGAATGTACCTTATATATAATCTTACGTAATCCTTTCCCTCTTACTTGCCAGATGAGAAAACTGAGGCCCCCAAAGAAGTGATTTCTCCAAGGTTATAGAAGGCTAAAGACTGACAGTAAAGTAGAACCGGTTCTCCTGACCATGAAACTTTGCCCTTTCTAGTTCAATCCTAGAATTTACAAATAGACATGTGAAATGTCAACCCTGGATTAAGGAGAAGGGCTTTTCATCCCAAATAGCTAAATTGGTGGGCTCTTGCTCTGGCTTTGATCTCAGCCAATTTTCTCTAGACATTTGCTCGCGATCCTGGCAGTGAATAAAAATTATAAAGAGCTTGTTGAAAATACAAATCCCTAGGCTTTACTCTCAGAGATAATTATTTGCTCTGAAGTAGCACAGAGGAATCTGTCTTTTCCATAAGCATGTCTTGTTATTCTGATGTAACCTGCACCCGGGTAAAGTTTGGGGAACCTCTGTTTAAGGTATACTGCTTTCCAAACTTTAAAATCTGTAGCACAACTGTAAGCTTGCTTGGAAACAGCAGGTGAGGTTCACATTTTTATTTCAGCTTCTTCTGCTCAAAATATATCAAGATAATTTTTTTTAATGATCAGTAACAAGAAATGCTATGATGCCTTCACAACGCAACACAGTAGAAATGCTACGGTCAGATAAAATGACCATTTTTCTACCCGTGTACCATTTCTGGCAGCCCTTTCTTTTACATTGGATTTCACAGGACAGCACATTTAGGTTGCCATTTATGAGAGTAATCTGATTAGTCAATTAGATTGGTTGTAGCCACCAGTAATGACCTTTCTTTCCCCAACTCGATCCCTTACTCAAACTGGCTCATATAAAATTCTGTCTACAAGTTGGGTCCAGGGCAAGGTTGACTCAGTGGCCCAATAATGTCAGCACAAACCCAATTTCTTTCCACGGGCTCCCTCTCACCAAGGCTGAGCTCGTGACTGCTATGGCTGACTGCCAAAATGACCAGTAGCAGAAAATGATGCTAAATCTAGAACACTAGTCCCTGAGGCCAGATAACCACTGGGTGGCAGGTAGATGACTTTGGGGCAGACTAGCCGAAGCCATTTTACTGGGAAATGAGTGAAGAGACGAACACAGGTCTTACCATGTGCCCTGCTATCAACCACATGGTGTTCCCCCAAAGTTCATATGTTGAAGCCCTAACCCCAAATGTGATAGTATTTGGAGATGGGGTCTTTGGCAGTTAATTAAGATTGGGTAAGGTCACGATGATGGAGCCCTTATGTTAGAATTAGTGCCTTATAAGGGCACTAATGTCTTGTTATAAGCAAGACATTATAAGGGCCTTATAAGGGCAGTTTGTCTTGTTATAAGCAAGACAAAGAGATACCAGAGCTCTCTTGTCCTTTCTATCCTATGAGGGCATGGTAAGAAGGAGCCATCTCGAACCAGCAAGCAGGTCCTCACCAGATACCAAGTCTTCCAGCCCTTGATCTTGGATTTCCCAGTCTCCAGAACTGTGAGATATAAATGCCTGCCATTTAAGCCTCTGAAGTGACTGATGTTTTGTTATGGCAGCCAAAACACACTAAGACATACCCCACCACACAGGAGCATTCAGTCTGCTAGAACCATGCCATGGCTGGCTAAAGCCTCAATTTGGTGGTGGAACTCAGGCGGTGTTGAGGAGCCAGCCCCAGGAGGCAGTACATGTGCAGAATCAATGAATGAGGCAGAAGTCGCAGGGCCCCAGTAGCTGGAATTCAGATCATGGCTTCTGGAAGATGAAAATACAACTAGCCCCTCTCACCATCGCTCTCACTGCCACATTCATGGATGTGTGTGTCCCTTTCCTGTCACCAATGGTTCGTCATGGTAGTAGTCCTAACATCCAAATAGGAACTCCGTGGGACCTATGAGATCCCACTGAACGGAAAGCTTTACCCACCTTCTCTGCACTTTGGCCTCCTCAGGCCTCTGGACCAGCAGATCACGAAAGCATTGAGATATATATATGTATGTGTGTGTGTGTGTGTGTATACGTATATATATTTTACATATATAAATGTATATATATGTATATATTATATACATATATATTTCAGATTAGTTTAAAACATTAGGAAGCTACTTTCTACATTTCTTGAAGCTATCTTATTCATCTTTGTATCTTCAGAAAGTGGCATTAATTAGTTGAGGGTATAATTGGTAAACATAATGTATTTAACCATATTTTAAAATATTTTCAGAGAAGGCAGATAGGAAACTTGCAACCTTTACAAAACAGGCTTTGAGGTTAGATGCAGTGGCTCATGCCTGTAATCCCAGCATTTTCGAGGCCCAGGCAAGTGGATCACCTGAGATCAGGAGTTTGAGACAAGCCTGGCTAACATGGCTAAACCCTGTCTCTATTAAAAATGCAAAAAAATAGCTGGGTGTGGTGGCACATACCTGTAGTCCCAGCTACTTGGGAGGCTGAGGCAGGAGAATCACTTGAACCTGGGAGGCAGAGGTTGCAGTGAGCCAAGATTATGCCACTGCACTCCAGCCTGGGAGACAGAAGGAAACTCCATCTCAAAAAAAAAAAAAAAAAAAAAAAGGGTCTTTGAAAAAGGTTATAACTGTCTTCCGAAAAATATTTTTGAACTATTTTAGAGAGCCAGAATGAGTGAGTGCTCATTTATAATTTTGTTTAAAACAGTTAAAATGGATTTTTTTATCCAGAAGTGTGCTGAACCTCGAGAAGGATGACCAACCTCTGCAGAGAGGAGGCGTCTGAGGAGCAAAACCTTGTGATGAACGCACAAGGGCACACGTGCATGGATGAGCCACAACGCCACTAGAGCAGTGCAGTCTCCTACAATGACTTCTAAGATCCATGGCTGAGCCACAATGACACTAGAACAGTGCACTGTCCTACAGTAACCTCTAAGATAGACCCATTTGCTCTGCAGCATGGGAGTGTGTGCCCGTTCCTGGAAGACTCGTAAAAATCAGGCCGGTCTAAAGAGAGACAGATGAATACCCAATGCCCACAGCAAAGGGAGCTCCAGCCTGGAGTGCCAGCAGACCACAGATACACAGGCAGGGCTAAAGAACCTCTGCACCCATGATGGCAAGATGAGCTGTCAGGACAGAGTGTAGTTTTGCTTTGGGGAAAGAAAATGTGTGTGTATGTGTGTGTGTATTTCATGCATATTGTTTATGTGTATGATGTGTGTGTATTTGTATTTCATGCATATTATGGATGTATATGATGTGTGTGTATTGCATGCCTTTTATGTATGTGTATAATGTGTGTGTGTGTATGTGTGTTTAGGTGTGTGCATAATGAAAACACAAAGTGCAGATCCAAAGAGAGGAGTGGCATGGGAGTAGGTGCTTTCTTTGGACAAAGGTGAAAAGTTGAAACTGTTGATGAGTTCAAAAGCCCTGGATTCAGTTTCTTCCATGACCAAATGGCTTTAAGGACCCCTGTAGGGAATAAAAGATAAAGCAAAAAAAAAAAGAAAGAAAGAAAGAAAGCAATATATATTACATCTTTATGAAAAGTGAGAATAATCCGTTTCAAAAAAAGAAACTTTCCAAGTACCCACTAAAATAACCAGTCTAGTTCATTGGGAGAAAATACTGGTTTTGAGACCAAGCAGAGCTCCAGACTCAGTTTCCTCATTTGTAATTAATAATATGGATTGCACAAGTTGCTGCAAGGATTAGAGAAGTGCCCAGGAAGGCACCTGACCCACTGCTGGCCAAAGATCAAGCTATACAAATATAATTGAACTTCTGCTTGATATCAAATTACATGAGAATGGATTTCACTTGGAGAGGATCTGGGTGATTCTCAGGCCAGCTCAGGCAATTGTGGAGCTTAGCTTACTGCAGGGTACAGTACAAGGCCCTCCAGTTGTGTAAGAAAAGCAACAAGCCAAATATATCAAAAACCGGAGAGAATGCAGAAGGTGACTCATGACCTGAGGCCCAAACAGAGTCAGAGGGCGACATTCTGTCTTTCAGGTGGCTTCTAATGTGGGTAACAAGCAGGCTCTGTGGTGTACTACAGGGGATGGCAGCTGATACAGACGGATCGACATTAATTCTGGGGAGTGATGTCTCCTAGCAGCACTAGAAAAGTCAACTGGCATAGAATACTATTCATATTAGGTAGGCAACAAGTATAATATGCCTAAATGTGCACCTTTACAAATATACTGTTTGTATATTCTAAATGATGCTGTACAGCCCTTTAATGTTATTAGTCATTATTCAACTCTACATAGCTTGAAAGAAAATATATTTAAATTTCATTAAACATATGGATGAGATTATGCTGTATTGAAATCCTATTTCCTGGGTCTATGATTACATGATAGAAAGTGTGTGTGCTAGCAATGGCTAGACCAGGTGTCAGGAGACTATGATTCAAATTCTGGCCCAACCATTCACTGTTTGATCCTCTGCAAGTTGCTAAGGCTCTCTCAGTCCCTAGCTGCCTCCTCTGTAAAATATGCTAACATCACCTACCAAAAAGGTTGCTGCTATCATTAAATGAGATAAAATATAAGAAGTGTACAAATGAAGGAGTGTGTGTGTGTAAGGTGAATCTTACTCTAATTAAAAAAAAAATAAGAAAGAGATGTCACCCTCACCCCTGCCCACCATCATTTAAATGCATTTCTGGTGTGGAAGTCAGACTTGATGCCACAATTGCCCCCTCATGAACTTTATTATCTTGGACAAGTGATGTTTGACCTCTCTAAACTCAAGCTTCTCATGTGCAACTAGGGTAATTGCATCTACTTGAGTATTGAAAATGTGCAGTCCTCTGCAGCTCACAGGCAGAACTCACAGCCATCAGCCTCATCTCTGATTTCAGCCTTGGCGATGCGTTCTGGCTCTTAGAGAAGGCAGAAGCACGTTGTATTGGAGCTTCTGTTGGGGAGAATTGTCAGCTTTTGGATTAATGAAATTACAGTCAGGGATGGTCGATCATAATTGGCTTTTGGTTTACTCATCCAAAAAGCCCCATGTGGTTCACATCAGTGGTTTCCTCAGTTTCAGTGTCCAATCACCGTCAATGTATATTTCTTCTGCACGGAGGCTCTTACTGCAGCATTTGGTTTAAGTGTTAGATTTGTATTTTCTTCATGCATCCATTTGCTCTCAGACCAGTGGAATGCTTTAAGTATATCAAGTAAATAAATCAAATAATTTCCTCACAATGTGTGTCAAGGGCTGAGGGACTGTGTGTCTAATTTACTGCAAATCCAGAGGGATTATTTGGATTTGTGAAAAAGCAAAGAATTCCTCTCCTCTGATTCTATGTAAAGGAAGGGCCGAGAGCTTCCCGGCATTAGATTTAACTCTTTCCCTAGCATTTTCCATTGTGTTTCTCTGAATTCCATTTTTTTCTTTTTAAATTTTCTTTTTCAGAATAGTTCCAAGCAATGCTAACCTAGACATTTTTATAAACCCTTACTAAACAGCAGAAACTAAGAAGTCTGTGGGACCCTGGAGGCTATGCGGTAAGACCTCCGGGATTCCAAGGTAAGATGCCGAGTTGCAAACGCCAGGTCCTCCTGCTGAGCCCTCACGGGTGGCAGTGCTGTGGCTGCTTCTCCCGATGCCCACCGAGCCCCGTGTTTTCTGGGAGTTAAGAAGTTATTCTGGCTTTATAGATAGATGTACAGTGGATTTCTTCCCCTGTGTTTTGTCTTAGGGGAAAGTTACTATCAGTTGCCCCCACAAGCCCAGCTTGGTTTTCTTTTTCAGCATGGGCCCCACTCAGCCTGCAGCCTGAGCTCCAAAACCACAGACCACCCACACCCACCTGCCAGGTTCACGCCCGCCCACATCCACCTGCCTCGCCCCACCCACCTGCCTCGCCCCACCCACCTGCCAGGTTCACGCCCGCCCACATCCACCTGCCTCACCCCACCCACCTGCCTCGCCCCACCCACTTGCCACGTTCACACCCGCCCACATCCACCTGCCTCGCCCCACCCACCTGCCCCACCCACACATGCCTGCCTCTCCACACCTGCGCACACTCACGTGCCCCACCCACATTCACCTGCCCCACCCGCACCTGCCAGCCCCGCCCACACCCGCCTGCCCTGCCCATCACAGGATTGCGGCCACTTCCCTGAGCCCTCTTATATTTCAAAGTTTATTTTGACCTTGGCATCTCAGATTTCTCTGTCTGCTGGCTCCATCTCCAATCCCAGCTCCACTCAGTTACCACCTGCAGTCTTCTGTCTTATGCAAGATTTAATTTACGATTCCTACTTAGTCATCCAATTCCTAAAATCTTCTCCCTGCACTTTCTAAACTACCACGGTCTGGAATTCATTCCCAGAGAGACCACTGGAGGTCCGAGGGAGGAGTCCGGCCCACATGCAGAGCCTGGCAAGACCGCAGCACCTCCTTTCTTGAGAATAAGGTCGCCTCCTTACAGGGTGGGTCCTGGCAGTCACACCCACACTTCACGATCCCATCCCTCAGCCACAGAGGAGCACCTGAGAGTTGGTCTCTGGCTTAGGCCAAGGGATTCGTTCTCCTGCGAAGGTGTATGGGACACAGCAGCACCAGGGCCACTGGTGCCTGTTAGGGCATAGGGTGTGGGTGTGGGAGGTGTTGGGTGGCCCTGCCGCCCTTGAGGGAGCGCTGGGAGGGAGGAGGCGGGAGCGAGAGGGAGAGGAGAAGGGGCCTGGGAAGAGGGAGAGGGAAGAGAGCCACAGGAAGACATAGGCAGGCAGCCGCTCCGCGGTTCACTGTGGGCTCCACATCCTGCACCTGCTTCCCTGAGATTCCCCAATACACTTAATAATTAAATATTATTTTATTAATCGCTTAATCATGTTTGAGTCCAACTAAAATAATGTTGATTAAGGTACTTGTCATTCTCCTTGTGACCTCCTTCCCTCATTTATCCTGCCACTCAACAATGTTTCTTCCCCAAATAAGTTGTTTGAGCTCCCCTCTTGCCATCCTTTCCCCACCTTCCCTCAAAGGTGAGGGAGTGTCAGAATCCCCTGCAGGGCCTGGTGGAAACACAGCTGCCAGGCCCCATCCTCAGAGCTCCTGATTCAGTAGATTTGGGCAGAGCAGGAGAATTTGCCCTTTTAACAAGATCCCAGGTGTTATGTATTGAATTGGGTCCCGTCAAAAGTCACATTGAAGTCCTAAACCCTGACACCTGGGAATATGACCTCATGTGGAAATCAGGTCTTAGCAGATACAATCAAATTAAGATGGGATTACACAAGAGTGGAGTGGGCTCTAATTCAGTGACCGGCGTGTTTATGAGAAGGTAGGATTTTGGGCACAGACACTCAGGAGGACATCCAATGATGAAAGAGACAGAGGTTGGAGGGATGTATCCAGAAGACAAGCAGCACCTAGGATGGCCGGTAACCACCAGCAGCCAGGAAGCCTCAGGAGGAACCAGCCTGCTGACACCTTGATTTTGGACTTCTGGCCTCCAGAGCTGTAAGAGAAAAGAATTCTGTTGTTTGAAGACACTCAGTTTGTGGGACTTTGTTATGGCAGCCCCCAGAACTAAAACACCATGCTGCTGCTGATGATTCGGGGACCCCACTTTTTGATGGAGGCTATAGAATGTCCCTTAGTGGATTCTTCTTGCCCCACCTCACACCCTTCCAACTGATCTCCACTCTACTGCTGGCATTAGCAATTTGAAATACAGATCAGTAATGCCATTATTTTACAGTAGGTAGCAGCGGCGCAGGAGAGGGCTCCCCCAAACCCACCAGGAAAGTCAGGTGACCATCAGGTGATGGGTCAGGCAGTTGTCACACTGCCTCTCTCAAATAATAATTGGTTGCAGCTAGTGCCAGAGAAAGGCAGTTTTCCAATAGATAAAAACACCTGTAACTGGTGCTCAGCAGCTTCCAAATAGGATCTCAGGAATTGGGCAAATGGGCTCAGGCCTGTGCCTTAAGGGGCAAAATAGCAAAGTTTAACTGGTATATGACCTTCTGGGGCATTCCACCGGAAAACGGATGCAAGACACTGAAAGTAGGCCACCATATAAATCCCTAAGTCCACGGTCAAATGGGGCACTTGACCTCCAAGACAGCTACCCCCTACTTGGCCCTCTTCCAAGTATACTTCTCTGAAGCCTTTTTTTTTTTTTTTTTTGAGTCTCCCTTTATCGCCCAGGCTGGAGTGAAGTGGCATGATCTCAGCTCACTGCAACCTCTGCTTCCCAAGTTCAAGCGATTCTCCCACCTCAGCCTCCTGAGTAGCTGGAATTATAGGCACACGCCACCATGCTCAGCTTAATTGTTGTATTTTTAGTAGAGGCGGAGTTTCACCATGTTGGCCAGGTTGGTCTGGGACTCCTGACCTCAAGTAATTCGCCCACCTACCTTGGCCTCCCAAAGTGCTGGGATTACAAGCGTGAGCCACCATGTCCAGACTAAAGCTTTTTATAAACTTTCACTCCTTCTGTAAAATTTGTCTTGGTCTCTTCTTCTGCCTTATGCCGCTTAGTCAAATTCTTTCTTCTGAGGAGACAAGAATTGAGATTGCTGCAGACCCATACGGATTTACCACCAGTAATAATTTCTTCTGTCAAAAATAAGCGGAGCTCCTTAGCAGGCATTGAAGAATGTGAGTGATGTTGTTTCGTTTTATACTAGAGTGTGTGTGCACACGTGTGTGCACGTGGGTCTTTATCCCTGACCTTCCATTTGAACACACACCTGCTGCCTCTGGGTCTCCTGTTGAGCTTCACAGTACTGTACAAGCTCTTAGCCGAACTCAGCCTAAAACATCCACCCTGAAAATTCTCCTTGTCCTTCAATGCTGGACTGAAGTTCTGCTTTCCCTAGGCATATATGTGTGGAAGTACCTTGCATAAAGTTATATCTTTTTATCCGGTGTTTTGACAGCTTCAATCATTTGATTTTTATGTTATTCCTGTGGAGAACAGCACAAATGTCTTTGCTTATATTTCATGGAAGAAAATTCAATTCCCTAATATCATATAGGCAGTTAACAGCAGAGATAGGATTTGAACACAGAACATCTGATTCCAAATCCTATACAATGCTCTCACTTTTTTCCTGCCATCACCTAAAAATGTGTGTGCATCTCCCCGAGAGTTTCTTTCTCATCCTTTGTTTTATTATTAGTTGTTTACACAGTAGGCTCCAGGAGAAGAGTTATTTTTAGATCGCTTAACATATCTGGATCCATATCTAGCATATATTAGAAAATTAGTGTTTGAGGGAGAAAGAAAGAAAGGGAAGAAGAAAAATAAATAAATATTGGCCGGGCACGGTGGCTTACGCCTGTAATCCCAACGCTTTGGGAGGCCGAGGCGGGCAAATCACTAGGCCAGGAGATCGAGACCATCCTGGCTAACACTGTGAAACCCTGTCTCTACTAAAAATATAAAAAAAGTTAGCCGGGCATGGTGGCAGGTGCCTGTAGTCCCAGCTACTAGGGAGGCTGAGGCAGGAGAATGGCGTGAACCCAGGAGGCGGAGCTTGCAGTGAGCCGAGATCTTACCACTGCACTCCACCATGGGCGACAGAGCGAGACTCTGTCTCAAAAAAATAAATAAAAATAAAATAAATATTAAAAAGAAAGAAAAAATGGAAGGAATACATTTCAATATTATATCAGATTAGAGTGAGTGGTAATTTAGATGACACAATGCATTTATTTTACAAACTTATGTACTTTGCTAAGTAAAATGTGCATTTATATGTATAGATTTGAACATTACATATGTCTGTGAATGCATATATGTGCTTATCATATATGTATTCTTATACCCTGCCAACTAAGTTCTTCGTTTATCCCATGAAGGTGCTTGTTTTGAATACTGTCCTTTTATCAACATTTTTGTGAATAAAGGATGAATTATACAGACATGGGCCTTTGCAATGCATACACTATTATTCATATGTTTTTACACTGATGTTTAGTCTATTTTTTTCAGTGTCTTGCAGCCATATGCGGCTCTTGATCTGCATAAGAAACTCTCCCAATGGGAGTTACAAAAATCTAGGATAGTAGAATAGTAATCAGCATTCGTTTCATGACTTGTTCTATTTTGTTTTGTTTTTTTTGAGAAATCGACAAAATTATACATTATATCCTTCTACTAAAAATGGAAGGTTTTGTTTTCCCAAAGCTGGATTCTTTACAGAGCCAGTGATTGGACACTCTTTTATAGGTAGAACTCGAGAGTTGTCTTGGTTGCTCTCAAAAGGAATCCTGGAAGAAGAACTGGATGCATCTTGGTCCTCTGTGAGAAACATAAATAAAGGGTTCAACTTCATGGACCGAGCACTTGCACATCCTCTGAGAATTCACCGCATTCCTCCCTGCATGCTTCCTTTCTTGGCAAATGCGTTTCCCTGGGACCTTTTAGTACATTTCTTAAGTCCTGGAGTTAGGCTTTACCCAATAATGTTTGGACAAGCAGTCAGAAAGAGCCACCACTAGGCAGGGTTTTCTCTATAAAGTCAACTTCCTGCTGGAATAACTTGGAGGCCGGGATGGCCAAAAACAAATCCGAGGGGCCTGGCTCCAGGCAGCAGCCTCTTTCACCCCCATGTGTTCAGCCACTCCCAGAACCATTGTTCCTCTGGGTAGGAAATGAAGGAGGGGCTCTTCCACTTCAGCCAAAGAGGAAATGGGGAGCCTTTGCCTGTGCATATTGCATGAGACCGCCACCCCCAAATTATGCAGATAAGAGTGGTTGAATCCAGCAGTCAGGCACAGAAAGGGAAAACCCAGCTAAGTACAGTAATTATAAATCAAAGAGACCTGCCTGTTACGGGTGTCATTTGGAGAAGCTTGTGGGCTCATTTCCCTTTAAGGGCTGAGTTGCGGGACTGTTGTTGACTGTGATTTGAAACTCCCTCCCCTGTGGGCTGGTTGTCATCATTGTTCTCTCAACACATGCACCAGGCTTGGCTTAATTAGTGGTGTGTTGTTGGGGTGGGCCAAATTTTATATCCTGGCATTGGGGGAGGTGTAAAGTTGCGGCCACAATTGTCTGGAGATGTTGATCAAATCCAGATTACGTGAGCCTGGGGCACAGTTGGCGCAGCTTTCCTTACCAAAACAGGCTAATAAACAAGTAAATAAGAGGGGAAATGCTCTCATGCTTATTAGTGAGTTGGAGTCCCTCTATCTTTTTTTTTTTTTTAAGTAAAACTAGATCGTTTCTGAAATTTTTAGGCTTGACTTTGCAGCATGCTTTTTTTTTTTTGCTTTCTTTTTCATTTGCATATTTCCTAGGAGACAGGCTCCCATCTAACCGTGGATTAGGATTTGAAAAATCAGTAAATTTTATGCTTTTAGAATGTCATTTTCTTTGTGAAAATGGAAGCACTGGTGGCTACTCCTTGTTGTAACTACTGTGTTTTCCACACTCCATGTAAATTAAAGTGTATATAAACACTAATGCTAGGAAGTTGCTTGATGAAAATACATACTGGATTCTGAAATGCACAGAGACTTTTTTAAAAATGTTTGTCAAAATACACTGCTTACAGTGCATTTTCTCCCAATATCTCAGCATCAAAATTCCTCAGAGTAGGATAGATTAAGTGGTCATAAAATGCAAAACATATGCATACATATATACATGGATTTTATATATATATTTACATATATGGTAGAGCAAAAAACAGCATAAAACAATCTATTTTTTCTGTGTCTAATAATTCTAATTTTATTACACTTTAATATAATTTAAATATATTGTATATAATATACATAATATATTTAAATAAATACATATTTTAAATATAATTGTATATGTATGTATGTATGTATATTTGGCAGAGCAAAGGTTTCTAAATACTTGTTCAAAGACATTTTGTGTAGAAAATGACAAAACAACACAACTCCTTCTGTAATAACCCAGAAAAAGAAGAAAGCCTAGTGTGTCTAGTCCTCTTGGGGATCTAAGTACATGAATTACATTAGGCAAATCTGGTTCCTCCTCTATAAAAAGAGGAGACTGGACTAAGTCCTTTAGCAGGTCCTCCCCACCCAGTTGTTCCAGGACGCGAAACCTTCACAAATTGAAGGTCTCCTCCATCTACCTTCAATCTGTTGTTTGCAGGTAGAATTACCAATTTCAATCAAGATAAAATTGTTAGGCACAGAAAAAAACAAAACAAAACTGGATCATCAGATGCCAAGTCATTTTCAAACGTCTATTTAATTTCCCGCACACATAGCGCTGTGATGCTGCATGAAACCGCTTTCTTCTTTCATGCAATTGGAAATCAGAATCCACCAGCCCCAGTTAATGTGTTCATGAATCAAGAATGAACAAGATCTAGATCTTCATTGCGGCCTAATTGGGGTTTAATTAACTTGGGTGCTCTTTGGTGAAGAGAAAAACAAATATGGGGGAAGAAAACACACAGTCTCCATGTCACAAAGGGCTTTGGGGATTTCCAGAGGTTTTTAAAGCCAGGGGGTTGCAACTTCTCACACAGCTCAGGCACACACCCCAGGACAAGCGGGCTGTGGGACATTTGCCAAACTGTTTACTTTTGCTTATAGTATCCGCTTGTGCGGGTCGAGGTGTCACTACGAGGATACCTCTGCCTTTAGGTGCAGCAAGAGAAAAGCAAGGTGGATTCGATGTCTCAGGCTCAGCTTTGGAATCACATGGAGTGTCCTCTAGGCACCGGCCTTTGAGGGTCAACAAGTGCTTGGGCTGCAGTTCAGATATCCCTTCGAGGGCTGCTTCTCTCCCAGCTGCCAGGTCTGGCTTCTTTGGTCTCTGAACTCAGGGTGTCGTCCTGCCATCTCTACTGCGAAGCTAATCAGGACCTGTCATGGAGGTCTCTGTGGAGGATCCCACTTTTCTTAGCCAGCCAAATGCTCTGTCTTTAGTAAACACATCTAGGGGAAAGATGCTGAAGTAAAAGCAAAACAAAAGGGACCCACTTTTCAACTATGATGTAATCCTTGCAGTAGTCCAGACCTCAATTGGCAGGGTTAGAATTACAATTTGGAGACAGACAAGAACGTGAAAACACAGTGGAGATGTAAGCAGGACACTGGAAACTGGAGGGCATCAGAGAGGCATTGGAGCAGGGTGCATGGTGCTGCAGGTTACACACTGAAGACCTCAGCCAGTGGAAAACACAGGTTAGGTCGTCAAAAGACTCTGGTTTGGTCAGTTGGAAAACTTTATATGTTTTGAATGAACATTTCTAGACATTTCCAAAAGCATTTTCTTATTAAGAAAAACTTTTTTTTTTCTTTCAGGACAGCAATCTGATATCCTCTCTCTCTCTGGGGGCACATTACGGTAGGATTTGGATGCTCACACATTACCTTCTTACCCTCTCCTTCACCCTCTTTCTCTCTGAGACTCACCTGGCTCCTGTTTCCTCAGCCTTACAGATGTTGCTCGTGGCCACTACAGCCAGCAAACTGTGCCTTGCTTAAGATAGCAACATCTGGGGAAAGTTTTACAGAGATGCCCTGTCAGGTCACTGCCCTAGGAGCTATGTCAGGAAACTGTTTCTTGAGAATGAGGTTTTAACAAAGTCCTTCTGGCCCCTTAGCGTCCAGTCCCCTTGAAAAATGGAAGGTCAAGGCAGGTCCTTCTGTTTTACTCCCTCAGGTTACAAGAGCAGCCCTGTTGGCAAGAACCTGGTGGGTGATAATGATACATACAGAGAGAGATGGCTGGATAGATGCATTAGCTAGGTGCATAGATAGTAGGCAGCTAGATGGATGACAGGTCGTAGATAAATAGGTAGATGAGAGAGATATATCTATATAGATGAATATAAATGTTAGACATAGATATCCTAAAAATAAAAATAAAGTTTAACCATCCAGAAAATGCAGACTGTACAAGTATCGACAGAATCCACTGCCTAAAGCTGGAAGGAATGTACACAACTCAGGCCCCTGCTGTCCACCCAGTAGGTACTTGACAGTGGCCGTGGGACCTGGCTTGAGACACAGCAGGAAACACTGGTGCGACTAAACCCAAAAGCCTCGACTGAGTCGGAAGCACGTTAGTTGTGTTGAAACGAATTGTGCCATCGCTTCAGAACTGGGCCTTAAAATAAGCCCCGAGCTAAGATGTAACTGGCCTGGCCAAGGAAGCAGTTTCACAGCCAAGCAACACAGACTCTGAACTCCTCCTGTGAATTTGCAAGTGTGAAACCTGACCCTGAAGGGGAGGCAGGGGTGAGGGTGTGCAGGGTGCTGCATTTGGAAGCTGTGCCGCGGCGTTTTCCCCGTGCCAGAAAAAGATCTTTAAATCACTTTAGTTCAGCACATGGCAGGCTCCATTCAACTGGCCAGACAAGCATCTGTGGTAACTCTTGGGAAATAAAAACCTTGCAACTTGCAGTCAAAGTCAGCTCTGCATTTCCTGTGAGGCTGAGAGCAAGGGAGGGGCAAGGAGACGAGAAGGCCATTTGTTTCTGCTTCCTCAGAGATGAAAGGAGGCTGCTTAGGAAACTTCTCTCTGGGTCTGTGCTCCCCATTCTTCACCCCACCCTGCAAATCCCTGCATAGGTCAGTACAGAGGGGCTAGGGCACTGCCGGAAATGGAGTAATATGACCACGACACTGAAATCATAGCATCGAAATGCCCAGTGTAACGTACAATCGTGTTCGGAGTGTTACAGGATGATATACCTTGGGAAACAATTCTTGCTTCTTTCTTGGCAATATAGAAGTGTGGGGGATGTGTGTGTGCGTGTGTGTGTGTGTGTTTTCCATTCCACTGGTAGGTTTTTAGGATATTTAAAAAATGCTTTCTGGATCTGCAAGGGAATACATTTTCCCAATGTATGCTATGTTCAAAATACTAAAATATACCTCCTGGCTGAGATAGATCATTAGGAGACAGAGAGATGACAGAGATAGATAGGTATAGATGTAAAGAGTTTACAAAATTCTAGTGTCACCATTGTTTCACAATACAGAAGTTAAAGGCTAGGGGCATACCGGCTGGGTGCGGTGCCTCATGCCTGTAATCCCAGCACTTTGGGAGGCCGAGGCGGGCGGATCACAAGGTCAGGAGATCGAGACCATCCCGGCTAACACGGTGAAACCCTGTCTCTACTAAAAATACAAAAACATTAGCCGGGCGTGGTGGTGGGCACCTGTAATCCCAGCTACTTGGGAGGCTGAGGCAGGGTAAAGGTGTGAACCCGGGAGGCGGAGCTTGCAGTGAGCAGAGATTGCATCACTGCACTCCAGTCTGGGCGACAGAGCAAGACTCTGTCCAAAAAAAAAAAAAAAACAACAAAACAAAAACAAAAACAAAACAGAACAAAAAAGATTGGGGCATATCAAATAAGCACCAATACTTAAGCATCAGGCTATGTGAATTCTAACTGAACTCTTTCCCCCAGCTACCTGTGTCCCTTCTCTTGGGGCCTCAGTTTTCAATCTGTAAGTAACAATGGTGGATTATATAATCACTAAACTTTCCCACCCTAAAAAGCCATGGTAATTTGTTGAATTACTGAGAAAAGAATTGAAGAAAAAACAGGAACTCAGAGAAACAGAAGGTCAGAAAGATTTCTTTAGTGCACATTAGAGTTGGAAAATAAGGCACATGGGAGGCTGCAACAGGTCATCAAAGGTTGATTAAATATAAAACAGAAGAATCTCTCCATGTTGAATAAAAATTTAAATAAAAGGAAAATCACCTAGACACTCAAAGGAGTGTTTAACTGTGTCTAACTGTTTATAAAGCTGGAAGCACTAGTAGTATAGTGGGTGGAACTTCATGGATGGAAGAGATAGGATTTTTCTGGAAGGACCATAGGGGTGTTTCTAGGCTCACATATTCTCCAAGAACTTTGTGGTGCCCCATCGAGAGAGTCTATTTTCCTACCTACTGAAATTGGGAGGCCTTTGTGACCCCTCAACAGATAAAACATGGCAGCAATGATGCGCCTTTGACTTCTGAGGCCAGGTGACAGAAGGCAACCAGCTTCTATTTATCTCTCTCTCCATGCCCACCCTGGGAACCTGACCACCATGTTGTAGTGAGTTCAGGCCACACAGCGAGGCTGCATGAAACTGTTCCAGCCTAAGGCCAGCTAAGGTGTCAGCAAGAGCCAGCATTGACCCCTGGCATGGGAGTGTGTGGCCTGCAGATGACTGTGACCTTTGAGCCTCCCCAGCTGACATCAAGTAGAACAGAAATGATCCATCCCTGCAGAGCACTTCCACATAATACCGAAGCCTGAAGGTGTGAGCTATTGAGGAGATTTGTCATATGGCCACAATAACTGGATCAAGGGGTCAATGCTTGAAACCTAGAGAAGAAAGAGTTTTCATCGCTTGGGGTGAAAAAAAAAAACAGATCTTTAAATGTTTAACTATTATGTCAAAACGAAGTTAAACTGAAGCCACCAGATCTGGTTTGGATCTCTGTACCTTATTTCAGGCATGGGATGAACCGAGCAATATTTTCTCCTCAGGAAATGTGCTTCGAATAGCACCCACCTAGCACATAGGAGGTGCTACATGAGTATTTGTTAAACAACATGAAAACAAATGTTGCTCTTATGCATAGATGTGTGAAAAAGGGAAACAAGAACATCTCCAAAAGTAAAGGAAATGTGAAAGGTGCTGCCCAGGAGTTCCTGCTAAGAGGTTTATGAAAGTTATCTTCTGGATTTCTGCCCCACGGGCCCAGGATAGCAAAAGCCAGGGTTCGTAACCTGAGAGCACAGTTGTTAAATAGGCTCCAAATTCTGTGGCCTGTGGTGTTTTTGTTGCCCAAATTATAACTTCAGATGTCATAGGTGCATGACAAAGACAGATCTCAGAGGTGAATCACAATCCAAGGACTCCCAAGGAAACAGAGATTTTCCAGTAAATATCCAGAATAAATATTTTCACAATTTGTGCTAATTCTGTAAATATGTGATTTTTCCTTTTCATTTTCTGACTCTAGTCACCTCAAAGAAACAGCAGCACTGTTAAATGGGTGTGAACCACTCTTGACTCCCTAGTTAGGGTAAAATATTTAGAAATCTCTGAGGGTCTACTAAAAAATTTCCCACATCAGCAAACTATGTTTGTGGTGGAGTATTATTAATGGGAAGTTGGTAATGTCTTTCAATTGCACAAAAGACCTTTCTTGTTAACAACATCAGAATTGGACTCCATGCATTTACCTAGCTTTGTGAAACTGGACAATTCTAAACTCTAAGACTGATTTGACCCTCTTTGAGTATCCAGCATGCACTAAACACTGTGGCAGGTTTTGACTTATGAAACCAAGGGAGCACTGATTCTCCCCTATAGGGGATTATAGCACAGTAGAGAAAGACAGGTAACGAAAAAGGACAGGAAAGAATTAGGAAACAGAAAGGTAGACCCCCTTGAACCCACGCTTATCTTCAGGCAACTCTAAGCCAATTCTAATTTGTGTTGGACGTTATTTTCTGCTCAGTATAGTATTAAGTAAAAGTAAGATTCCAGATACATACATTTTTCCTCTACCTGAAATCATTCACCAAAATCTATCTAAATTGAATATATATATTTATATAATATATAGTATATATTTATATATTATATGTAGATATACATACATATAAACATTGAGGGAAATAATTAAAGATATATATGAATATATCTCAACCTGTATCAGCTCTGTGAGTCTGCATACCATAAGTAATCCTTTAAAAAAATATATAGCATGTAGTTGTGGGTCAAATTGTGTCCCCTACCCCCAAAACATATGTTGAAGTCCTAGCCTCCAGTACTTCAGAATGTTGCAGATGTCATTAGTTAGGAGTATATCACACAGAGAAGAGACAGAGCAGGATGGTCAAATAGAAGCCTCCAGCAATCATTCTTCCTGCAGGAACATGGAATTGAATAGAAAGCACACAAAATACACACAGAACTTTTACAGGAACCAAAAAGCGGTGAGCAATTACAGTACCTGTTCTTAACATCATATAAAGGAAAGAGACACTGAGGAGGGTAAGAAAGTCTTGAATTGTCCACACCAGCCCTTGCCCATTTCCTGGCAGCAGCCACATTGTGTGGAGAGAGAATCTGTAAGCTTGGGGGAGAGAGAGTGCAGTGATTATGGGACAGCTGGGACAGCCAAGGGAGTGCTTGTGTCACCGCTACCCCAGCCACAGGCAGTGAAGGTAACACCTCCAGGAGAGCCTCTTTCCCTCTGCTTAAAAAGAAGAGAAGTGAGAGTCAAGAGGATGTTGTCTCATAACTTGGATAAAAACTCATCCATAGAAGAATAGGGCACCAGGAAGTCCTAAGGCAATCCCATTGCAGGCACTAGCTCCTGGATGACATTTCCAGACAAACCCTGGGCCAGAAGAGAACCTGGTGCCTTGAAGGGAAGAATCTAGTCCTGGCAGAATTCATCACCTTCTGACTAAAGTGCACATGAGCCCTGAATAATCAACAGTGGTATCCGGGCAGTACCCACCACAGGCCTTGGATGAGACTCAGATGTGCTCACTTCAGGTGTGATCCAGCACATCCCCAGCTGTAGTGGCTATGGAGAGAAACCCCTTCTGCCTGAGGAAAGGAGAGGAAAAAACAAAGGGGACTTTGTCTTGCAGCTTGGCCACAGTGGTATTACAGCACCAAATGGACTCCTGGAGTCCCCAGTTTCAGGCCTTAGCTTCTGGGTGGCATTCCTGGACCTTCCCTGGGCCAGAGAAAACCCCACTGCCCTGGAGGGAGAGACTTGGGACGGGCAGCAGTCACCACAAGCTTACTGAAGAGCCCTTGGGCCTTGAGTGAATATTGGTGGTAGCCAGGCAATATTTGCCATGGTCTTAGAGTGGTGGTGGCCAGTGAGACAGACTTCTTTGAGGGAAGAGCAAGGAAGAGTGGGAAGAGCTTTTTCTTGAAGCTTTGGTGTCAGCTCAGCCACAGTAGATTAGAGCACCAGGTACATTCCTAAGGTTCTCAACTCCAGGCCCTGGCTCCCAGATGACATTTCTGGACCTATCTCAAGCTAGGGGAAACTTGCTGCCCTGAAGGGAGGAATACAAGCCTGGCTGGATTAGCCACTTGCTGATTGTACAGCCCTTGTGCTTTCAGTGAATATAGATGGTAGCCAGGCAGTGGTCACTGCAGGCCTTGGGTGAAACCCAGTGCTGTGCTGACATTGGGTCAGTCCCAGTGCTGGTGGCCACAGAGGTGTTTGTGTCACCCCTCTCCAGCTCTAGGAAGCTTAGCCCAGAGAGAGAGAGAGAGAGAGAGAGAGAGAGAGAGAGAGAGAGAGAGAGAGAGAGAGAGAGAGAGAGAGTCCATTTGTTTGGGAGAAAGTAGAGAAGGAGAACAAGAATTTCTGCCTGGTAATCCAGAAAATTCTTTCAGATCTGACCCAAGACTACCAAGTGGGTCCCTCTATGAGTCTGCAAGAGCCATAACACTACTGGGCTTGGGGTGCTTCCTAAAGCAGATACGGCTGCAGTGACCAATACCCAAGTCTCCTCAAATAACTGGAAAGACTCCCCAAATAATATGGGCACCAACGAGCCCAGACCACAAAGACTACAATAAATGCCCAGCTCTTCAATGCTCACACGTTGATGAACATCCACAAGCATTAGTACCATGCAGTAAAACATGAACTCACCAAACAAACTCAATAAGGCACAAGGGAAAATCCCAGAGAGACAGAAATGTGTGATCTTTCAGAGAATGCAAACTATAAAACATTGATGCAAGAAATTGAAGAAGACACATAAAAATGAAAAATATTCCACGTTCATGGATTAAAATAATCAATATTGTTAAAATGCTCATACTACCCAAAACAATCTACAGGTTCAATGCAATCTCTATAAAAATATCAGTGAGATTCTTCAAAGAAATAGGAAAAAATTCTAAAATTTATAGGGACCCACAAAAGACCCAGAATAGCCAAAGCTATCCTGAGCAAAAAGAATAAAACTGGAGGAATCACATTATCTGACTTCAAATCATACTACAGAGCTCTAATAACCAAAATGGCATGGTACCAGAATAAAAAGAGACACCTAGACTGATAGAACAGAATAGAGAACCCAGAAATAAAGCCCTGTATCTACCGTGCACTCATTTTTGACAAGGGTGCCAAGAACATCCACTGGGGGAAAGGACAGTCTCTTCAATAAATGGTGGTGGGAAAACTGAATATCCAAATGAAGAAGAATGAAACTAGACCCCTCTCTCACCATATACAAAAATCAAATCAAAATAGATTAAAGCCTTACATCTAGGACCTCAAACTATGAAACTACTGAAAGAAAACATTGGGGAAACTGTCTAGGACATTAAATTGGTCAAAGATTTCTTGAGTAATACTCCACAAACACAGGCAACCAAAGCAAAAATGGACAAATTGGATCACATCCAGTTAAAAAGCTTCTGCACAGCAAAAGAAACAATCAACAGAGTGAAATGACAATGGAAAGAAAGTGAGAAAATATTTGCAAGCTATCCATTTGACAAGAGATCAATAACCAGAATATATAAGGAGCTCAAAAAACTCAACAGGAAAAAGTCTAATAACCCAGTTTTAAAATGACAAATATCTGAATAGACACTTCTCAAAAGAAGACATTCAAATGGCAAACGGGCATATGAAAAGGTGATCAGCATCACTGATTATCAGAGAAATGCAAATCAAAACTACAGTGAGGTATCATCTTACCCTAGTAAAATGCCTTTAATGTATTTATTTGAGGCAGGATCTCACTTTTTCATCCAGGCTGGAGTGCAGTGGCACAGTCATAGCTCACTGCAGCCTCAACCTCTGGGTGCAAGCAGGCCTCCCACCTCAGCCTCCTGAGTAGCTGGGACTACAGGTGTGCACCATCCCCCGCCAGCTAATTATTATTTTATTTATTTATTTATTTTCTCTCTTTATGTTGCCCAACACACAGCCAGGCCTCAACTCCTGAGCTCAAGAAATCCTCCTGCCTCATCCTGCCACAGTGCTGGGATTATATGCCAAAAGACAGGCAACAACGAATACTGGCAAGTTGTGGAGAAAAGGGCAGCTTTGTACACTGTTAGTTGGAATGCAAAGTAGTGCAACCACTTTGGAGAACAGTTTGGAGGTTCCTCAAGAAACTCAACATAGAACTACCATATGATCCAGCAATCCCACTGCTAGGTATATACCCAAAAGCAAATAAATCAGTATGTCAAGGAGATATCTGTACTTCCATGTTTATTGCACAGCCAATATTTGGAAGTGACCTAGTGTCCATCAACAGATGAATAAACACAGAGATTGTATTATGTGTACACAATGGAGTACTATTCGGCCATAAAAAAAATGAAGGTCATTATGTTAAGTGAAATAAGCCAGGTACAGAAAGACAAACTTCAGATGTTTTTATTTGTAGGAGCTAAACGAATTAAAACAATTGAACTCATAGAGATAGAGAGTAAAATGATGGTTACCAGAGGCTGAGAAGGGCAGTGGAGTGTGAGGGGGACGTAAGGATGGTAAATGGGTGCAAAAATATAGTTAGACAGAAAGTGTAAGATCCAGTATGTGATAGCACAACAGGGTGACCACAGTCAACAATAACGTATTGTACATTTTTCAAAAATTACAGTATAATTGAATTGTTTGTAACATAAAGAAAGGATAAATGCTTGAGGTGGTGGATACCAATTTACCCTCATGCAATTATTATGCGTTGCATTCATGTACCAAAATATCTCATGTACCTGGTAAATATATACATCTGCTATGTACCCAGAATTTAATTTTTTTTAAAAAAAGAGTATATAGTTGGGCGTGGTGGCTCACGCCTGTAATTGCAGCACTTTGGGAGGCTGAGGTGGGTGGATCACGAGGACAGGAGTTCAAGACCAGCCTGGCCAAGATGGTGAAACCCTATCTCTACTAAAAATACAAAAAAGTTAGCCGGGCTTGGTGGTGGGCGCCTGTAATCCCAGCTACTACGGAGGCTGAGGCAGAGAACTGCTTGAACCTGGGAGGCAGAGGTTGCAGTGAGCTGAGATCACGCCACTGCACTCCAGCCCGGGAAACAGTGAGAGACTCCGTTTCAAAAAAAAAAAAAAAAACAAAACAAAACAAAAAAAACAGCATATCACACTGTAGTAGAGTGGGCCCTTAATACAGTAAGACTGGTGTCCTAAGAAGACAGCCATGCGAATTCAGAGACACAGGAAGATGGCACGTGAAGCCGAAAGCAGAGACTGGACGATGCAGCTGAAAGCCAAGGAATGCCAAGTGTCACTAGCAACACCTAGAGCCAGGAAGGGGCAAGGAAAGACTCCCTGTCAGGATGCAGAGGGAGCAGGGCCCTGCGGACACCTTGATGTCAGACTTCTGACCTCTAGAAAGGCGAGAGAACACATTTCTGTTGTTTGAAGCCATCCAGTGTGTGGTCCTTTGGGATGGCAGTACTTTGAGAGGACATTAACACACACACACAAAGGGACAGAATGCAATGATGAGGTGCACAGTTTCTGGAATCAGAGTGCCCAGGTCCAGGAGTCTCTAGACCTCCTTTGTATTAGTTCTCTGACAATGAGCACATTACTCAATCTCTCTGTACCTTTCTCTTCCTATCTGTAGCAGGTGTTGCGGGTAACGATAGTAGTCAGCCTCTAGCTGTCTTTTGAAGAAGCAAGTGTTTTGTGTGATGAGCTCTTGCTCAGGGCCGGGCACATAGCCAGCTAGTAGTAGTAGTAATCTCAGTTTTCTCTGCCTATCTGCACTTTAACTGTCCCCCTCAATTCTTCTCTATTACCTTATAAACAATGCTGGGAGTGGCAACCAGAACACAGTCCTGTACCCTCTATGTAAGAACACAGCAAGGTTTATGCAAGAGTAGAATAACATTTTTCTTCCTCCTCTGACGCATAAAGTCATGCAATTTTTTTGCCTCTTATCACTGGGAAAAATTAGTTCTGCCACTCAAGACCTTTGCTATTTGATAAGCCACTCATGTTGTAAATCTTGGACTCTGGAGTAAGGCAGAGCTGGGATCTCGTGTTCCCCCAGAATCATCACATGCTGCACACATTTGGATGATGTTTCTCCTTGGAAGATGGAGTTTCCATTGTTTTACAAATTTACAATAAGAAATAAGTGATGTAAGGACACAGGAGGTGCCAAACCCTGGGTTGGGCCTGTAGAGGCATTCTTACAGGATGTTTGGTTTCTGTGATTTTTTAATACAGCGAATGAGGATTCTTACTCTTCATCTTTCCAGCGTTTCAAAATTTAATTAGTGATTTCACATCATCTCATTTGCTCATGTGAGGACAGCAGGGCAAACAATATACCCCCAATTGATAGACGAGAAAAGAGGGGTTTCTGAAGAATGACAGGACAGATTCCCACAGTTGTTGTTGGTGGAAACACAAGACAAACTTCAGTCTTCAGAGGCTAAGTTCACTGCTAGTATTGTTGCATCCCTCTTTTCTTGTGAAAACATTTCATGTCTGTGGTCCTTTTTTTTTCAAATGGTTCAGCAAAACTAAATCAAGCCCCTGGACAGCTGCGTAAAATGATAGAAAACAAGTTGCCCGTCTTCAAAATAAGTTGCCCCTGGGATGATGATTTACTTCGTGTGTGGTTTAAAATGGCAGGGGAGGGTATTGATTGTTAATTACAGTCACTGGGGCCGTCCTGTGTTGGTGCAAACCTTTTCAAATCCAAACTCCATCATTCAATAAGGATGAAGATTTTAATTTAAAAAATTGCAAATATTATTTTAAAACACTTTTATTCTTCAGTGCCAAGAAATAAAAAATAAGAAAATACTTAAAGAATGTTTAACGATGCATTCAACTTTCAACAGCCACTGTTCTGCAAACATTTCCTGCTCCTTTTTATTTGTTCACGTTTTTGCTTCCTTGAAAAATTCTCTTACCATTCCTGTTTGCTTGTCCAAAGTCATACGAAGCCATAGGAGCACTTCTCAAGCCCTTCTCCTGGCTGTGGTTGCTCCAGGGTCTATGACCCTCCCCCACAGGTGGGCCATCTGTCCTGTGGACCCCATCACACGTCCCTGTGGCACTGAGCACATTCTTCCCATAGCGCAGGTTTGTCAGCTTTGCTGAAGAATAAGCTGGGCAAGGTTGACTATTTCAGGCACATGTTTAAAATGTAGTAATTTCTGAATTTGCCTTGCTGCTTCCCGGACAGTGTGAGCTGCTTACAGAACAGACTTCTGCCCCCACTCATCTTTTGCTTTTGCCTTCTCCGAGAGTCCTCCCGTGCGGCCTCCAGTTATGGCACTAAGTGTGCACCACGAGCTTGGGTATACTCCATGTCACATCGCCAGTAAGTTCTAAGGGACTCAGGTTGGGGGTCCTCGGCGGCATCACATGCCAGCGCCCAGATGAGTGAAAGATGCCAGAAGACGATAGAAGCCGGCAGGGGCAGGGAGCACAGGGTGGCACACCAGGGACCGCCCGCCCCAGAGGAGCTCTCTCCCACCTCCAGTATTTCCTTCAGGTCTCAGTCGAAGAGTCCTTTTGACTCTCAAATGAGGTAGCAGAATTGGATGTACCCGGCCAAAGGCCAGGCCCAAGTCGCGTGCCTTGTCAGCCCGGGTGGAGGTGGAGGGTCCCTGATAGACAGCACCGGGGCTGCGGGCTCGGCTGCGCTCCGGCCCCCTTCTCCCTCACTTGCCTCGGCCTCTGTCCTCCCTTTAAAATGCCATTTCCTCTCCGGGGCCCTGGAGGCTCGCCTGGGTGACGGTTTTGATCAGATGCCACCAGCATTTAAACTTGAAGGGGGTTTCCAGTGGGTGGTGTGCAGGCTCCAGACAGAAACAGGAGAACAAAGAGAACCCTGAGGGAGGCCTAGAGAGCCCTCGGGGCACCTCGCGCACCCCAGGACCCACCCCAGGAATTCTGAGTGGGTGGCCTCTGAAAACCCACCCCGAGTGGCTGTTCGGTAGAGCAGACCCACGCCACCTGCCCTAATGCTGAGCCTTCGCAGATTAATTGAAGGAGGTCTTCACAGGCTCACAGCGGTGGACTCCCCTTGAGCTCACGACAGCATCAGCTTGATGATGTTTTGCTTAAGAAGCCCTGGGGGGTCCCCAGCCACTTTGCTGGTTGTCCCCTCCCTCCTGCCTGGCATGGTCTGGTCTGTCCTGGATTTCAGCCATTCTGCTCCTGGCTGCGTTGCCCTGCAGTTTGGGCCTGGCCTCGACCACCCGCCTGTCCTGAGGTGGTGGCCATGATTGAGGTTTTAGTCCATCGGCCCCTGCCAGGACCACGGACAAGCCCCCCCAGTATCTGTCTTGGGAAAGACGTGCCGCCTTTTGCCCATTCCACACCCCGAGATTCCAAGTGCTTCCACTCGCTTTATCTTCAGTCCACTCACAATCCAATTTTACAGATGTGGAAACTGAGACCCAGGACCATTAGGCTGTGCAGAGAGACAATTTCAAGCTGAGATTCCAGTTGAAGCCCATTCAGAACAGCAGCGCGGCGATGGGGGAAAGGGAAGCCAGAGAGGAAGAAGAATCAGACTGCAGCCAGGCAGGCCTCAGCAGCGGCTTGGAGAGCATCCCAGTGTATCAGCACCCACCTCACCTGTGAGGCGGCCATGTCGGGGATGCAAGATATTTGTCTCTCTGTGAATGTGAAAGGAATTAAATCAGCTAATACAGCTCTGGCCTGAAGGGAACACAAATTCACATGCTCCGGTTAGTAACAGCACCACGACACTTTTAATTCTCTGCCATGTCCTATCTTTCTTTCTTCCCCCAATATCCATATCCCCTCCACAATTTTACTCTTACACCTCCTCAGACATACACATTATTTACTTAGTGATAAGACAGGTCGAGACTGTCTTCTAGGAAAAACCACACAGGTATTATCTGCAAAGGCTAAAAAAGCAGGTGTTCTCAAGCTTATCTGAATATTTTGAGTAAATCCCTGTTTTGAAATGTAAATGCTTCTGCAGTCTGTTTAGTTTGAGATAAAGCAGTGAACAATGAGTTAATCCTTGTTTTATGCAGTTCATTATCAGAAGGCTGTGACCCAGCCAGCCACCTTTTTAAACACAAGAGAGGTCACTCACAGGTAGATAGCTCCCTGCCTCCCACCCTACACCCCCAAATCACATATACTGGATAGATTATATTGGACATAAACAGACCAGGGTGTAAATATTCTATATGTGTTTACATATGCCATATAGAAAGAGGATTGTTTTAAATATTTATTCAATATTAAACACTTCAGGACTTTATAAAATTGTTTTGTTATCGTTCAGGCAAAAAGCAGACTGTTTTTTCATCCCAGGGTGAAACTGGATGTATTCATCTCTGAGAAACATGATTTAATCTTTCAGAGTGGCAGTGGAAAGGAATGTGGAATCTCTTTGATTTTTTTTCCATAAATAATTGCAAAGAAAAAAATTAAAATGCAATAATCTGCCCAGGTTTATTAAATTAAATCCTATCAACATTCCTCTTTCTTCTCTAATGTCTTTCCAAAAACAAGTAAACAAACAAGCAAGCAAACAATTATACCCCCAAAATACCAATATTATCTCAAAATAAAAAGGTGTCCCAGGCTGTGGCATTAGAAGACTTCATTTTCGGGGGCATTCCTATTCTTGTTACCATAGCACACATTTTGTAGCTAAAGCAATTATTAACAATTACCCAATTATTAATTCTGTCATTTTGCCATGATTCCAGGATAAAACCTTTGGGAAAAGGCATTTTTATAACTGATTTCTCCCCCGTTTTATCTACTCATAACTTGTTCAGGCTTCGTTTCTTTAGAACCTGTTTTCTCTGCATTCTCTCTACTAGCTTCTTTTTCTGTCTCTGTTTCTCCATTTGATCAACAAACACCGCGGCTCCGTCGGCTGTGGCTTTCTGCACCAATGGCTCTCCTGGGCACTGTACTTTTCCTTTCCCAGTGCAGAGGCATATGGAGTCTCCTTCTCTATTCATTATGCTTCTGGGTTCCCAGGGCTCTTCTCCGCGCTACCTGGGTCTCCAGCATTCCTTAGCTCAGTGTTGAAACTTGAGCTCAGGAGCTTTCTTGTTTTACACACTCTTCTATGAAATATAATATTTAAAGCAAATCTTTTGGGAAAAAAAAATGTACCTGCTATGTGGATTTGTAGGGTTGTTACCAAAGGACATTTCTTTGGGTAAAATCCAAACAAAAGCTTCTTTTTCTCCTATGCTCCTAATGGCCGCCCCCGGCACCAGCTCGCTGTCTTGTTTATTGAAGACAAGGGCTGGGCAGAAGGAGATAAGAGTTGATTTGTGTCTCTAGAATATTGACTGTGAAGTATATATTTGCATAACTTATTACTGAGGAGTTCTATAGGTCTTCCAGATGCTGCTTAAGAGGTATGTCAATTTGTTTTCTATTTAAATATTAAATTCTATTTTTAATCAGGACTGATGCAAGACAGGCATTATGTATCAGCTTCTGTTGGCTGCTTCCTGATGGCGTTAAGTGTTTCCAGAAAATGTACAAATCCATATTTTATTTACCACCAAAGCAGTCGCACTAAAATTAAAATGGGACTCCAGGATCCCATGTCTCAGACACATGCCTGTCATGAATGAATGTCTAAACGGACACTGAGTCCTGACACCTTCTTGCTTACAGCTCTTAAAACAAATCCCTCTGCAGATATCTGATGAGAATCAAGGTCACAGCCAGCAGGAGAAAACAAATGCAGACAGACATCAGGATGCATTTTCTTTTTCTTTTCTTTTCTTTTTTTTTTTTTTTAAGACAAAGTCTCACACTGTCACCCAGGCTGGAGTGCAGTGGTGTGATCTTGATTCACTGCAACCTCCGTCTCCCGGATTCAAGAGATTCTCCTGTCTCAGCTCCCCGAGTAGCTGTTATTACAGGCACCCGCCACTACACCCAGCTGATTTTTTTTGTATTTTTAGTAGAGACGGGGGTTCCACGATGTTGGCCAGGCTGGTCTCAAAGTCCTGACCTCGTGATTCGCCCACCTCAGCCTCAGAGTGCTGGGATTACAGGCGTGAGCCAATGCACCCAGCTCAGGATGCATTTTCTAAGACGGATGTTGTCTACATGCAAAACCAGCTCAATCTATGGGACTAGATGGACTCTTTATTTCCAGGGAACGTTGATGGATTTTTAGGTTGCATTGACCACTTTGACTTATTAGGTCATTTCACTGTAAATGGTTAAACCATCTGCTTCACGAGATCTCAAGAACTCTGGCCGGCCCACTGCCTATTCAGTAGGGGGATTTCTTAGCAGAAGAGGTCATTGGACAAACTGTGGTCCCTTGGATGTCACCATAGCAAAGATTTTGATTAGTTTCAAAAGCAAGTCAACAGAAAGTAATATTTATTGGATACTTGGAATATGCTGGGCATGATGGTAGGTACTTTTCACAAAGATGGATTTACAATGAAGCCAACAGTCTAAGCTTTAGGGCCTTCCCTGGAAATGGCTTCTCTCAGGACCCTGGGAGGGGCACCAGCAATTTTCTATTCAAATTGTTTTATCCATTTACTTAAATAAAGCCTCCAAAATTAAATTCACTTCAGGCCTTGCAAAAGCTGGATCCACTCTTATTTCTATACTTCACAATGAACTTACAATTTCTTTGTGAATTTGACAATGAAGCCTGTCACAGCAAAAATCAAAACAATAAACTGAGCAGCAAGTGAACCATGAAACATGTTATTTCTACTAAACCCCACCTTGGCACTATTATTTCAGAAAAAAAAATCACTTTTGATTAAGTTAGTCCATTTGAACATTGGTTTATTGCTTTATTATATTTAAAATATATAAAAGTTTCATAGTTAGGTAAGTGTTATAATCATAAAGGGTGTACAGATGATCTTAATTTTGGTGCTACATAAACCACACTCTAAGAAAACGTATTTACTTTAGCAAGAGAGTTCATGAGAATTTCTCTCTCTAAGGAGAAACTTTTGAGGTACTGAAGTTTGAAATACACTACAGTAGCCTAAAAACCTGGCCAGTGCTCAAGGGAAGGAACTGGAACAAGGTAGATATGGTTAGCTTCGTAATGGAGTGAAGGACTCAACTCCTACAACAAAGAAGCCACTCCTGTTTACAGGCATCATTTACTAATCATTACTACCTAGCACCTCCCCACCTTTATCTTCTTGACTGATTGGTTGGTTGGCTGTAGCTGATTCCTGGATGTGCTGTGGCCGGTGCTCTAGCTGTTGCATGAGTCACAGCGTGACCTTGGTAGACTAGGGCTGGACCAAGATCTGTAGATCTCTACGCCTGCCGTGCTTCCCAACTGCGGGCAAGATAAGGCTCGGATCCTTTGGCGGGAGATAGGCAGCCCTCCAGGATTTCTCCTCTGCCGTCTCTTGCTGCGACTTTAACTGGGCCAGGGTTAATTATAAATTTATTCATTTTTCTGAGACAGAGTCTTGCTCTGTCACCCAGGCTGGAGTGCAATGGCACGATCTCTGCTCACTGCAATATCCGCCTCCTGGGTTGAAGCAATTATCCTGCCTCAGCCTCCCAAGTAGCTGGGACTACAGGCACCCACCATCACACCAGGCTAATTTTTGTATTTTTAGTAGACACGGAGTTTTACCATGTTGGCCAGGCTGGTCTTGAACTCCTGACCTCATGATGCACCCACCTCGGCCTCCCAAAGTGCTGGGATTACAGGCATGAGCCACCATGACCGGCCGGGCCACTGTTATTCTACAACAGAGGGCTCCTTCTCCACACTGCGTGCTGTGCTCTGGACAAACCAAATTCCTGGGCATTGTCTCCATGCATCTTACTGTCATAGGTTTCCTGCCACCATGACGTGGCTCTCATCCTGTCCCAGGTTTGGCCACCCGGGGAGTACCCACTCTTCTTTCCAAGCATCATCTCTAGTGTCCGCTGCTGGAGGACACCTTTCCTGTCCTTCCTGGCTTGCCCTGAATGACACAAATCCCCTTGCAAGGCTGTGCTGATGGGTCTCTCCCTAAGGTCCCCAGTTCCTAGAATATGTATTGCAGTAACTTGAATACAGGACTGTGATGATTAATTTTATGTGTCAACTTGACTGGGCTAAGGGATGCCCAGATAGCAGGTAAAACATTGTTTCTGGTTGTGTCTGTGAGGGTGTTTCCAGAAGAGATGATCACTTGAATCTGGAGACTGAGTAAAGAAGGAAATAGCAGGCATTCTCAGGCCTTTGGTCTTGGGCTGAATTACAATACCAGAATTCCTGATCCTCCATTTTGCCGACAGCGTATTTTAAGACTTCTCAGGCTCCATCATACCATGAACCAATTCCTATGATAAATCTTCTCTTTGATATCTATTTCTATTCTATTGGTTCTGTTTTTTCTGGAGAACTCTGACTAATATGAGGGCTGTCTCCCTGATTTAGTTCTCCACTCCTGTAGTCAACTCATCAGCATGAAAACAGTGTTTTGGTTTTGTATCATTAGTTAAGTTGTTACTGCCCTGATTATAAAATAACAGAGCATCTTCCAAGTTTTGCTTATGAAGCTGATTATGTACATTTCTTTAACTTCTAGAGTGTTTTGAAATGTGGATTCATAGAGATGAAAGTTCTCAGAGAGAGGGTCCCACAATGCAGCAGGACTTCAAAAGTTACTCACTGAATAAATGAGACTATGAGTTTCCTTGTATTTCTCTAGTACAGGCTGTTATATACTCACAGGCAACAGTAGAACATTTTAAAATGATGTACTTATTTCCAAATCTATCTGATGTAATATTTTTCTTTTCCTATAAGCCAATACAAATGCAAAGGTGTACTTTTCTCTCTATAGGGAGAAATAGATTTCTAGACCTTGATTTTTGTAAGAGTTCATTTTCCGTTCAAACCAGATGTCTTCAAAAGTCAAATTTTGCTTCATTTTCTTCTTCCTCCTTTTTCTAAGTTAAATGGTTAAGTCTCGACTACAGGGGAACGTGATTCAGTCAGTGCATTGCTGATGACCCAGAATCCCACAAATGTTTCCATGTGGGATTCCCATGTTGATAAAACAAAGTGATCAATCTGTAGTATTTTGTAACCACGGCCAGGAGCAAACACAAAGAAAAGCACATTAGGGAGTTTTTATATAATTCAAGGACTTACTAATTCATTATGCTCCCGATATTCTTTTCTGTTTAACCGTCACCCAGGAGGGAGTGTAGAATAGTGATTGCCAGCCAGACTGCCTTCTTGTGAATTATAACTTCAATTTTTACTGCTGCTTAGCCTTGCTGTGCCTCATATGCTCATTTGTAAAGTTAAGGTTAAAATATGTCTCGAACACGGGGCCGTTGTGAGGATTTAAGGTAACAACACACACTGTAAGTGCTCATAAATGTTAGTTCCGGTTAAGACCAGTTGCCGTTACACCAGCCCTTTCCCCATTCAACTGTTCTCCAATTTAGAATGCATGAAAATCACCTGGGAAGCTTACTGAACGTGCAGAGTCCTGGGCCTCCCCGAGGTGAGTCCACTTCGGGAACCTCCCTGTGTAGCAGGTACCCACAGTGATTCTGCTGGAGAGCCTGCCATCTGAGCATTGAGAAATACAGAACGGTCATGTCAATTTCAAGCCAACTTTGAAAACTCGATGGACATCATCTTCATTTCCACTTCCTGGTTATTCACTAAGTAAATGCTGTCAACCAGTGCACAGAATTTCTGCTCTCTGGGAGCCCATGGTGTTGGGAGTGGCAGGGTGTGCACAGGGCTTCTTAAGCTTCCTTGGTGGTGTAAATATTCCTCCTTGTGTCCTCAAGCTCCTACCAGACCTGGGTCCTGATCTCATAACCTCAGGAAGGTGCTACATGGATACCTAACACAGTGAAGAAAAGACCACTAGCTCTGTAGTTGGGCAAATGTAGGTTTGCCTTTATTTCTGTCATTACCTCTCTGTGCAGTAAGAAAAGCAAAAGGAAGGGAGAGAGAAGGGAGAGGAGGAAGGAATCATGGAAGGAAGACAGCACTCTCAGCATCCATCCCTCTTTAAACTAAAGTTAGCAGTTCATACCTCAAAGGTGTATTATGAGGTTTAAATGAGATGTATAAAGCGTGCAACACCCTCATTCGGTGCCAATGCTTTCCTGTGGCTCTCTGAGCCCAGAACACCACTCATCTTTAACTGACCACTGCTGTTCTTTGACCCCCACTTACCACCCGATAATATACATGGTCATTTATTGCTATTTAATTGTTGTGTGCACCACAGTTTTGTCTTTCCACTAAACTAGTAGCATCCTGAGATCAAGGACTATGCGTCAACCTGGTTCTGTCTCCCACTACTTATTCTTAGACTTGTCCACGGCCCCATAGCCCTAACCTGTAACCTTCACTTCCTGTCCTTGCTAATCCTCAGATGTCCAAAGTGATCAAAGAGGAAGCAATAAGCAGGCCACAGATTCATTTCTGACTTAAGAGGCAGGCTTGCTGGGATGCCAGAGACTAGTCATTCAGGTTCACTGGGAAATAGCTTGCAATAACCATGAGGCAGTTGCCAGGAAATGCGAAGAACCTTCCAGTAATGGTAAGGACTGCAGGGTATCCAGAGGTGCAGCTCAGCACTCTCTGCACTTGATGCCTGAGCCTCATCCTGTTTATGGATTGTGTTGACCACTATCCCCACTTAACACCATGTCCAATACTGCAAACTAAATACAGCTGGGAGAGCTGCTCCCAGGTGAGGAACAGTGAATGTTTGGGACGCTGGAGGCTGATAAGGTTTCATCGTGTCCCCACCCAAATCTCATCTTGAATTGTGGCTCCCATAATTCCCACCTATCATGGGAGGGACCCAGTGGGAGGTATTTGAATCATGGGGGCAGGCTTTTGCTGTGCTGTTCTCATGAGAGTGAATAAGTCTCATTAAATCTGGTGGTTTTATAAAGGGGAGTTCCCCTGCACACACTCTCTTTGCCTGCCACCATGTAAGACGTGACTTTGCTCCTCCTTCACCCTCCACCATGATTGTGAGGCCTCCCCAGCCATGTGGAACTATGAGTCAATTAAACCTCTTTCCTTTATAAATTGCCCAGTCTTGGGAGTGTCTTTATTAGCAGTGTGAAAATGGACTAATACAGAGGCTTACTGTAAGAGTTCATGACTTGGAAGAGTAATACATGGTAATTTACACTGAGGGCACTTGAATGGTCAATAAAGAACATTTGAGGGCACTTGAGTGGTCAAGGAATAACATGCAGCCTAATATTGTGTGTGTGTATCTTTGCAGGGCAAACAAAATGAATGAAGTACCAGCAACGTATGCCTTAGAATGAATGAGGTATACCCTACCTCTGTATATTATACCTTTATAGGTTATACCTTCAAAAAAATAAGGTATATATGTCAGAGGCATTTGAACCAGAGCAACTCAATCTTGAATAGGGACTGAGTGAAATAAGGCTGAGACCTACTGGGCTGCATTCCCAGGAGGCTGGGCATTCTAAGTCACAAGACGAGATAGGTTGGCGCAAGATACAGGTCACAAAGATCTTGCTGATAGAACAAGTTGCAGTTAAGGAGTCCACCAAAACCAAGATAGCAATGAAAGCGACCTCTGGTTGTTCTACTGTTCATTACATGCTAATTATAATACATTAGCCTGCTAAGAGACACTCCCACCAGTGCCACGACAGTTTACAAATGCCATGGAAACATCCATAAGTTGCCCTATATTGTCTAAAGAGGGGAGGAACCCTCAGTTCTGGGAATTGCCCAGCTTCTTCCTGAAAACTCATGAATAATCCACCCCTTGTTTAGCATATAGTCAAGTAATAACCATAAAAATAGCCAACCAGCAGTCATTGGGGCTGTTCTGCATATAGAGTAGCCATTCTTCTAATTCCTTTACTTTCTTAGTAAACTTGCTTTCAGTTTACTTAGTGAACTCACCTCAGATTCTTTCTTGAGCGAGGTCCCAGAACCCTCTCTTGAAGTCTGGATAGGGACTCCTTTCCAGTAATGTATGTATTAGGAATTAGAGCATTTTCTTGGAAAAAACATCATGCATAAGTGAAAGAAAGGTTTACAAAACATTCTTTGTTAATCTAAGAGCTGTGCATTTAAGGGAAATATCAGGCCATACTTCATAGGTTTTGCTTTACTGGAACCTTCTGGTGCTTTCTGGGGACCCAGCTCCAGTGCTAATCTGTCTGCTCCAGGCTCTTTCTGAGTTTCTGCCTCCAGGTAGGAAGGTAAGCCAGGAGCTGTACCTCCCTTGTCATCACTCCTCAGCCTCCTCCGTTTGCATCATCGACCCACAGTATGATAGGATTGCTTGGGATTTTTGTCTACTCTCCCAGAACTTCTCACCCTGCCCACAAGCTAACATCTTGAAGAAAATATCCGCTCATAAACTAAAGGAAAGTGTTCTTACAGGACGGTCCAGAAACTCACTCTTCTCCATTAACGCCAAACCCCATTTTCTTCCTCCACCCCCTGAATATTTGATTTACATTAGCCAAAACAGATTATTGACAAGGTTTAGGGCACACTACCCAAAATATGGCACCTTGGCGTTTGAGAAAACAGCAGAAACAGGAAGGCCACTCTCCCCTCCCTTTCCCCTTCTTCCCTGAAGCAGAACATAAGATATAAGGAAATCATCCTCTGACCTCCCTCCCTTCTTCCTTGAAGAACTTCATGTGGCAGGTGTCTTGGCCTATACACAGACACCAAGAAGAAACTAAATAAACAATCCTTACTAACCTCCCCACAACCCAGTTTATTGCCATTAAATCACACCATTTAGTTCTCCAATCATACTTCTGCATGACAGCCCATAAAAATAGACAGATGTCCTCATTGTCTTGGTCTTCATGTTTGCAGGCTCTCCTGTCATATACAGCTCCTATTAAATAAAGGTATTATGCATGTCCCTTATTAATCTGTCTCTTGTTATAGGGGCCTTAGCCATGAACCTTATGATGGTAAGGAAAGGAAATTACTTTTTCTTTACTACATTATCTTTACAAAAATATAGAAAGGGAGTTTTTCATAGTCAGAACTTTATGTGCCTGAAATTTAACTCATTTTTTTTAGAGTTTCCTAAAGACATCACAATCATTTACATGTATCACTTTAGCTTTGGGTACAATCCTATATATGTAAAGTGTAGAGTCTATGACTTTAGCTTTATTAGCTTATGTTAGATGCCAAATTTCTACTAAAAGATGAAAAAAAATTATTTTGCACTATCGCATGACATGTTCTATTAAATCATACCGTTTTCCCACCTCCAGGTGCACTGAAATAAGCCACCTCCCAAGGCCTCCAGGAAAGGTCGTTTGAAAGCCTTTATAATTGTATTCTAATTTGTAGTAGTTATAGTATGCATAACAATGACAACATTGACAGAGAAGAGTGATCGTGTTTTCATGTACACTCATTTCATAATCTTCGTTGGCCCCATAAGGAAAGTAAGAAAAGTAGCTTTTACCAGTTAGACTTATGAAAAATACAGACTTTTAAAAGTTGCTTTTAGTTCAGAACTTCTTCTGTCTCTGACTTTATTTTGACCACTTAAGTCAGCTTCTATCACTTCTCAAGTTTTCCCTAAGTCAGAAATAATAATTTTTAAAATTATATTACCCTGTTTTGACTAATGAAATCCACTTAGGGAGTGACTCCATCCTTGGATGTTAAAGACAATCTAAGCCAGACCTATCTTCAGATGAGGTATCTTCACCCAGATGTTACAAAGGCAGTAGATGAGGCCCGGAGGCTGAGACAAGCCTGAGATCCTTCGTATCTATCTCAACATTTCTAATATCTGACTTTTTATCCTAGGTCTCCTGGACATTCACTGAAAGAAATTTTCCTTCTTTAGGGCCAGTGTTTTTTTCTAGACTATGTGACAAAGAACAGCTTGTGCTGGATAGACAAAGTATGGCAGAAGGAGGAGAGTCCACAGCACTGGAACAATTGCTAAAGCAGGGTCCACGGTGAAAACTGTTAACACTGCAGGCTGATTCAAAGCTGACTTGATTGGAAGCCATGTTCTACTAACAGGGATCCATTTGCAAATGGCAGCGGGTGTAAAGTTGGCACAATTCTGCCCTGTTTCTACTTCCTACCATTAGTCATTGCTTGCTCACTTCACTAAGCTTCATCTGAGTTTCTATAGTCCACTTCCTCCCCATCAAAACAAAACAACACAGAACAAAAGATTTCCCTTCAAATCTAAGTATCTATGAAATTCCCTGAATCTAAGCAGAAATGAGGATGAACCTGAAATACAAATTTATTTTTATTTTTAGTGCGACAAGTGTTATTTCCTCTTGAGTCTGAATCCAAGGTTTTAATGCAGGCCTCAACGTGACAGTTTTTACTCAGACAAGAGTGCATTCAGGGCCCAATAAACCTCTCGGGCAAAAGCCGAAAGACACAGGGGAACAGCCCAGAGAATATGAAAGCCGTGAAACAGGTATAAATTGAAAAAAATTCAAAAGCAAAGAGTTGTTCGACTGAATTTAAAGTTATAGATGGAGAAGAGGAGGGTGAGGAGGAGGAGGAAGAGGAGGAGGAGGAGGAAGAGGAGGAGGAGGAGGAAGAGGAGGAGGAGGAATAGAGGAAATCTTTAATTGTAGGTGATCTCAGCCAAATTGTCAACAAAGCTCATAGGAGATATATTTTTTAACCATATGGTTTTCTCTGGGTTTTCACATGCTAATTTCACCCTGATCTAGGGAGCAGAGGCATTTTTCATAATTGATTTTTGAAAGGCATCAAATGTAAACTTAAATAAGTTTAGAGGCCTTGGACACCAGTTTCTACCATTATAATTGAGCCATTGTTTTCCACTCAGAACTGGGTAATGACTATGGTTTGCTGTCATAGCTATCAATTTATGAAGACACAGCTGCCAATGTCTTTAAGAACCTTTTTTTTTTTTGCATGACAACGCATTTTTTAGGGTGTGGGGTATAACTGAATAAAGCCCCAAGTCAAAGGTAACCAAGCCTACTAAAGCATGATGAGGCTTTAAATATTATATATATATGATAATTTATGTATTATTTTTAAAGAAGATATACCTAACATGTATAAACATACATCAATATACTTATATCCATATTTATATATGTAATGAAGATTAAATAATTAATTTCACGATGTATGTTATCAGATCGTTTTGACTCACTGGAATGAAAAACCACTTCACCTAAAGGAGAATCTCCTCTACGGATCCTTGTGACTGCTCTAAAGGAAGCAAACAGCCTGAAATGACACTCTGAACTCATGAAACTTATCAATAAGTGCATATTTTGGGGGCTTGTAGACGTTCACTATATTAAATTGCAATTATAAATCATTCCTTCATTTTCTTTATGGTTCCACTGAGATTTTCCAGATGTAAATAGGAAGAAGAAAAAAAGACATCAGTAAGAAATAGAAAAAGGCTTCATCATATCCGTCCAAAATTGTTAATTCACTTTAAAAATTTAGAATATTTTCATGTCCATTTATAATGTTAATGAGTGTTAATGGAGATTCAGTCTCCAGACTGTGTTCTTTTGATTATTTTTTCGCTGAGGTGGGCAGATGTGCTCCACATGTGTTATTTGGTGTAAGATCAGGGATCTAGGAGATCCCCTTTTTCTTTCCTTCCCTGGAAGCTTCATTGTAATTCTGATGATAAAAGCTTCCCTGGAAACAAAAGTGCAGGTTTCTTTCCATGGAGCCTTATGTTATCAGCCCTCATTCTTAATTCTGAATGGTATTTTAAGCTGTAAGTCACATCTACTTAAGGATTGAAGGCAATTTCTCCACCTTTTTCTTCCAAGAGTGTCAGAACAAAACCTGACATTAGTAAATTGTATTATCCCTTTCCATTATAAAAGTAATATATACATACATTATTGAAAGCTCAAGGAAAAAAAATATATATTACGTATATACACACTATGTACCATCCAGAAGATGACTGCTAGCATGTTACTGTATTTCCGTATTGCCATTCATTTCCCTTCTTTCCAGAAATACAATTTTACATCCTACTTATTGAGAAATAAACCAAAGAAGAGACACTTCAACGTAGGCAGAAGGTTTCAAACACTGTTTGGCTGAGGAGTGGAAGTTAAATCACCCCGTGGCCCATCCACTCCTCCCTGGAGCTCCTCCACCCGTGTCATGTGCTTCGTCTCCACACATGTGTGTGTGCATGTTTATCTTGCAAAGCACTTAATAAAATAAGATCAATTATGTTCCCCACTTTGTTTTCTCAACAATCGCAGATGCTTCTAAGCGGTGAGTGGACTGGAAATCTAAGGAGGAAGTTGCCGTTAGGGTTGGGGGCTGCTGTTTTCTGCCACCTTTGCCTTCCTGCAACAAGGACAGGGAGTCCTTCTGAGGGTCCCCGTTCCTCCCTAGCAGCTGGGCTTTCCAGAGGGGGTTCCGCAGCATGGACCCAGCGCTGGCTGTTCTATGCACACACAGGCAGGCGCACTCCACTGAGAAGCTTTCCGTGGAAAGCCAGCACTTCCGACATCCTAGACCGAAAATAAGACCTTTGCCACCGTTCCTCGGCCTCTAAAACGCCACTTGATTTTGGGCACAGCACTTCTAGATTCTAGCAGAAGGAGGGCAGGGAGAGAGCCAGAGAGCAGGAGAGCAGGAGAGAGGGAAAGGGGAGCCACGCGAGCCCGGCTTTGCTCTCTCATGAAGGCTGGATGTCCAAAACAGCTCCAGAGGCCTGATAAGAAGGTGGCGCGCTCTCTGGGCCTTCCCACTCCCCTCAACTAACGCACACACACCTCCTGTGTTTGTTTGCTTTTCCAGGCCTGTGCTGAAAGCCTGCAATCTGAACCCTCAGAGGCCACAGCCGTGTCAGCACCCAGGGATCAACATTTGGGCTGACTTCTCTCAGGCCAGGCATCCACAGCAGAAGCAGAGGGAGCAGCACCTTCAACAGTGTTCCCTTCAGGGCAGGAACACCCAGCAGGGAGGAATGCCTTCCATGAGATGCCCGGGGCTGGGGGTGGGGGGGAGTGCCTTCCATGAGATGCCCAGGGGCGAGTGCCTTCCATGAGATGCCCGGGGGGAGTGCCTTCCATGAGATGCCCGGGGGGAGTGCCTTCCATGAGATGCCCAGGGGCGAGTGCCTTCCATGAGATGCCCGGGGGGAGTGCCTTCCATGAGATGCCCAGGGGCGAGTGCCTTCCAGTGGCTGCCCAGAAAGGAGCCCTGCTCCCTGTGCGGAGTCTGGAGAGGCCACAGAGGGGGTGGAGGAGCCGGAGAGAATCCCGTCTCTGTCTTCTTTGCTGCACCTGCCCTGCTCCGGAGGTGGTGTTCTGATGTGGCTGGTAGAGCCATGTTCGTCTCTAAAACTTCCTCGGACAGCCACGCAACATCTGCTTCATGACGGCAGCGTCATCGCATCTCTGCCCCGGTTTTCTCTGAACATAAATGTGCACTTGTGTGTGCTCAGCACAAAGAATACAGCTCGCGGGTTGTCACTAATTTTAAATTTTGGACCATGTTGTTTTCTTTCTGATCTGTAAGATCAGCTTCATTGAAATATCTCTAAGACGCAAGCTATGGAAGAGCAAAATGAAACAAACAACCAGCTCTTTTGTATAAAGGAATAAAAGTATAAAGAATTTTAGACTATTCAGGTATCTGTCCATGTGTTGTTACACATTTTTTCGGTGCTTGAAGCCTGTTTACATGATGTCAACATTACTATGTGTAGATACATGTTAAAAATCCCCCAGTAATACTAATTTTTTGATGCACAAAACATCATAGAAAGTATCGTAATACCAAAATGCTATAAATTAGTTTAATAAAGATTCAGTTTTAAAGGACAGATGATAAGAAGTATGTTACTATTATTTTTTCTTGTTATTTGGCTCATTTAAAGATAGTTTCTTTGACTTATATGAGGAAAAGAACATTTAAAATTATTAAATGTTAATATTTAAATAAATCAACACTTTTCACCTTTATTATTCTATCTTACATTTGACTTTTTAAAATTTACCAAAAAGGACTTTCTATTTTAAAGGGAAATGTAATCTCTACATCAAAGTCATCCAGAAAAACAATTATGTCTGGTACAGTTTCATTTAAACTATAACATGAGTTCATGTATTCAGACATATGACAGACCAGTACTGGTCCATGGCCTGTTAGGAACTGGGCCACACAGCACGGGGTGATTGGTTGGGGTGGGGAGGGTGCAAGCAGGCTTTACTGTCCGGGGTGGGGAAGGTGCAAGCAAGCTTTACTGTCCGAGCTCCGCCTGCTTTCAGATCAGCAGCAGCATTAGATCCTCACAGGAGCGCGAACCCTATTGCGAACCGTGCATGCGGAGAATCGAGGTTGCGTGCTCCTTATGAGAATTTACTGATGCCTGATGATTTGAGGTGGAACAGTTCCATCCCAAAAGAATCCCCCTCACTTCTTGTCCTTGGAAAAATTATGTTCCACGAAACTGGTCCCTGGTGTCAAAAAGGTTAGGGACCACCGTGTTATAGATTGCATGTGATGGAGTCATGGGTCCGTGATGTGGCATGTGTTATGATGTGTGTGATTCAGTGTGCAGGTGTTATGTGTGTGAAGCACTGTGCATGATATAGTGTGTGCGATGTAGTGTGTGTTACAGTGTGTGTTATAATACATGTGAGGCAGCGTGTGTGATGTAATGTTTGTGTGGTGCAGCGTGTGTCATATGTGTGATCAAGTGTGTGTGTGTTAGTGTCCGTGTGATGCAGTGTGTATCTGCTGAAGAATGTGTGATGCACTGTGTGTTAGAGTGTGTTACATAGTATGTGTGATGTCGTGTGTGTAATGCAATGTGTTTGTGCAGTACTATGTGTGATGGAGTGAGTGTGCTATAGTGTGTGTGATATAGTGAGTGTGTGTGATACAGTGAGTATGTGTTATGGCGTGTGATGGAGTGTGTGTTATAGTGTGTGTGATGCAGTGAGTGTGTGCTATAGTGTGTGTGATACAGTGAGTGTGTGTGATACAGTGAGTATGTGTTATGGCGTGTGGAGTGAGTGTGTGTTATAGTGCGTGTGATGGAGTGAGTGTGTGTTATAGTGTGTGTGATACAGTGAGTATGTGTTATTGTGTGTGTGATGTAGTGAGTGTGTTATAGTGGTTATAGTGTGTGATGCAGTGAGTGTTATAGTGTGCGATGGAGTGTGTTATACTGTGTGATGCAGTGAGTGTGTCCTATAGTGTGTGTGATGCAGTGAGTGTGTGCTGTAGTGTGTGTGATGCCGGGAGTGTGTGTTGTAGTGTGTGTGTGATGCAGGGAGTGTGTGCTGCAGTGTATGTTCAGTGAGTGTGTGTTATAGCGTGTGTGATGCAGTGAGTGTGTGCTGTAGTGTGTGTGATGCCGGGAGTGTGTGTTATAGTGTGTGTCATGGAGTGAGTGTGTTATAGTGTGTGTGATGCAGTGAGTGTGTGCTGTAGTGTGTGTTACAGTGTGTGTGATGCAGTGAGTGTGTGCTATAGTGTGTGATGCAGTGAGTGTGTGTTATAGTGCGTGTAATGCAGTGTGTGCTACAGTGTGTGTGATGGAGTGAGTGTGTGCTATAGTGTGTGTGATGGAGTGAGTGTGTGCTATAGTGTGTGTGCTGTAGTGTGTGTTGTAATGTGTGTGATGCAGTGAGTGTGTGCTGTAGTGTGTGCGATGGAGTCAGTGTCTGCTATAGAGTGTGTGATGCACTGTCTGTGACAGAAGAGGAAGAGAGGTCTCCATCCCACACATCTACCCAGCCACAGGTGCTCAGATTCTATGATGCCCTCTGAGATGCTGCCACCGTTGCTCTCAGAGGGTGGATCCTCACTCGTACATCAGCCAGCACATTTCTCTCCACCTACGCAGTCTCACACGGCAGAGGAGCCCTGTCCTCCAGCACTGTGAGATACCCACACCAGAGCGGCTTAATATTGTATTAGTAAATGTTCTGATGTAGAAGGAAGTGTTCCTCGCCTGTCAACCAAGAAGTGCTGAATTTATAAACATGTCGTGTGTGCATCTTTATCTAGGCCAAAAGTGTTCCCAGATGGCATTGTTTGACTCCGAACCCCGCTCCCCTCTCAGAAGCACAGATGCTTAGAAATGAGGGTCTCTAGTTGCTGCCATCATCACACCACATGGATTCTAATTTACCCTAATCTGCGCCATCCTGATCACACTGAAGGCGCCAGGCTGACACTGCTTCTGAAAGTCTCATCCACTTGAAGCTGTTTTGATGGGTCACTCTCCAGCTTAGAAAAGTTCCACGTCGATTGCTTTACACAGGATGAAGTCTAAATTTGTCAGCCAGCAACTTAAATCCTTTCAAAATGTTCTAAATAAATAATGTTTCAAGTGTCATGTCTACCGCATTCCAGCCAGACTGAAGTGAAAACCCCGAGAAACACCTCCTATTGTAATTCCCTCTATTCCTTACCTCTAACATGTGCCACCACCCCCTCCAGCCCAGCTTCTCCAACCCATATCAAAGCAGTTTTCTGCAGGCTTCTCTTGAATCTGGCCCACAGCATCTTCCTGCGTGCCTGGATCAGCCATGCGTGCTAACGTCCACTTACGTGGCCACAACCTTCACCCATGTCCTTACTGTGATTTCCTCTAGTCTACCCCTTATTCAGTGTCTACTCTCATAACCACCTTATTTAATCCTCACAATATCCTCAGTACCCAGATTAAGATGCCCAGATTTCAGGGATGGTAAAATTGAATCTGAAAAATATTAAATAGTTCGCTCAAAACTATTATGCCAAAGGCCATGTTCTTCCTTCCGAGCAAAGATCTGTGCTAGAGTCTGAGGGTTCTTCCAAAAAGACCGAAATGTGTGATACCTGTACTCAAGTGGTTTATAATGTTGCTGAGATAATAAGATAACTCCTCTATCTGGCAGGGAATGTTCTTCACAGACCAGGGAGGTGGGCTTCACAGCTGAGCACCAGCCCAGATTGTTCCCAACTACAGGCAACGCAGTTGCTTTGGCTTTGAAAATGGGATGACGGCAGTCTGGCAGGTGAGAACTCTTCTCATTGTCTACCAGGTAAAGCAAAATTATAAAATTGAACTTGTATTGCCTGATGTGACCATTTCAAGGTCGTTAGAGGGATTAAGTGACAACAATAAATACAAAATGAACATGAAAACTGTAAGTTTCTGTATTTAAACATATTGTATGTAAACATCCGTTAAACATATTGTACCATTAAATAATGGTACAATATTGTCCGACACCTGAGAATAAAAGTAAAATAAGTAAACACGGAAATAAGCAAGTGGTGCAGATAACTCCACTTATCTGGTGGTGCAGAAATGCCCTGTCATATCTCTGATCATCCCCTCCTGCCCACTCTTCAATCCTATAACATGTGTTCTTTCTGCAGGCCTCAATTTCTTCTGTTCCTCACTTGGCAGTGCTTGTCCCTGGCGCAGCCTTTGCCCCTTGGCTATCCTCTTAGTGTATCTTGCTCTCACCAGCCCCTCTGCTCCGATGTTGGCCCTGAATCACTCTGCTTTTCCCATCCCTGGGATTGCCACCACTGACTTGTCTCCTCCTTCTCCCAGGCCACTGTGCCCTGTAGACAAAGTCCCCAGAGCAAACTGCTAGTTTCACCATGGAATTTGATGTGTGTTGCAGCAGACTTGTGCTCATCAGTCCATTCCGTTCCCCATGGCTGGTGCTTTGCATCTTGTCTTTCTACCCTTTTCCATGTGCTGCAAGCCTGGATTCTCATTCTCTCTATAACCTGAACAGAAGCCTCCAGCTTCAACTTTCTGGAAGCCCTTAATGGAATCCTCAGGAGCTCCTTCAATTTCACCATTTTCCTCCTCAATATTGCCCCATAACCAGCCCAGATTCCCCTTTGCTCCCTAGGAGGAAACGCACCTTTCCCAGGCAATGCCAAGGCCTTCTTCTACACCTCTCACCACTCTGGCTGTAATTTAACAATCCATGAACATCTTTTCTTTTTTCTTCTTTGAGATGGAGTTTTACTCTTGTCACCCAGGCTGGAGTGCAATCACGTGATCTCAGCTCACTTCAACCTCCGCCTCGTGGGTTCAAGCAATTCTCCTGCCTCAGCCTCCCGAGTAGCTGGGATTACAGGCACCCACCACCACGCCCGGCTAATTTTGTATTTTTAGTAGAGACAGGGTTTCTCCATGTTGGCCAGGCTGGTCTCGAACTCCCGACCTCAGGTGATCCACCCACCTCGGCCTCCCAAAGTGCTGGAATTACAGGCGTAAGCTGCCATGCCCAGCCCAATCCATAGATTTCTCTCCTATATGTTTCTATCCATAGCCACTGTCTCTCGCTACTTTGGTTTTTCTCTATTGGTCTCACTTTGTTCTAAGAAATAAAAATAAAATAGTTTCCAAATGGCAGTATTATCCCTCCAAGTACCATCTCATATTTCATCTTCTTTTTATTTCAAAACCTCTGGACACACTTTCTCAGTGTCTTTAAGCACTTTTCCTTTTTTTTTTTTTTTTCCTAATATCTCATTGGCCAGGATCGTGGTGCTAGAGATGTACTAGTGTAGTCTTTTATTCTGAGTAGCAATGAGCTCAGCTTTTCCTGAGGAAGAAGGGGAAATTAGACATTAGGAAGCAACCAGATGTTTCTGTCATACTCTTCCACCACTGATGATATCTCCTCTGTCTCCAGATCTATGACACATTTTCCTCTTCTCTCTTTCGAGGATGTAGTTTAATAGTAGACACACTAAATATACAGGAATTACTTTGATGCAAGGCGGAAAACTAAAATTCATTAAACACAAGTTCTAAGTGCTATGAAAACACAGAAAGACCAGTGAGTTCTGATGCACGCCTGGGTAGGCTGGGATGAAAAGACCATCCATATGGTCTGACTTGGCTCTTCCAGAACAAAACACAGAGAGCAAATGATCATAATCGTGTGGCACCCTGTGAGTAAGTGGACAAGGTTCTTTATGACCAGAGACACCAAGCACAGGAACTCTGGCTTCTCCAAGGCCTGGAGGTGCTGAGGTCTTAACAAATCTGTAGCCCATATAGTACAATGCTTAGAAAACTACTCTAAACTTCCCCTAATGTAACACAACAAAACCTCCTAGGTACTGTTAAGAATTTGGAAGCAGTCCATCCGTTTTCAGACTAGGAATTAATTCTTACTAAGAAGTCTCCTCCTATGATATCCAGAAGGACACAGACACATATAACAGTGGCTTACGATTTGAGGGGACAAAATTTTACATCAGTATTATCATTTTAGACATGATGACTGAAGATACATGCATTTGGGAATCTTACAATTACCCAGTATGATGTATGATCTGAGGACTGGAGATCATGAATAAGTTGACCAAGACAGAAGCTTTGTGATGGAGGAAGCATTGAAACTCAGATGGTTTTGTGTTAAGTGGATGTTTTTCTACTCTGTCGCTAGGCTAGGTGCATGAAACGGCTGGGTGTGTGGGCTTTCAGATGGCATTTTTGGTGCTACCTCTACCAGAAAGCAAATCCAGAAATGCAGCAAGGATCAGATCTTCCAGGCCATGTAATGACATTGGCTTTAGCTGTGGCTGCTGTCCTGAGAGAAGCCTGTAAGCAGGGTGAGGGTATGGAGGGAGATCAGTTAACAGACAAACAAAATAATCCGGGAGAAAGATGATACTGCCCTGAACAATGGAGATAGTAATAGAATTTTAAGACGTTATCAGACTCCAGTTATATTTGAAGGTCGAACAAGCGGAATTTTCTGAATGAATGGATATATGGTAAGAGAAAAAAAAAAGACAGCAAGGGTAATCCCAAGGTTCTTGGCCTGAACAACTGCAGAGATGTTGTTTTTTACTGAGAATGGACAATTGTGAAGGAAAAAAAATAGTTTTGGATGTGTCATCTTTAAGATTCCTAACAGAGCAAAAAGGGAAAGATCCAATTAGAAATTGTATATACCAGCCTTGAGGTCAGGAAAGAAGTCTGACCTAGAGATGTGAATTTGAGTCATCACAACATGAAAGGTATTTATTTTAATTATTATTATTATTAGTTTTTGATGGAGTCTTGCTCTGTCACCAGGCTGGAGTGCAGTGGTGCGATCTTGGTTCACTGCAACCTCCGACTCCTGGGTTCAAGCCGTTCTCCTTCCTCAGCCTCCCGAGTAGCTGGGATTACAGGCACATGCCACCATGCCTGGCTAATTTTTGCCTTTTTAGTAGAGCCAGGGTTTCACCATGTTGGCCAGGATGGTCTTGATCTCCTGACCTTGTGATCCACCTGCCTCAGCCTCCCAAAGTGCTGGGATTACAGGTGTGAGCCACTGCGCCTGGCCACAACATGGAAGATATTTAAGTATTTAAGGTTCAATGAGATTTCCTAGAGATAAATGTAGAAAGAAGCAAGAGAAAAATCTAAGGCCCAAGCCCTATCTTTTTAGACAGTTAGATGTAGAGGAAGATCATGAGAAGTGGGCACAGTAGACTGGGAAGATATGGCTAGTGACCACAAGGAAAACCAGGAGTGTGGGGTGTTCAGAAAGACAGGGGAAGAAAGCGTCTCAGACAGGAGCAAACAACAGACTGTGTTGAATGCTGCTGGGAGATCAAATAAGATAAAGATGGGAAAATGGCCACCAGATTTAGCAATAAAGAGGACATTGATGACTTCAAGAAAAACCACTTCCTTGGAGTGGTGAGAACAGAAGCCTGATTTCAGAGATGTAAGATGGAATGGAATGAGAGGCAGTGCACACAGAGATGTAAACAGAATGTGAGGATTTTGGTGTTAAAAGTGAAGGAAGAAATGAAGCGGTAGCTGGAAGGGATGTGGAGTCAAGGTATAAAGAAATAAATCTTTTTTTTTTTTGATGAGAGAAATTACAGCATATTTGCACATGGATGGCATGATAATTGGAGAGAAAAATTGATGATTTTGTAAAAATATAGTGATGCCCATGATTAGACCAAAAGAGAAGGGATCTAATTCTGAAGAAGATAGCCCTAGACAGGAACATCGGGAAGTCATTTATAAGAGTAGGAGCTAAGGCAATTACGTGGTTTCATTGATGTGTATTGTAAGGATAGGAAATCCTCCTCTGATTGCTTCTATTTTTCTCAAGGATGTAGAAGGCAAGGCCATTAGCTGAGATTGAGGATAAAGGAGGTGGTACTGGTGGTTTGATGTGAAGGAGAAATAAGCTACTTATCCAGGAAAAGCAAAAATTAAGGAATCAGAAATACCCAAGGGTTGCTAGAAAGCACTGACAGCCTCAACGTGATGGTCATAATTGTTTTTTAATTTTTGAGACAGGGTCTCCTTCTGTCACCCAGGCTGGAGTACAGTGGCTCCATCAGGGCTCACTGCAGCTTCAATCTCCTGTGTTCAAGCAATTCTCCCATCTCTACCTGCCAAATAGTTTGGGATTACAGTTGTGTGCTATTATGCCGATATTATGCCCCAATTTTTTTTTTATAGACAGGGTCTCACTATGTTGCCCAGGCTGGCCTTGAACTCCTGAGCTCAAGTGATCTGTCCACCTCAATTTCTCAAAATGCTGGGGCTACAGGTGTGAGCCACTATGCCCAGCCCAAACATTTAGAAAGATCAGTCAGTATGCTTTTGAATTTCTCTACATCCAAGTTCAGCTTTTTGAGTATAAAGATAGAACAGGTAGAAACTTAGACTAGCGTTTTCATGAGCACCTCAGATGGCAAGAGAGAAGCAAGAGAGGGCTTATGTTGACTATAGAGTCTAATATGGAATCGGGAGGAAGTGAGAACCTGAGAAAGATGAGGGTCAGATAAAATGCAGTAGGAAGAGTTGATGGTCTATTCTGTTCATGTTAAATAATGGTTGGATTGCAGGAACTTGAGTAAGTGTGCAGAAGATATAGGAAATTAAGGGCATAGAATGGAATGCTTGAAACTGTGATAATGGAGGGACATAGTCAATGGTAATGACAAGTCCCAAAATGTGACCTTGAGAATGGGAGTCTGAAGTGGGAGGGAGTGCAAGATAATTGGAGCAGAGGATGCCAAAGAACTTAGACAGGGTAATGAAAAGGTCATCTCTGTAGTCAGTGCAGTTTCCAAGAATTATGGCAGAAGTAGTCCTGGAGGGAGGAGCAGGGAGCCAGGAGCCACAACTAGGAAAAGAGAATCTTCTGAGTGTTGGTAGATACTGCAAAAAGCAAAGATAGTGGTGGTGGGTATAAGCATCAGAGGTGGAAGGGGTTAGAGTGGAGAACCGGATACTCTGGAAATGGCAGTAAAAAGCAATGAATACATTGATCTCACCCCAAGGTCCAGCTGTGCAAAGATGTTGGAGAGAAAACAACCACTTTGAGATGACTGTGGGCATTGGGGGAAGGTAGTTGTAGACAAAGTTTGAAAACAATATTCAATATTCAAGGGAAAGTTTGAAGGTGTGGGCATTCTGTTCATGATAGACTTTAGTCTCAGGAGGTAGAGAAGGAATAAGGGAAGGATTTGATAGCTGAGGAAGCATGAGGGATGAAGTCACTTTAGAGGTGCACAGAGCTGTACAGCCCGTGTATCTTGGCCTTATGTTCATTTTTTTTTTTTTTTTTTTGAGACAGAGTCTCACTCTGTCACCCAGGCTGGAGTGCAGTGGTGCCATCTTGGCTCACTGCAACCTCCGCCTCCTGGATTCAAGCTATTCTTCTGCCTCAGCCTCCCAAGTAGCAGGGACTACAGGCGCAGGCCAACAAGGCCAACTAATTTTTGTGTTTTTAGTAGAGACAGAGTTTCACCATATTGGCCAGGCTGGTCTTGAACTCCTGACCTTGTGATTCACCCACCTCAGCCTCCCAAAATGCTGGGATTACAGGCGTGAGCCACCACACCTGGCCTTATGTTCATTTTTTACTTTTGGAGGTAACTAATATAAATAGATGAAGGGTACAATGGGATTAGTCCTGATGGTGTTTGAGACTTGCAATCTTTCCTGCTCTGGTGATATGGAAGTAGAGACAAAGACAGTGTTACCTGAAACAGACCAATCTCTAGGGCCCACTACCCTCTCTTGACAATGGAGGGTTTTTTTTTTTTTTAATTTTTTTTAATTTTTTATTTTTTATTTTTTTATTTTTTATTTTTTTTGAGATGGAGTCTTGCTCTGTCGCCCAGGCTGGGGTGCAGTGGCGTGATCTTGGCTCACTGCAAGCTCCACCTCCCTGGTTCACTCTATTCTCCTGACTTAGCCTCCCGAGTAGCTGGGACTACAGGCGCCCACCACCATGCCTGGCTAATTTGTTGTATTTTTTAGTAGAGACGGGATTTCACTGTGTTAGCCAGGATGGTCTTGATCTCCTGACCTCATGATCCGCCCGCCTCGGCCTCCCAAAGTGCTGGGATTACAGGCGTGAGTCACCGCGCCCGGCTGACAATGGAGGTTTTAAATCACAGGGTTACCAGAGAACATAGAGAGTGAAAAATATCCATTGATTACTGAAAATGAAAACATTGAAACCAAAATAAGTGCTACTCAGCTCAAAGAGTAAGTATCCCCCTACCAAAGAGGAAAAGAAAAAGATGTTTAAAAATAAACAAAAAAAATTAGATAGTATATTACCCATGAGATGAGAACTAGATGCAGGTGAGCACTAAAAATCTCTGCTATTGTAGATCTATAGAAAATGTAAAGAATCGGCCAGGCATGATGGCTCATGCCTATAATCCTAGCACTTTGAGAGGCCAAGGTGGGTGGATCACCTGAGGTCAGGAGTTCCAGACCAGCCTGGTCAACATGGTGAAACGCTGTTTCTACTAAAAATACAAAAATTAGCCAGGTATGGTGGCTTGCACCTGTAATCCCAACTACTCAGGAGGCTGAGGCAAGAGAATCTGCTTGAACCTGGGAGTCGGTTGTTGCAGTGAGCCGAGATTGTGTCATTGCACTCCAGCCTGGGCAACAAGAGAGAAAGTCCATCTCAAAAAAAAAAAAAAAAAAAGAAAAAAGAAAAAGAAAAAGAGGACAGTAGGAAAAATAATAATAATAACCAAAGTTAATATTATCAAAAAAACAAAAATAGAAAAAGTAAGTTTAAATGTTTATAAATTATTTATTCCTTATTAAGAATAATAAAACAGATAAATTCCTTTTGTCTGAGTTGGAAAAAAAGAGCAAAAGGAGAAAGAGATTAGGAATAGCAAAGGAAACATGTAAGTCCTAGAATAGATTAATAGAATTGTAAGAAAACACAGCACGCAACCCTATGGCAATAAACATGTAACTCTAGAGAAAAGGTATACATTTCTAGGAAAACATAAATTAACAAAACTGAATTAAGAAGTGGAAATTTGAACAGACCAATTGCCATAGAAAGATTGGGAAGATAATAAAAATATGCATTGACAATGTCATCATAGAAATTAAACCAAGTGTATGTAAATTATTAGAGAATTTTGAGAATAGTAGTGATGCGATCTAACACATTTTGAAAGGTGTTATGAAGGAAGACACTGCAGAGAAACAAGAGAAAGAGCAGGTAGATTGGTTAAGAGGTGACTTTATGACTGCAGGCTAGATGGTGTTGGAGGCCTGCCAGGAGCAGGGAGGTGGTGAGATGTGCTCAGGTTTTGCAGATAGACTGATTGAAGGTGCAGGAATGGAAGAGGGTCTAGGTTTTGGGCTAGAGCAAAAGGAAGAGTAGCATTATTATCATTTGTGTTGTTTGCTAGGACTGCCATGACAAAGTCCTGTCTATGGGCAGCTTTAACAGCAGAAATTTATTGCCTTGCACTTCTGGAGGTGGAAAGTCAGAGACCAAGGTGTCAGCAGTGTTGACTATTTCTGAGGAGTGAGTGGGACTCTGTTCCATCCTTCTCTAGTTCCTGGTTGTTTTCTGGCAATCTCTGGCATTCCCCGGATTATGGAAGTATCACCTGGATCTCTACCTTCACCTTCTCATGGTATCTCCCTTTGTGCATGCCTCTGCATCAAAGTTTCCCTTTTTAATAAGGTCATCTGTCATATTGGATTAGGAGCCACCCTACTCCTGTATGACCTTATTTTGACTTAACTAATTATGTCTGCAACAACCCTATATTCACTCTGAGGGACTAGAGATTAGCACTTTCATGTATGAATGTTTGGAGAGGACATAATTCAACTCATAACAACATTTACAGGCCTGAGAAAAACGCTGGAGCAGCAGGTTTGGGCGCATGCCTGCTTGAGTTCCAGGTGGAGACATAAGGTGGGCAGTGGAGTTCGAAGGAGACGTGTAGCTAGAAATATGAATTCAGCTGTTCAATATACTTGTATTGAAAGTCACGATCTGGGACTATTAACCCTGAAGGGGTTGTTTACAGAAAAGGGAAGAGATCTGAGAACCAAGCTTTAGGGCTCTCCAACATTGAGTAATATTTCTTATTTCTAAATCCATACACTTATTTCTAAGATCCAATGCTTGCACTTCAGGACACTTACTCTTTCCTCTGCCCAGACCCCTCTTTCTGCAGTCACCTGCATCACCAGATGTCCCTCCAGCCCCCAGATATCTGCATCACTGGATGCATATCTTCCTTCAAGCACTTGCTCCATGGCCCGTCTATAGTGACACACACAGCAGCTCCTGCCCTCTGTCCTCCCTCCGTCTCTTGCCTTGCGTTTATTTGTGTTTCCTTCCTTGCCCGCCATGCTGCAGCCTGACTGCTCATTTCTTCCTTCCCCACAGGAAGCTCAGCTCCATGAGGCGAGAAAGCCTCCTTGCTTTGCTCACTGCTGCGCTCCCACAGTCAAGGTCCTTGCTGGGCATGCAGTAGTGCTCGATGCATTTTTGTTGAAAGAGTGAATGAACAGTTAGGGACAGCTAAAGCTCGCTTCCCTCTGCTTGCTTCAGGGTTTGTGTGCTAAGCATTAATCATCCCCATCCAGGGCCTAACCCAAGAGTGTACCAGTCCCTTCAAACTGTCATCATTTTAAGCTCTCCTTGCTACTATTTCTGGCAGTCTCTGAGGAGAAGTCAAATGGTGAACAGTCTTGAAATCAAGCCTGCTCTGTGATTGTTTCCAGCACAGCAGCACGGCCCCCAGAGAACTCCTGACACTGGCAATAAAGAGCGGCTGACCTCAGAGTAGCTGTGACTCATGCTTCCAAATGGAAGGTGCTTTATGTGCTGCAAAGGCAGCTTTTATGAATATGATCTATTAGAAATCATTAACCATTCCGAAACATTCTTTACGTTAAAAGTCAGCAGAGTTTTCAAAGCCATTTCTTTAATTATTTTATCATGTTTGTTGGAGCCCGAATCGTAAAATTTGAACTTTTGCAGTGATCTGGCCATGTTTATATTTAGTTAACTATATTTCCGAAAGAAAGAAAGAATAGTGAAAATAGGAACATTTTGGCTTCTGGAAGTTGTAGGATAATTTTATAAAGGTAATTATTCACAATCCACCTTAGCAGAACATTTTCTGTTGTGATTTTTCAAATTAGTTTGATTTTCTTCCCTGGTTTGTTTTGTTTTTGTTTTTGTTTTTATTGTTTTTGTTTGATGCATCCAACATTTGATGGTGTCCCAGTGGATCATGCCATCCAGATATCTATTTTTTTTTCCTTTAAAGGTAGTGGATTGTTGGCACTGAAAATAAACTATAATTTTTGCTATGGTTGCTGTTTTAATGTTGTATGTTAATGAAAACAGGCTTTGACTTACATTCTTGAAAAGGGAGAGAGATGAGATGATTTGATGAGGAAGAGGCTGAGATTTCTCTCACTGAGGCTTTGTGAGCTGTCGTCACAGTGTGAAGGTGACAGTCTCCATCTCAATTGCACAGGGGCCAACTCATCACTGCTCACTTAGAGCAGCTGCTGGTCTCAGTTCGAGCAGCGAGGGAGGCTGCCAATACTCCTGAGTGATAGGAACCAGCAGGCTCAGCCACAGGACAGTCTCATGGAAACCTCTCTGCCTCCTGGACAATCCCGTTTCATGACCCTAATCAGGAAAGGTGAAGCCCCCAAGTCGTTCTTTCGTGGCTAGAGCGGCTCCTGAAGACCCCAGCTTCACACCATTGCATTAGTTTCCATCTTTTTCCCAAAATAAACAATTGGGGAGCCGAGCTTCAGTTATTTACATTTAAGGCAGCATAAGAAATCAGGCTGAAATGTCAGCAACAAAAAGGAAAGAGGACCACAAAGTGGATTAATATTTATTATCTTGGTGGGGCATGATGGCTTATGCCTGTAATCCCAGCATTTTGGGAGGCCAAGGTGGGTAAATCACCTGAGGTCAGGAGTTCGAGACCAGCCTGGCCAACATGGTGAAACCCCATCTCTACTGAAAACACAAAAATTAGCCGGGTGTGGTGGTGCATGCCTGTAATCCCAGCTAGTTGGGAGGCTGAGACAGGAGAACTGCTTGAACCCGAGAGGCGGTGGTTGCAGTGAGCCGAGATCGCACCATGGCACTCCAGCCTAGGCAACAGAGTGAGACTCCGTCTCAAAAAAAAAAAAAAATCTATATATCTATATCTATAGTATATATAGATAGACTACAATTTTATATAATCATAATATGTAGATATAGATATAGATATGGATAGATAAATAATCTTTATTTTTATGTCATCAGCATATCATTAAAGGTCATTCGTAATAGTAGGTAATTTGTCTTCATTCATACCTGAAAACAACAGGGCTAGTAGCTGGAGCTCAACTCGTTTCTGTCCACCAATGCTGCAAATATGGCCCTGATGAAATCCAATATATCACATGTATAATAGTTAATCAAATATGCATATTACATCACCAAAATTAGTACTTAATATTAAAATACGCAGGCAACTGTCTTGACTTTTGACTTTGGCAAGATAATTACTAATATCTTAGCCTAATTTCACAGATATATTTCTTTGGCCTCCATTAAATGCCAAATAGTAAATTCTAATTTAAAGTAGACATAAAGCTTTGATGTATAGAACATGAGTTTTATGGCATGAAATATAAAATTAGCACAACAAATTCTGATACCGAGGAGTTCTTAAATCTAAAGTGCTTTTCTTTTTAAAGGAAAGGAACCATGTGTATGGAGTGAAGGGAAAGGAACCATCAGTATAGTCAGAGAACTGATAAGACAGATATTCACTGAATGCTCCCCACTACCAAAGTTAACCAAAGTTATTCTCTATTTTGTATTTATTCCAAGCCAGTTGAGACAATTTCTTTGCTCTGTTCCTGGAGAAGAACCATTAATTATAGCACTTTTTACTTGTTGAGATGGAAAAAAAATCTTTATCACTTGGGCCTAAGCAAAACCAGAATCAACAGCTTATGAAATAAGAGAAAATAGGGAGTATGTCCAAAAATACATACTGATAATTACATTGTTTCCATAACTTTGGTAAGACAGCAAGATTTTCATGGAAAGAAACCACAAGATATCTCAAATCTTTACAGAGATCCAAGTTTATGTAACAGAGAAAAGAGAGAAGTAGGAAGGGAAAAGAGAAGGGAGACGTTTTTATGTATCCAAGAAGAGCCTTGAAATTTTAGCTGATCAATTGATTGGAATATGTTAAGAGTGGGACACTGATTAATTTAACATTCTGCATGATCAGGAAATTAATCAAAACTTTATGATGAAGGCCAGGTGAGGTTGCTCATGCCTGTAATCCCAGCACTTTGGGAGGCCAAGGCAGGCGGATCACTTGAGCTCAGGAGGTCGAGACCAGCCTGGCTAACATGGTGAAGCCCCATCTCTACTAAAAACACAAAAATTAACCAGGCATGGTGGTGTGCGTCTGTAATCCCAGCTATTGAGGAGGCTGTGGCAGGAGAATCACTTGTATCCAGGAGGTGGATGTTGCATTGAGCCAAGATTGTTCCACTGCACTCCAGCCTGGGTGACAGAGCAAAACTCCAATTCAAAAAAAACAAAACAAAAACAAAACAAAAAAAAACAACTTTATTGATGTAAAATTTTTTGATAATAGTCATTGGTGTACTTTCCATGTTAACTAAAAGAGTACAGATTCTGAACGTCACCAGACGTTTCTCCAAAGACTGAAGGTTATGTGGAGCCTAAGGTTTCCCACTCTTACCCTTGGAAGTCATCGTCCAAGACTAGATATTCATGGTAGAAAGTGTATGGGACTAAATGAAATAACTTTGTTGTTGGATCTAATCACACACACACAAATAATACGTGTTTCTCTTTAAAAAATCTGAAACAAAAGTTTCAATAATAAAATAAAACCTTCCAAACATTTTGTCACCTGAGTTAATCAATATAAATAACTGGGTGCATACCTGAATACAATTTTTAGCCTTCTTCTCAGTACATACTGGCTCGTGATCCCAATTTTTTAAGTCCAAATTATGTTTTCATGTTTTTCTTGTTCCTACAATTGTTTGTTTTTATTTTTGGTTACTGTTGCTTTTAATTAGTTGCTGCATGATCTTGTGTTTTGGATTTTGGTTTTTGCCCCATTTACTTTGAGGAAATAATCTGTTTTTATTTATACTAGTGAAAAGCCAACATTAAGCAAAGGAATATTTATTCATTTTATAAAAGCAAATTATATTAGGATATCTACACGTCTCCCACTTCATAGCCCAAGTTTGGCAGTTAAGTTTTTGAATCTTTTTCCTAGTCTACTACAGGTATTTTGCAGAACTATATTTTATGAGGGATTTGATTTCAAATATCATGGAAAAGATAAAAAGCATTTATAGTCAAAATTACCCTTGAAAATTCCTAAGGAGACACACTACTGAAGGCTTTATGATAAAGCCTTTTGATAAGATTAACAAGTTCAGCTTTTGGTATGAAATGTTGAAAAAAATAGCTGTTTATGTGGTTCAGTATCAGATAAAGTAAATGGCCTGCTATTAGGGACCCCAGTGTAACAAAGTGGAGATCTGTAAGCCCTTGAACCACAATGCAGACAGCTGCTCCCACTCCGGGAAGTGCATGGGACATGAGCCCCTCTAAGGGGACCACAGAAGTGCCTTTCATCTCATTGGTTGCTAGGACATATGCCTTGAGTGGGATGGCAGGCTAAATTAATGGCACTATTTAAGTTCTGCTCCATCACTTTTTTAGGGGGCCCAAGCATATATAGCTGCATCCAATTAATGCACACTTAGGTGGCATCCACCTTACTGTGGTTTTCTTTCATAAAGGATAATATTGACATATTTAGAAAACATAATAATTGTTTATTTGAATTTAATTTCATTTATTTTTAACCTTATTGCCTGGTCTTATACCAAAGCCTTCCCATATATGGGTTATTTATTCCAATTATGTCCTCACATAACTTCCAGGGAAGAAAGGGAGCGAGAACATGAGCCACCTGAGACTGCATATTTGTAAATTTATTTTTATTGACTTCACATGCCATTAATAACTTAGGTGATCTTAAATTCTCACTTACTGCTGCAATATTACCTTTCTCCTTTATTTTCTTTGTATTTCAGAATTTGTCAGCAAATAATTTTTTATTTCAGATTTTTTTTACGTTCTCAAAGATGTGCTGTTTTGATAAAATAGTTGTTTCCTGATGTAAATCTTCCAAAACATTCCGCGAACATATTCTGCTTGTTATGGTTATTTTCCTCTATTTCTGTTCCTAGTTGTTTATTTATCTTTGAAAGGAGGCAATTCATTTTCGACCACCAACTGGCCCCAAAGTAATGTAGGTCAAATGGTGTCCGGGCCCTCCTGTCCGCACCTGCCTGGATGTCATGTGTACCCTCCCCTTGCCATTGCCTGGAGCTCTGAGTGACCATGTCTAAGTTGCCTGCTCATGAACGCAGGTGCTTTAGGGAGGCGGAATGGGTGCCAGGTTCTGAGAGAAGATTTGGGGGTCTCCTCCCTCCTATTCAGAGTTCTCGCCTCGCCCCCTGCACTGGAGAGGCACAGCCCAGTCTGCCATGGGCGTTCCCCATAGATTTGCCTATTCCCTCAATTTAGGCTCACAGGCTGTGGGATGAGTAGAAGTCCTGGGTTTTAAGGGCTCTTTGATGCTACAGTGTGAGTTTCCTGTTGCTTCAGTTACTACTGGTTTTTAGTTTTGAAGAAAAAGGTTTTTGAAAAATGCCCCATTTTTCCTACCATAGGCCGTTCAGCCTTCAACATTCCCTCTCCTTGGGTTGGATGTATTTTTCTTCTTTAATTTAATTTTAATTTAATTTGTTTTTTGAGAAAATCTTGCTCTGTGCCCAGGTTAGAGTACAGTGACATGATTCCAGGTCACTGCAGCCTCTGCCTCCTGGGTTCAAGTGATTCTCCTGCCTCAGACTCTCTAGTAGCTGGGATTACTGGTGTGTGCCACCACGCCTGGCTAATTTTTGTACTTTTAGTAGAGATGGGGGTTTCATCATGTTGGCCGAGCGGGTCTTGAACTCCTGACCTCAAGTGATCCACTTGCCTCGTCCTCCCGAAGGGCTGGGATTACAGGCGTGAGCCATGGCACCCAGCGGATACATTTCTCAGATATCAGAATGGATCCACTCTGCTGTCAGCAAACAGAGCTCTGCCTTGTGGCCTCACAGTTCCCTCCGGTCTGCTACTGCTGCTGTACCAGGTGCCGTCACCCACAGGAGAGACAGGAGCTCCACGCAGGATCCCCAGGCCCAACCCTGGGCCCCTGCATTGGCAGGCTTTGTCCCTGAAAGAGACTTTTTCAGAATTTCATTCATCTATTTTTTATTTTATAACATTAGTCTCTTGAGGAATGGACTTGTGTCTGTATTTCTTCATCTGACTGCTTTTGGTGAACACTCCTCAGTGTCTGTGCTATGACATCAGCCTTCCCTAGTCCTCCGCTCCTGATCTTTCTTTGCCATTTTTACATTTTTGTGGTTGTCGTTGTTGTTTAGTCAGTTTTGGTGAGAGACGTATTAAAAATTCATACAGAAAATTCCAGTGTTCCTGGAATTCTACCATTTCTTCTTTTTTTTTTTTTTTTGAGATGGAGTCTTGCTCTGTCTCCCAGGCTGGAGTGCAGTGGCGCAATCTCAGCTCACTGCAAGCTCCGCCTCCCGGGTTCACACGATGATTCTCCTGCCTCAGCCTTCCGAGTAGTTGGGACTACTGGCACCTGTCCCCACATCTGGCTAATTTTTTTGTATTTTAATAGAGACCGGGTTTCACCGTGTCAGCCAGGATGGTCTTGATCTCCTGACTGTGTGATCTGCCTGCCTCGGCCTCCCAAAGTGCTGGGATTACAGGTGTGAGTCACCACTCCTGGCCTATCATTTCTTCTTAATAGTCTGTTCAATTATCTGAATTTCTAGAGGGTTTATTTGTCCTGAATCCACAGGGCCTGTGTGGCACGTGCCCTGAAAACTCTGGGGTGGAAGCCCTCACCTGATGCTCTGCCTGCCCTATGCCCTGTGGGAGTCCCCCACCCAGAATACCCACCTTCACATCTCTCCAGCTTGGAGTCTGCGATTAACATTTCTGTCCCCAGACTCTGGACACGTCAGGTTCTCCTGAGAATTTCGTGCTCAAGTCTGGAGGGTCTGTGAGTTTCTGTAGCTCAGCAGCCATCGAGGCAGGGAGTGGGTTGGGTGCGAGAACACTGAGAGATCAGTTTCACCTTCTGGCCGACAATCCCAACCTTAACAGACGGATGTTGTGACATGGCTTCAGTTTGCCCGAGAAGAAGGGACCAGATCCAACATAACGCTGTATACTCATACGTCTCAAAAATTTTATTTCTGATGAATTTTTAAAATTCTCTTAAGTAGACTAAAGGTGGGGGTAATCCGGCTGACTGCTCTGAACACCTGTTGGCAAGCTCTGTAGGGATGTGGGGAGCTTTATTACCCGTCCACCTCAACATGAAGTCCTCAATAGAAATTCCGGGACACCAAGAAAAGTTCCAGTGAATGTCTGAGCACTGGGGACACACTGGCTCTCCCTGATGTTGGTGCTGAATTTTACCTGAGTTTCCCTCATGCTGTGTCACCGTTTCTCCAAGTATCAAGTTCTCTCTGCCCAGAAGGACACACTTGCAACCAAAGCAATGTCACAGTATATACTCGTCATCTGATCATGGTGCAGTTAAAAGAAGATGGACTATAAGCCTAAAGGATTGTATAAAAAGTACAGGAAAAGATGCATTGCCTGACAGGGCTAGCGTGTCAAAGCTGCTCAGCTGAGCCCAGACCCGTGTCCACTGGTTCACATTGACAGCTTCCATTGCTGAAGGAGTGAGGGACAGCCAGCCACTTCCTCACTCTCCCATCCCCACTTTCGCTGCAGGGCATGTGGAGGAGGATGGAGATAAGTAAAGAAGACTCTGGAAACTCCTTTAGGTCAGAAGGGCTGCAAGAGAGACCCTCGGATGGCCAGAGAGGGAAGCCAACCCAATATTAGTAACAAAACGTGTTGCTCACAAGGCACTGTCTAGCATGAATTCACTGAAGGATTCCTAAGTATTTTAATCTCATTTTGAATATTCTGTTGCCCACTTAAGATTTCTTGTCCTCTGTGTCTTGTAAATTCGTTTTTCCACTTATATTCAAATAATCAGAGGGCTCTCCACTCACTCTACATTAGAACGCTTTCCAAAACTAGCAGCAACCCGGTGCTATTAAGCTCATTATACTTCACTCGGGTGCTTCTGAAATAAAACTACCTACTAAAACCCACTGTGTGTTCCAAAATATCCCAAGATTAGAATCCCTTATGGATCTAAGCTTGGAACAAAATTATCATTCATGTAATTCAAGAGCCAATTTGGAATCAGAACAGAGCTACCAAAAGATGCTGGAAACTCCGGTATTTCAAGGCTTTTGATCAGAGAAAGCAATCAATTAAGAGGTTTGGAAACTTTCCAGCCCCTGGCCTGAGAGACCATGCTGGGTGAGAAAGGGCCAAGCCCGGCCTGGCCCACAGTTCTAAGGTGTGGGACCCTCATAAATTAGCAGGGCTGCACTTCCTGCCGCGATGTCTTCTGGCAGTGAGGTCCTCCCGCTAATGTCTTTTCAACATGGGCCAGATGGAAACCACCTTCTGGGGGGAAACACATCTTCTCAGTTCCTTATCAGCTAGAAATCTGGGTTATCAAGAAGTGTCTTACACATACTTACCTTCTGAAGAGCGTTCTTCTTGCCGCGGAGCCTGCCAGACGTGGATTTGCATCTGCATGCGTGTGATATCACACTGAAAAATTGACACTTCTTCAGGGGTTCACTTTAATCACATGCACCCTTGGCTTCTTTCCAGGACATGGTTTAATAACTCATGCCAAACACTGACAGGAAGAAAAGACAATGATAGCTCTTTTCTTTACATCTGAACTTGGGAACTGCCATTTTTAATAGACAAAATTTTGTTTGCAGGTCAGTGACCTGTGCCCATTTTGCAAAACCGTTTATGGTGTCAGAGCATCATAAGAGGCTGTACAACTTCCATGTCTGTTTTGGAGGATGGGCTTCTGGCATTAGGGTAATGGTGCTTCCATTGTAAACATTAGAGACACAAGGCTGTTCAGGGTTTCCTACCACCCCAGAAACATGATATTCACAGGCCATCATTAGGGAGACTGTCCTTCAGTGAATGCACACTAGACAGTACCTTGTGAGCAGCACGTCTTGTTACTAACTTTGAGTGGGCTTCCCTCTCTGGCCATCCGAGGGTCTCTCTTGCAGCCCTTCTGACCTAAAAGGAGTTCCCAGAGTTTTCTTTACTTATCTCCATCCTCCTCCACATGCCCGGCAGCCAAATTGGGGATGGGAGAGAGAGGAAGTGGCTCGTTATCCCTCACTCCTTCAGCAATGGAAACTGTCAATGTGAACCAGTGGACACGAGGCTTGGCTCCGCTGAGCAGCTTTGACACGCTAGCCCTGTCGGGCAGTGCATCTATTCCTATACTTTTTACACAATCCCTTAGGCTTATAGTCCATCTTTAAACTGCACCAGGATCAGATGAGGATTGTTTCTGATGGTCATTTCTCCTCAGTTTTCCATTATAATTATGAGGGATCATAGCTGGATGTTTCACAATTAATTCTGAGATGTGCTGTTAGAGAAAGGATTATCCAAATCATATTGGGAAAAAAAATAGAATGGTGATTTGTGAGACAACACAGTGTTTGACCACAACCTGGCTGGCTTAAGAATGGATGTGCCACGCACTCCCTCATGAGCACATAAAGAGGGTCTTAAACATTTAGTTACACATTCAGAAAATCCCACCTGCTTAGTCAGCTTTATAAAGGAGACTTTAGTGTCCCGTCCCAGAATCGCAGGCTCAGGACCAGCTTTGCTCAAAAAGCTACTCTGGAGTTTGAGTTGAACATTTTCTAATATCTGATACCAGCTGTCTGGCTCGGCTTCATCAGCTTGAACTCTCTATCCAACTGCTACCAGATGGCAGGCAATACTCTGGCCGGCTGGGATCGCAGCAATTCACCCATGAGTCTGCGATATCAGATGATGCTGTGGCTTCCCAGAAACCACCGCTAGGCCCTCCTTCCTCCAGCCTGCTCACCGGCCTTAGCCTAAGTCCCAAATGGAGTATTCATTTCTCATTCTCTTTACCTGAAGCAAGACATGGACAAAAAAATTTTCCTCTTATGGAAACCAGTTTTCAGAAGCATTATACTGAAAAGCAGTAGTTGTCTTGTGTCTAGATCACTGAGCACAGTGGAGCATGTCATGTCCACACCAGGAAGTGCCACTGGGTTCCCGTTGCTGCGTGCAGGTGGTAGATGCACAGCCTGCGGTTAGAGTCCTGTGTATGTGTTCATTTAGGAGGAGGTAACAGCAAGTAGCATATACTGTGTGGATATTAGGAATTAGTCCTAATATCTATGTAATTAAACATTTTTAGGTGGTTTCTGATTAAGTGGGGATCTTAATAATTTTAAAGTTGCAGTGTACAATATATAGCTATTAGCCACATGGGATTATTAAAATTAAAACTTAAACCAAAGTGACAGTTTACGTCCTCAGTGGCATCAGCTGCATTTGAAGTGGTCAAGAACCACATGTTCAATAGCTGCATTGTCTGTACAGGTATAGGACATTTTCTCATTCCAGAAAGTTCTTTTGGGAAGTAATTACCTAGGCAATAGCAGTAACTTCAAATTGTCCAATGTGACTAATGAAAAAAAAAGGCCAATAAATATACGGAATAAATTTCAGCAATAACATTTATGATGTTAAAGCTGTATGCAAAAGAGGAGCCCATTTAATTTCAAAATACAGAATGCAGACATCCTGGGAAAATGCAGTTAGAGTAGAGAAGGATTTCCTCAACTATGAGATGCATGGGCCAGCAATTCAGTAAGACTGAAGAAAAAGGCAATGTCCTCTTGGGAAGGATTAAAAGAATGTAACGTCTCCTGTAATCCTAGCACTTTGGGAGGCCTAAGCGGGAAGATCAGTTCAGGTCAGGAGCTTGAGACCAGCCTGGCCAACATGGAGAAACCCCATCTCTACTAAAAATACAAAAATTAGCCAGAGTGGTAGTGCGCACCTGTAATCCCAGCTACTTGGGAGGCTGAGGCATGAGAATCCCTTGAACCTGGGAGGTGGAGGTTATAGTGAGCCAAGACGGCGCCACTCCACTCCAGCCTAGGTAAAAGAGTGAGACTGTGTTTCAAAAAAAGAATATGACATTGAGTGGGGAATAAAAGAAAGGATCTAATATTTATTGCATGTCTGCTATATGTCGGTCACTGTGTCAGTTACTGTTGATTTAGGGGGGTGTGACATGATCTCTGACCACAAGCCAGGCTTTAGCTGCTTTAGCTTTTTAAGTATCATCTCATTTCATCCTCAGAACAACTTTATGAATAAGGTAAGTACTAATGCTCCCATTTTATGGATGAGGAAACCAAGGATCAGTTGGCCCTGGGTCATATGGCCAGAAGTGGAACTTAAAGGGTGATGTTTCCCCTGTCCTAACACAGAGACAATGTAAGCTCCTGCAGATACCAACCTGGTCTGCTCAACTTTGGGTTCCCAGCACCTAGGAAGTAGTTAGTGCCTAATAACATTATTCAACGAATGCATAAACAAAACAAAATCCTACGTGTTTAAACCACACGATAAAGCCGGACATAAACTTCAATATGATTGCCACAAGTCGTGAGTGTCATATCCACAAATAAATAAGACATTATTTATTAATATCTTGTTAGACAACAAAAATTAGCAACTCAGGGATAGCAATGCCCTACTGTTCTTATGTTCACCATCCTAATCCATAGTTGAATAAAGATTACTTATTTTGCTTTTTGTTGCTGTTGTTTGTGCTGTTTTTGTTTTGTTTTATGGTTTGTTTGTTTGGATTTTTTTTTTTTTTTTTGACGGAATCTCCCTCTGTCGCCCAGGCTGGTTGCAGTGGTGGGATCTCAGCTCACTGCAACCTCCATCTCCTGGATTCAAGCAATTCTCATGCCTCAGATGCCCCCACCCGACCCCGAGTCCCGAATAGCTGGGACTACAGGCATGAGTCACCATGCCTGGCTAATTTTTGTATTTTTAGTAGAGATGTGGTTTCTCCATGTTGGCTAGGCTGGTCTAGAACTCCTGACCTCAAGTGATTCTCCTACCTCGGCCTCCCAAAGTGCTGGGATTACATGCATGAGCCACTGTGCCTGTTTGTTTGTTTGTTTGTTTGTTCTTGTTTGTTTGTTTTGTTTTTTGAGACAGGAACTTGTTCTATCTTTTCTTCTAGGCTGGAGTGCAGTGGTGCAATCATGGCTCAATGCAGTCTCCACCTCCTGGGCTCAAGTGACTCTCCCACCTCAACCTCTCAAGTTTCTAGGACTAGAGGCACCATATCTAGTTAATTTTTTGATTTTTTTTGTTGAGGCAGGACTTACTGTGTTGTTCAGGCTTGTCTCTAACTTCTGGGCTCAAGGAATCCTCCTACCTCAGCCTCCCAGAGTGCTGTGAGCCACCACATCCAGCTTTTGGTGTTTACTTTGAAGCAACTCCCCTGACCAGTCCAGCTCCATCTTAGGTCTGTTGGCCTTCCTAGGTCACATATGACGAAGATGATACCAATGAGAAGTTCATGCTTTTCGGAATTTTGCTCACTGCAGCTGCCTAACCTGAACCATTTCCTGCATTTCCTAACATGAGGGTAACTCACCTTGGTGCTTCTCTCCACTTCACAAAACTCTGTTCTTCTCCTGAAAATGATGAGGTCTCAAATCCTGCAAAATGTCCTTATTCCCACTCTGTGTATGACCAGTGAAAGGTCTTCTGTGGCCCTCGCTGAGGATGGAAGGATTCAGAAGGATGTGGTGCCTGTCCTACATCAGGACACTGTGGAAAGACCACTGGCAGGGATGTCCAAACCTTTTGGCTTCCCTGGGCCACATTGTAAGAAGAATTGCCTTGGGCCACACATAAAATACTGATGATTTTAAAATAGATGATCATAACATAGCTGATGAGAAAAATAAATCACAAAAAACTCACACTGTTTTAAGAAAGTTTATAAATTTGTGTTGAGCCTCATTGAAAGCCATCCTGGGCTGCAAGCAGCCCGTGTGCTGTGGGTTGGACAAGCCTGGTAGAGCCTGACAAGCTCTGGAACCATAAGCCACTCTTTAAAACTGGAACTTTATGTTCTCCTCTGTAAAACAACCACACTATCTTCCTGAAAGTACTGACATGAAAAGCTAACAAGGTAAGCCAGGAGAAAGTGAGACACTAGAAAACAATTTTACCTTAAGAATTAGGTCTATTTATTGATTTACTATAATTTATTCATTTATTTGAGACAGAGTCTCCCTCTGTCATCCAGGCCGGAGTGCAATGGCTTGATCTCTGCTCACTGCAACCTCTGCCTCCCTGTTCAAGTGCTTCTCCTGCTTCAGCCTCCCGAGTAGCTGGGATTACAGGCATGTGCCACCACACCCGGCTAATTTTGAGTTTTTAGTAGAGATGGGGTTTCAGCATGTTGGTCAGGCTGGTCTTGAACTCCTGACCTCAGGTGATCCACCCGCCTCGGCCTCTCAAAGTGCTGGTATTACAGGCGTGAGTCACGGCGCCCGGCCGGTTTACTATTATTTATTATTAATTACTTACTGGCATGCTTTCATTCCTTCCCCAATACAATGTTAATTTCCAAAATACCAATGGCTAATTTATAGTTGGTTTTCACAACATCTTAACACAGTAGCTAAAACCCTGTTGGTATGAAACCGACAATATTGTATACATATTTGAATGTTGTGATAACAGCCAGCATTTATTTCACTTGTTACTGCTTGCTGTTGCACCAGTGATGCCAATCACAACCTATCATCCCACACTCCCCTGGAGAACAGCTGCTTTGTCCATAATCTCTGCTGCCCCTAAAAGTCACTTTTAAAATATCAGATTTCTCCATCTAATCCCAATCACAACGGACTAGACTGGAGTGGGCTGGCAGGACCCAAGATCTGATGGTGTCTCGTGGTCTAACATGGAAAGAAAAATAGGCAGAGCAGCTCTTTGGAACTTGATGTAAAAAAAAAAAAAAAAAAGAACAAAGTGATTAGTTACTGGTTGGGTATTGCAGCTAGAAGGTCACATCGAATCAGGGCCGGAGAGAAAATGACTCCAATATGTTTGCCTCAATTATAAGGAAGAAGAAACAAGGAGCAAATAAGGAAGGATCTTTGGTAAAAAGAATATAACAGAGCTGATCTGCAGAAAGGACCAAGATGCTGTAAAAGGGACTCCATGCTGTTCCCTTAATTCAGGTTTCAATTCTAAATCCCAAGAAGCTTCCCGCCTTCTCTACCCTGAGCACAGGCCTGGTCCCACTTAGCTTTTCTAGGGTAATGACCCTCTTCCAAGCAGGAGAAATTCCAGAAAAGAGAGAGAGAAAGGAGACAGGGTTCAGAAGAAAAAGGAGCAATCTACAATGGACATATTTTGTGCAAAAGAGAATCAAGGCATCCTTATTTTTCACACCACAAATTCCATCCTTAGCTCTGTGAACACACCAAGTTCCCTCTGAACTGAAATGAACATTAGCTCCCATTTTAGAGTGAAAGGTGGGGAAAGTGAGATCTTAAACTCCTTGCCCACATTTGGCACATTTGAGGAACCACTAACATTTATCACGTACGAAGAATTTTCATACATATTATCATATTTGATCCTCACAAAGACATCAAGAAATAGGTATAATCATCACCATCTAATAGAAAACTAAATTACATCTCAAAGAGATAAATGGACTTGCTGGATTTTACATTCCTGGGTAAAATGGGGATTGAAATGTAGATCTTCATGACGAAGGGAACAACAGACATGAGGGCATACTTGAGGGGGAAGGTGGGGAGGAGGGAGAGGATGGAAAAACGACCTACCAGGTGCCATGCTTATTACCTGGATGACAAAATAATCTGTACACCAAACCTCCATGACATGCAATTTACCTATAGAACAAACTTGCACATGTACTCCTGAAACTAAAATAAAAGTTTTTAAAAAATCAGTTAAAGTTTTCTTATTCTAAATCAGGTGCTCTTTCTACCAAATCATGCTGATAAGAGGTTTGACAAACATCTTAATTGAGCCACTCTTAAAATACAAGCCATTCATATTTTTCAGAAAACCTCACAGGCCCAGACGTCAGGGGCTGGGGCATTAGAAATGTGGAAGGGAAGGTGCCCCAGGGGGCCGGACCTTACAACAGCTGGCTTCCACCTGGCCTTCTTGTCTGATGCCTGTTGGCTATGGGGCACTCTTAACTACAATGCTCATGCTCTGGGTAGCTGGATGTTCGTTGAAGGTAGAACCTGGAGAAATCTAATCATCTGATAATAATCACAGATCCTATCTCCAACATTCTGTTTGTTGTTCTAGCCTTGTACATTATCATCAATTATTCTGAATGAACCATACATTCAATTTAAAGGAAATTTTTAGAGTCCTTGTTTTGTGACCAGAAAAATTCTGAGGATTTCATAAGAGAACTCTTTTCATATAGTCTCTCCCTCCAAAGAGCTATCAGCTTATGTAGAAAGGCAGGGCTTTGCACATCCGCTAGAGAGAGAAAAAGAAGAAGAAGACGTCCTTCAGTTCACGTGTTCTCAACACTACATTGTTGCTAGGAGTGGAGAGAAAAATTTCTGGGCAATTTTGAAAAATATGGTCCTTCCCCAGATTTTTGAAAAATATGGTCATTCCCTTTGGGAGCTCAAAGTTTCATGTGATCGTTGTCTATTTCTAATAAAAGTGCTAAAAATTCCTGGATTGTTTCAATTTTGAACAAGCATACGGCCAAGGTGCTCAAAGTCAGGTAATCCTCAAACCAAGAATCCAACTGGCTGTCCACAAACAGCACCCTCATCATTCTCATGAAGGAGGTGCCCCACTGTGGGCTGCTGACTTGCCCACCTTCTTTTCTTACTGGCTGCTGCTGTTTTTTTTTTTTCTTTTTTTTTTTTTAAGGCGGAGTCTCATTCTGTCATCCAGGCTGGAGAGGAGTGTCCAGCGGTGCCATCTCGGCTGACTGCAACCTCTGCCTCCTAGGTTCAAGCAATTCTCCTGTCTCAGCCTCCCATGTAGCTGGGACTACAGGTGCACGCCACCACACCCAGCTAATATTTTTTGCATTTTTAGTAGAGACAGGGTTTCACCATATTGGTAAGGTTGGTCTCGAATCCCTGACCTCAGATGATCCACCCCCCTCAGCCTACCAAAATGCTGGGATTATAGGTGTGAGCCACTGCGCCCAGCCCTGGCTTGTTCTTGAACCTGCTCTGCTGTGGCTCTTTGAAACCATGAAATTCTGGTTTTATACTGCTGCTTGGCTACACCTTCTTAGTCTCCCCTGCCAAAACATTATATTGTGGATATTCTGGGGTTCCTCCTTCATTCCTCTTCTTTCTCCACAACACTCTTCCTGGTGGTCGTCATTCACTTTGATGACTTCAGTTCCTACCCATGAGTCACCCACCCAACCTCTTCTAAGTCTTTGCCTCTTACATCCAACTCTGTAGTTAAGCCTGTTCACCTGATGTCTCAAAGGCACTTCAAATTCCATGTGCTCCAAACAGAATGCCATCTTCCCTCTCACCAACCCTGTTCCTCGTCCTGTGCTCCTAACTCCAGGAAGGGATGCTACGTTCTTTCCTGACCCCTGATAGAAGTGACCTGGGCAAAGCCACCTGACTCCGGACATGCAGAGCAGTGTGAGTGGTGCCTTCCCTCTACAGAATGGGGAAGCTGGGCTTGAATCTCCCCTATGCCAAATCCCAGAGAGGCATGAGGCCCCATCGCCATTTTCATGTTTTCTGTGTTGGGAGTAATGGCTGTTTTGGAAGTCTTAAAAACCACTACTCTATGTGATCTTCAATCTCCTACACCATTTTGGAAATATGAATGGGGAAAAAACTGTAATAATAACTACAATAAAGTGAGGAAATGTAAACTCAGCACCAATCTCTTCTACAAATAAAAGCTTTCTCTCTGAGAGCTGGCTTCTCTTACCTCTGTCTTCACATATTCTGCAAATTAAAGGTGTTGTTCAGCTAACCATATTTTCTTGCTTTCAAAAGGTAAAGGTAATAGAAATTGATTCAACATCAAGCCTGCTGATTCAGCAAAAGAAAAAAAAAAAGCCATCAACCACAGCAGACAGCAGTCCCTTTGAAAGTTTCCTTTAATGAGGTAACCAGCCCCAGAGAGGCACAAGATGGACTGGGAGGGGGAGCGCTATGTAAATGAGGGCTCTTTCCCCAAGGATGAAAACACCTGATCTGGCAAAATTTCCATCTTGCCTTGTCGGTGGCCCATCTAATTTGCACATAGCAGGAGTGTGAGGACTCATTGCTAGTTTCATAATTGTTGGGCCCTGTAATGTACTGTGGACTGCTCAGAAAACACATTCAATTCCATTCCATTCCATTTCTTTCAAAGTCCCTCCATAACTTGCCTGATTTTTTTTTGTCTGTGCTTAGAAAGTAAGGGACCACGTTGAGTAGTTTTCAGGAAATGATCAGACCAAACAGGGCATTAAACAAAATGCATTATTGAAGTTTAGTCTACTGCTTAACGTATATCCTCTCTCAAATGTGCATTCGCCTATAAAACTGGAGGAGAAGAAAATGAAAGCCATAAAAAGCTGTCCAGATGCATTCTGCTTTTTGAAGCTGGGAGATGTGCAGAGAAAGTTCAGCTTTTAATATTTCAAAATATAGCACAACCACCCCAGGGTGATTTTATTACGTGATTATTCATTTGGGTAGCATATGCCTTAGATGGGTAATACCTTTGTTTTTAAAAATGTATATTTTTCTCCAATACACCTCTCAATTTGAGGCTAGGACCTAATTCTTGTCGATTCAATTAGCATGTATGTTTTTTAATTAGAGTTAACCACAATCCCACCGCCATCAAAAAGGTCTTTACATTTACAAATTTTCCTGAGTTGCTTTCCTTTTGATTCAATGAGACAGTGAGGCCTATGTTGTTTCTAGTAGACATTAAAATTTAACAGGACCTCAAATAAGAAAATATTTTTCCTGTTTTTTTTTTTTATTTATTTCTCATGTGCTTAAAAATTAACAAATTTTTCTTGATCTGGATTTTTAAAAAATCTCCTTTGATTATTTTTTGTTGTTGTTGCTTTTGGTTTCTTCCCTTGAGGCTTAGTATAGGGCTGATTAGTGTTTTCCTTCCCCCAAACAGGAATCTTTTAGCAAACACACATGGCATCACGGTTCATGTGTGCTCACTCACAGACAGTGTGGGAAAGCCTGGTGCTTCAGTGATTAATTGGGGTTCCAAGATAGGTCTTGGGACATGATAATTCTTTATGGGAAATGGGATTAAAATTGGACACTTCTACAATTTTCCTTCTTTATAGTGAAAATTTCATTTTTCATTAGTTGGCCAAATAATTCCATGTGCAGTCATCCCTGAATTAATCTTGAATTAATTTTTAAATCTCCTGTCTTCTAATATAGAATTTGCTATAAGAAAACGCAGCACAGTCCATCTTTCATTAGACACGGGGTGAGGGGTCAGCAGACACCCTTGCTACACTGAAAATGAAGGCCCCACATCTGGCGCAGGCTGGCGTCTGGAAGGGAAATGCACAGCCGTGGTCTTGCTCGTCCTGCAGAAAACGTCGGCTTCAGAATGGCTGCAGGCTGAAACATGAACCAGGGCATCTGAGTGCCGGAATAGGCTGTTTGTGTATGGAGCTGGTTTATTAGCCAATGTGCAGGCCTGGAGCCCACAAGAAGTCTACCCTCCAGCTGATCTGTCACACACTTAACAAGCTGTGTATAATATAGCCCATCTCATGCAGAAGGGGGGACTCATTCCCTCAGGTATCAAAAGACCTGATACTTTTAGCATGGGGCATGCTCTGGTTTTGAGGGTTTGCCTCATTACAAGCCGCAGGCTCTTTGAAATCAGAGGAAGAAAGCACACAGACCCATTACATTTTACTCCTGAGCTCTGCTGGGGGAAGGACTTGCTGCTCTTTGTACACTTCTTCGTCCATGTCTGGACATAGCCTCATGCGTTTCTTTTTTCATGCTTCACCTAACAATGAACATTCAATAAAAATTCCAAGGCTACCCAAATCGCAGCAGAAGAGGGTGTGGGAGTGAACTTGAGGTGTGCCGTGGGGTCTGGCCCTCAGCAATTTAAACAGAGCAGCTTTCCAAACTCAGCAGAGCACACATCAGAGTGTGTTTAGTTCATCTGGGCTGGTGAGTTCCAGTGATGAAAGCCTGGTGCTAATGGAGGCGAGGTCACCGGTTCAATCCTCATAGGACCCAGTTCACTTACAAGAGAAAAAACACTACTCAAGAACCAGAGACACCTCCTGACCCCAGTCACTGACCACAAGAAGGATGGGGTGAAAACGATGGCTGACCCAGGGCAAAACCATCTGATAAACAACTCAGACAGCACACCCCCAACCCCCAGCAGGAGAAGCCAGCACCTTCTAGTTTAAGGATTTTATAAAACCGCTTTTATAAAAATCCCTGCGGACAAGTTCACAGTAGCTGACTCCCCAAGATGAGACGTGCTGCTTTAGGTAACCTTTGGGTCCTTTCTGCTTGGGAAATTCCTTTGTCCCCTTTAGTTCACCCCAGAAGGGCCCCAGTGTGTTGCACCGGGAGGAGATTTAGCCTCCCGGGGGCCAGGGTCAGGGGAGGGAGCTGTGGGACGCAGAACCTGCCTGCTCTGCAGGTCTGAAGGAGAGACTGTTGAACTTCACAGACTTCCGGAAAAACAGGCGGTGAGGGAGGTGGAGGGGAGGCGGGGAGGGGGCTGCTGTGTTTATCCAAGTGCTCCAGCGGCTGCGGGAGTTTTCTGCTTGTGTTTATATTTTCAGAAGGGGGCTGAAGAGCTATGCCCAGACTGGAGCACGAGTCTGCTTGCTGGTGTGTTTCTCAGTCCAGTTTGATTTTTTAAAGGTACCCTCCATGGGACAGAACTCTGCTTACAAACTTTAAAACTGGATGATGCAAAAATTACCTGCACAGCAGAGGAGGACAACGAACCATAGTAAGTTTAAGTGATGGATTCTTTAATCTATCATTAATTTGTACAGATAAGTCAAAGAAAGGTAGTAGCAGATACGGAGCCCTCGCCGTGTACGCAACGCTTGACATCCTTTCTCACTGAGTCCCCACAGTAGACCTAGTGCTGCCATTTTGCAGGTGAGAAAACTGAAATGCCATATACGGTAGAGATGGGAGTCGAAACTCCTACTTCCTTTTGATAAATCCAGGATTCTTGCCTTAGTAAAATGGACTGTTTTTTGATTGCTGTTTTTTGCTTGTTTGTTTTGCCTTAAAACGCAATATAAATATATAGAGTTAGCTCTCCATTGTTACTTCTTTATAATTGAGATCAATAAGTACATTATTATAAAAATTAGGAGAAACAATACACTGATATAAACAATTACAATGTCTCTGTTGTTTTTAAATAAAAAAAAAAAAAACTGATTTTGCTTTTATCCATAACAGAAAAGGTAAGTTTGTGGGCTGGCTTCTTAGAAAAGACTCAGAATGGTTTACATAAATGTGTCCTTTGAAATGCCTAAGTGCAATAATCAAAGAAAATCGAAAATTAAATTTCCATATGAAAACTGATCCAGTCAACTAAAATTACTGCAAAGCTAAGGCATCCATCATTACTTTGAGCAAAGGGCTAGTGCCCCCAAACCCACGTATGATTTTATACACCCATAGCTCCATATTCGGGGATTTGGCTCAGCTGGTGGGTGCACGTGGCAATAAAGAGGCCAGCCAACTCCACAGAGAGCTGCCAGGTTAACCCTGGGCTGTGGGCAGAGCTAATAAAAAACAGGCACACCAGCCCAAACCCCAGACACACACAAAACCCAGCCTCAACTATTTTAATGTTTTCTTTCTTCTATTTATTTTTCCTGTTTTTTTCCTTTCTCCTTGTAAGAGTCCTCAGAAATCTTTTTCCAGTTCCGTTCCAGAGGAAAAGAAGACATTATAAAAATTAAAAAGGACAGTTGAGGTTTACAGATAAGCTTATCTTTGAGCTAAGAGTCTGAGGATGTGAACCTAGCAAACAATTGTCATCATAATTATTGTTCACAATAATCAGAAGAGAAGGAATGGGAAATGCCTGCTTCTAACATCTCTTTTCTACCTAAGTAATGAATGTATGTTGTCTCCCTCTTTATCATAAACTGACATATGTTTTAATGTATATGTATTTTTCTAGTTACATATTTTTAAAAAGAAACAAAAGACAAAAACAAAACAAAGGCAAAAATACTGGCTCTCAAGCAGAAAATATTTAAAAGGCTATAAAAGGCATGGAGTAGAAGAAATAAAAAGGTAACCAAAGTAAGAGTGAAATCTATCAACTTCATGCTTTTCCTTCTAAGTCTGGAGTAGTAGGTAAGGGGCAGTGACACCAACAGGGCTTGTGATCCCACACACCTAATATCATTCACGCAGAGTTTAGAGGTAGTTTAGTACTGTAAAAAAAAGTATGACTTTGAAATTAAAAACTCCCTAGCTCAAATCCAAGCTCCACTGTTTATGAGTTCTGTGGTCTCAGGCAAGTTACATTTCTCTCACCCCTTTCTGTACAAAAAAGAATATTCCTTACTTTTAGGATGATTGTGGCAATTAATAGAAGTTTTAAATTTTAAGATTCTAGATGGTATTTTGCATGTAATATGATATGAACTAATATAACGCGCAGCCCTCATGAAAGGGATTATCTTTATAATAAGATAGAAGAGAGCTTGCTTCACCCTGGTGTACACCATATGATGATACAGCAAGAAGGTGGCCTCCTGCCAACCAAGAAGAGAGCCCTCACAAGAACTCAACCATGCTGGCACCCTGATCTCAGACTTCAGTCTCCAGAGCTGTGACAGCATAAACTTCTGTTTAAGCCGCCTAGCATTCTAGTAGCCACCCGTCTCTAGTATCCTTCAGAGCAGCCCAAATGGACTAAGACATAATAGGTACATAATAAACAATAGCTATCATTCTGGCTGTTTTTTGGTATTTGGCAATCTGGTAAATAAATAGCAGAAAGTAAGACTCTCATTAATTGGTGAACTCATTTTGATTTATCGAGATGAGAAATTGGTTAATGGGTGCAATGCATGTTATTCAGATGATGGATACCCTAAAAGCCCTGACTTCACCACTACTTAGTTCTACACATGTAACACAATTGAACATGTACCCCATCCATTTGTACAAATAAAAAAAAGATTGTAACAAATCCAACAAGCAGGTACAATATTCCATACTTTTAAAATTTTTGTGCAAAGTTTCCGGACCTTGTCACTATCTAGAAAAAATAACTGATTTGATGAGCCATCATGGCAGGTGAGTAGTGGGGAGGGCCTGCACTGAACAGGAGAAAGATGGCACAGAGGGAAGGGCACTGGGCTATGGGAAGGTGCAAGACCTGGGTTCTGGTCTCACCACTGCTATCCCGTGAAAGTCACTTAACCATCTGAATGGCAGCACCTCCTCTATAAACAAAAATAGCATAGTAGATCCTTCCCACTCAGGGCTAATGGATGAAGCTGGGGATTCCACAAAGGCTTCAAACCTCTACAGTCTTAGGAATGCATCGATCTACTATTAAGTACTCTCCTGCCAATACCATCTAACATTAAAAACAGGTTCATTTTTCATTAATTCAATAAATATTTGAATACTACCCTTCTTATGCACTGAATAGTTCTACCTCTACACATTCGTATGTTGAAGCCCTTACCCTCAGGTACTTGGATGTGGTTCCTTTGGGAGATCATTAAGTTTAAATGAGGTCATGAGAGCAGAGCCCCCATGATGGGTGATGTGGTTTGGCTCTGTGTCCCCACCCAGATCTCATCTTGAATTGTAATCTCCACGTGTCAAGGGAGGGACCTGGTGGGAGGTGATTAGATCATAGGGGCAATTTCCCCCATGCTGTTCTCATGATAGAGAGGGAGTTCTCATGAGATCTGATGGTTTAAAAGTGGCAGTTTTCCCTGCACTTGCCCTGTCTCCTTCCGCTTTTTGAAGAAGGTATTGCTTCTCCTTCACATTCCGCCATGATTGTAAGTTTCCTGAGGCCTTTCCAGCCATGTGGAACTGTGAGTCAATTAAATGTCTTTTATTTATACATCACCCAGTCTCAGGCAGTTCTTTATAGCAGTGTAAAAATGAACTAACAGGAAATTGGTACTGGGAGTTTGAGGCACTGCTATAAAGGTATCTGAAAATGTGGAAACGACTTTGGAACTGGGTAACAGGCAGAGGTTGGAACAGTTTTGGGAGCTCAGAAGAAGACAGGAAGATGTGGGAAAGTTTGGAACTTCCTTGAGACTTATTGAATGGTTTTGACCAAAATGCTGATAGTTATATGGACAATGAAGTCCAGGCTGAAGTGCTCTCAGATTGAGATGAGGAACTTATTGGGGACTGGCACAAAGGTCACTCTTGCTATGCTTTAGCAAAGACACTGGTGGCATTTTGAACTTGAACTTGATACAAATGACTTAGGGTGTCTGGTGGAAGAAATTTCTAAGCAGCAAAACATTCAAAAGCTGGGCGATTCTGAAAGCATTCAATCATATACATTCACAAAAAAGATTATCTGAAGCTGGTTCTTTTATTTAATTGGGAAGCAGAGCATAAAAGTTTGTACAATCTGTGGCCTGACCATGCAATAGAAAGGAAAAACCCATTTTCTGGGGAGAAATTCAAGCCAGCTTTAGAAATTTGCATAAGTAATGAGAAGCCCAATGTTAGTCACCAAGACAATGAGGAAAATGTCTCCAAGGCATTTAAGAGATCTTCATGGCAGCCCCTTCCATCACAGGCCCAGAGGCCTAGGAAAGAAAAATGGTTTAACGGGCCAGGCCCAGGGCCCTGCTGGTCTGTGTAGCTTCAGGACATGGAACCCGGCATCTCAGCTGCTTCAGCTCCAGCTGTGGATAAACGGGGCCAAAATACAGCTCAGGTCATTGCTTCAGAGGGTGCAAACCCCAAGCTTTGGTGGCTTTCATGTGGTGCTGGGACTGTGGGTGCACAGAAAACAAGAGCTGAGCTTTGGGAATCTCCACCTAGGTTTCAGAGGATGCATGGAAACACCTGAATGTCCAGGCAGAAGTCTCCTGCAGAGGTGGAGCCCTCATGAAAAACCTCTACTAGGGCAATGCATAGACGAAATGTGAGTTGGAACCCCCACAGAGTCCCCACTGGGGCACTGCTTAGTGGAGCCATGAGAAGACAGCCACTGTCCTCCAGGGTCCAGAATGGTAGATGGACTGACCGCTTGCACCATGAACCTAGAAAAGTCGCAAACACTCAACACCAGCTCATGAAAGTAGCCAGGAGTGCTGTACCCTGAAAAAGCACAGGGACAGAGCTGCCCAATACCAGGGGAGCCCACCCCTTGCATCAGCATCCCTGGATGTGAGACATCAAGTCAAAGTACAGTGTTTGGGAGCTTTAAGATTTAACGAGTGCCCTGCTGGGTTTTGGACTTGCAGGGGGCCTGTGGCCCTGTTGTTTTGGCCAATTTCTACTATTTGGAATGGGAATATTTACCAAATGCCTGTACCCCTATTGTATCTTGGAAGTAAGTAGCTTATTTTTGATTTTACAGGCTCATACATGGAAGAGAGTTGCCTTGTCTGAGATGAGACATTGGACTGTGGACTTTTGAGTTAATGTTGGAATGAGTTAAGACTTTGGGGGAATGTTGGGAAGGCATGTTTGATTTTGCAATGTGAGAAGGACATGAAATTTTGGAGGGGCCAGTGATGGAATAATATGGTTTGGCTCTGGGCCCCCACTGAAATCTCATCTTGAATGGTAATCCCCATGTATTGAGGAAGGATCTGGTGGGAGGTGATTGGATGGTCAGGGCAGTTTTCCCATACTGTTCTCATAATAGTGAGGGAGAGCTCATGAGATCTGATGGTTTAAAAGTGGCAGTCTCCCCTGTGCTTGCTCTCTCTGCTGTCACCTAGTGAAGAAGGTACTGCTTCTCTTTCACCTTCTGCCATGATTGTAAGCTTCTTGAGACCTCCAGCCATGTAGAACTGTGAATCAATTAAATCTCTTTTATTTATAAATTACCCAGTCTCAGGTAGTTCTTTCTAGTAGTGTGAACTGCTAGAAATACAATGGGGTTAGTGTCCCTATAAGAAGAGCAATAGACCCCAGAATTTTCTCTCTCTCTTCCCTCACAGTATGAGGACACATATTGCAGGCAGCCAGGAACTGGTCCTCACCAGAATCAAATCTGTGAGCACCTTGATCTTGGACATCCCAGTTTCCAGAACTGTGAGAAAGAAGTGTCTGTTATGTAATCCTCCTAGCATCTGGTATTCTCTTCTAGCAGCCAGAGCTTACAAAGACAACTATGTTCTTGGCACTGACCAAGACTCTGTTGTGGGTCTAATGTGACACAGTTGTCTTTATCTTGAAGAGTTTATAATATGACAAGAAAACATGTACATACTAACTATAATATTTCATAAAATGATAAGTTTTACAAAAGTGCTAAATTTAAAATATCAACATCAAAACTCTGAGGTAGGAGAGGTATTTTCCCAGTGAAGACAATCCCAAAAGTCTTTAAGTAAAAGAGGATATTTGAGCAGGACCTTGAGGGATGTATTGATTTCTGATAGACAGATAGAGATGGAATGGAGGGCTGGAGACCTAGAGAGTGATAAGGAAAAAATAAGTCATGGCTAAAAATGGTATCTCAGGAATGACTAATAAAGTTATGAAATTTTTTTAAAATGAGTTTGTAAAAAACTCTAAAATGAGCTTTAATTTTGACCACACAACTTTGCACTTCTTTAATTTGCAATAAAGGGAATTTGATTTTTTTAATTACCCTACATTATACACCAAGAAAAACATTATTTTTAAAGAAATAAATGTAACCAATTATCAGGCACCAAGGAGTCCTACATTTATTGATGCTTTAATAAAATATAAGAAAGTGCACCATAAAAGCTGGATTGATATTGCTCATCAACCTGCTCATAGAAATGACTCAAGAGCTTGTGACTAAACTCTGGAGGAGTCACCTCCACTTTGTGCCATTTACCACAAGTCTGAATATGCAAGAGACAAAAGTATATCCTAGAATTCACCTTCTGATTCATCTAGATGATTTATTCAAAGCTGGCCAGTAACTAGTAACTAGTTTTAGACAATGATGAGTATTATAGGACAATAAAGAAATGTTGACTTCCAATTGTGATGTCATTAAGTCTCCTGGGAATAAGTTTCCTTGAAAACAATGAGGTCGTGAGACCTCAGAGAACCAAAGCACCTCATTGGAGGTCTCAAGAAGTTCTCTCTCTCTCTATATATATATATATGTGTGTGTGTGTATATATATGTATATATGTATGTATACTTGCATATATACATATATATGTATGTATATGTGTATATATACATATATGTATGTGTATATATACATATATGTATGTATATGTGTATATGTGTATGTGTATATAGAGAGAATGTGTGTATATACATACGTATATATGTATGCATATGTATATACATATATATGTATGTATATATGTATATATATGTGTATGTATATGTGTGTGTGTATATATATATATATAGAGAGAGAGAGAGAGAAGGTAAATAAATTTGCATTTGCAAAGTGTATTTCTGGAAACATTGAGGGACAGTGTGGGGATAAAATATCCCCAGGTCAAGAATGTTTGAGGTGCTGCATACCCCATGGCCACCCTGAGGCTTCATGACACAGTAGCAGGCTAAAGGCTCCAGAGAACACACAGTGAAGAAACCTGCCTCTTCTCTTACCAAGTCTGTTTGACCATGGCACCTTTATTTGTATCAATACCATGAAGATCACAGAAAAAGGAGTAAAAAATATTAAAGCAGATAATCTTGAAGATCACTAGATTCCAATTTAAAATAAACTACCCAGGCCAATTTTCATCAGTAAATTCAATAAAGTGTTTCCTGATCATTTGAGGAAATTCTGTGAAACACTGATTTGTAGGTTCTATTACTGACCCAGTGTTTCTTAGAAGGGGGCTCAAGATCTGCATATTCAACAAGCTTCCCAAGGGATTTTGATGGATTCAGAACCACCCTCTACAAATCCCTTCTAACCACAACAAAATGGTAAGTTATAAGCTCCAAAATGGACTTTATCAATTATTGATTGCAGTATTTTCTGCTTCATGGAAATGAAGGCCTGTGAATTAGAGTTTACTAAAGAGATGTAGACAGTATATCCATGGGAGAAGCCCAGCTGAAACTGACCCACGTGGGGGATCCTCATCTGTTGATCTTGCTATTTCACTGCCCCCTCCAAAATGCACAAAGTAAACTAATCATTTACCTTGCCTTAGCATTGCCAAGGAGTGTGGGCACAGCATAGGTGACAAAGTGGAAGGGGGATGCTATCTCCTTTCCAACCATGCCCTTTAAGAAGGTATGTTTAAACTAGAGCATCTTCCTCCAACATGCAAAATTTTTTAAATCTATGAAAGGGGAAAAGAAAGCCAAAGCACTTGATGAATCAAAACTCTTCCTATTTCAGGATGGGCTGAGTGTTCATATTGCCTCACCTTTCATCAAAGCACCATCTGGGAACCAGAACTTGGCATTTGAGAAAAATCAGAGATGACTAAGAATAAGAACAATCTCATCAGGAGAAGAGCCGTTGATCTCCTGTTCCTCTTCTAGAAGTTGGTACCAGTTGAAACTAAAGGAGGGTGTGCATGAACTATGGCAGATCCAGAATATTCTGTTTCATTTTCAGTTGACCTGATGCATACATACGGCCCTGTTCCCAGTGGGCAGGCAAGCCTGGATCTTTCTCCACATGGTGCCAGTCAATGGTTCAATCCAAAAGTATTAATGTCAGCCAAGTCATATCAAAGTTCCTGCCTTATCTAGATGAGACTTCCACCACAGATCTTACAGATGATCTTATACAACATATATGTCCATTTCAAATTGAGAAAACTGAGGCTGGGAGGGTAACTAACTGGTCTGAGGGCCTCTAACAAGTCTGTGGTCAATTAGCAAGAGCTCTCTGTCAGCTCACCTCTGTGCAGTGTGCCAAGGCCACACTCAGACCCACACTGACATTGTACAAAAACTAAAATGAACGATTCCCAGAGTTCTCCAACTAAACTTTCTGTTTTAGATGAAGGACAATAATACAGACAAAATGAAAATTACATCCTTTGTGTGAGTAGAGTATTATGTAATTGTAATAGACCTCTTAAGGAAGAGGACAACATAAAAGCGGTAATTTTTTAAATAAATCACAGTGGGCATGATTCTTCATTGATGGATACATTTTCAACCAGACAATCATCAAAAACAATGCTGATCTTAACTTCTTTGTAATTCACAAAATTCTGGGCCATGCCATGGAATAGTCGGAAATGGCCTAAACCATCTAAAAAATCCCATTCCCCAGCAATCATTCTAGAGGCTCGCAGGTGAAAATGGATTGTAAATTGAAAATATTCCCCAAAAGCGGCATGCATTTCTTGACAGAAAAGCAAGCTGTAGACTTACAAATGACATTTACAGAAGTGCTTATGTGGGGCTGGGGCAAGGTACATCTGATTTTCGTTAGGATTGCTAAAGAGCATTTTCTAAATATTTGAGTGTAAACCACTGCAGTTATTACCCATATTTAACATTCAAATGGCCAGAACCAATGGCAGTCTGGAAGATTTCATTTTCTGCAGGAGAATATCAGTATAGTCATGCACTGTGGAAGCTGGATAGTCCTGGTACAATTCACAGTGGCTGCATTTGCTGTATAATTGAAAGGATCAAATTACAACCCCAAACCCCGCTCCTAGCACAAGAAGAATTTGTGTTCAGGTTGGCCCTCGGACCACAGTGAGAGGGAGCTGGTCATAAACATTCCAACCGGCTTTCACGTTGCTTGACTTTACCCAGACAACACTTCCTATCTCTTGATTTTTCACCTTCTTAAAAATAGGCCTTTTGAAAGCCCATTCTTAATTAGTTTACCTTAAAATATGTCCTCTACAGCTATTCAGACAAAAGGAATGTGATACTTGGCTTGTTTAAACAGTATTCAACTCATGTGAAACAAATTATTCACATAAAGCAGGGGATTACAGGCAAAACCTTTACAGTCGGGGAAAAAAGCACAAGTTGACCTTGATTTTTTTCTCTCCATGAATTTAATACAGCTCAAGGAACCACTGATGCATGTGTGTACCAAGCATGTGCTCTGGGCTGAGGCCCTGCCCTTTGAAAGCCTCACAGACAGATTTGAAGAAAACCCAGTGTCTCTAATCCTTTGGTAAAATCCACAATTGCTCATTTTCCTCATACAAAGACATTTCTTGGATTTCTTTGACATTCTCTGATGAATAGATCATATTTTCTGATGAATAAATCTGTTATTTTTTCTGTTTATTTTATCTTACCTAATTGTTTGCATCAATATATACAACTTTAAACTATAATGTAAATAATAAAGATGTAAGTATTTTATTGTTTATTTGTATTACAGGAATTGAGAACAGAAAGGATCATTAAACATCACCTACTCCAAATGCATTCGTTTCCAGAACTCCACAAGCAAGGGCAGAGCCCAGGACTCCTGTTGCCTGATTTTGTGCCTGAGGATCTTGGCTCTTGAAGCAGGAGAACCTTCAGTGTATGTTAGAAACTTCTGGGAGGGCTTGGCCAAGATACAAGCTCTGGATCCCACCACGGAGATTCTGCTTCTGCAGGCTGAGGTCTGTCCAGGAAACAGCATTTTAATAAGCTCAGATTCTGATTTGGATGATCTTTGAAACAAACCAAAGCCCAATACACACAAGCTTCCCAATCACTTGCAGTTAATTTTCACAAACGTTTTCTTATATTCATTATTAATCTAGAAAAAAAGCAATAAATATTTTCTAAGCACTTCTTTTTAGAAATTATTTTTATTATGGTTACATATATGAAAAATAATAAAAATTGCCATTTTAACCACTTTTAAGTGTACAAATCAGTGGCATTAATTCTATTCACAATGCTGTACTATCACATTATAGTAGGTAGTTACAGTTGTAACTGTTACCACGATCTATTTCTTTCTTCTTTCTTTCTTTTCTTTTTTTTTTTTTTTTTTTGAGGCAGAGTCTCGCTCTGTCACCCAGGCTGGAATGCAGTAGTGCGATCTCGGCTCACTGGAACCTCCGCCTCTCGGGTTCAAGCAATTCTCTGTCTCAGCCTCCCCAGTAGCTGGGATTACAGACGCCCACCACCACGCCTGGCTTAGTGTTGTATTTTTAGTAGAGACGGGGTTTCACCATGCTGGTCTTTAACGCCTGACCTCATGATCCACCAGCCTCGGCCTCCCAAAGTGCTGGGATTACAGGTGTGAGCCACCGTACCCTGCCACCATTATCTGTTTCTAATACTTTTTCATTACCCACAAATAGGAACTTTTTACCCACCAAGAAATAATTTCTCATTCTCCCTTCATGCAGCCCCTGATAACCTCTGATCTTCCTACCTCTATAACTGCACCCAATGTAGATATTTCATACCAGTAGAATCATACAAATTTGTCCTTTTGTGTCTGAATTATTTCATTTAGCATAATGCTTCCAAAATTCATTCATGTTGTAGCAAGTAGTGGAACTTCATTTCTTTCTATGGCTGAATAATATTCCATTGCATGGATATATCACAATTTATGTATTCATTCATCAGTTAATGGACACATATTTCCACCCTTTGGCTATTGGGAATAGTGCTGCTATGGACATTTGTCCATAAGTATCTGCTTGAACCCCTGTTTTCAATTCTTTTGTGTATATACATAGGAATGGGGTTGCTAGGTTATATGATAGTTCCAGGAATAACATTTTGAGGATCAACCACCAACCTATTTCCCCCAAGCATTTCTTTTGTAGACCTAACAGAGCCCGTACCAGGGTTTGACAACAGATAACCTCTGACGCATATATGGTATGACAACAGCTCAACAGCACAATATATATTCATTTTATTTAACATCCAAACTCATTCTCTGAAGATTTGAACTGGCCTCTAAAATAATGTAAAATAAAGTAGATAAACATTAATAACTACAAAGCATATGCTATGCTGATATAAATTATTGTGAAAGATAAAATTCATTTTTGCCGGCTGCAGGAGATGACACAATGAGATTCTGAGTCCTCTGACAACCAATGCAAAAAGGGAAGTAGAAATAGTCTCCATCAGTGGCTCTCTAAAAAGCTATTTAACTCTTTCATGTGACTGAAAGTGAAAAATGACATGAGATCCCCTTAGAACAACTTTGCTTAAAGTGCAAGTAGAGATTTGCTTCTTAGTCCAACTTCAAAGAGCCACAGAAGGGCCTGGATGGCACCCAGAGGGCCTCACAGCTGGAAATTAGTGAACTATAAAAGTCTCATTCTCCATCAGGGAAATCCACCTAGCATGGTGCTTTTCTCCAAGAAAGAAGCTTTTCTTGGCATTTAGGAATGGTATTAACCTCTTGAGCCAAGCTCTCAAGCTCAGTGGAAGTGGTAGAGGTGGTGAGATGGTAGAGAAAGTGGAGAGGGTGAAGGTGGAGGAGGTGATGAATGGTGGAGAGGTTGGAGAGGGTAGAGGCAATGGAGGTGGTGGAAATGGTGTAAGTGGTGAAGATGTCAGATAGGCTGGAGAGGGTGAGGGAGCAGGGAGAACAAGCGTGCACTCCCTGACTCCTGCAAAGGACAGGCTACTCGATCAGAGCCCCACAGCTATCTGGTCACTGGTATGCAGGGCTAATTCTCAAGTCCTTTTATTTCAACTAACTGCATGTCACTGAAGTCCAAATCAGAGTCCTGCTGTAGGATTTCAAGATGATGTGGATGAGTGCCACCATGTTTGTTGGCTTGGCCTGATTTGGACCAACAAATAATATGGATTGCTCAGATGTACCTACCACAAGGATGTCACGTAAATTTCCATTTGGGTGTCATAGGGACTAAGGGGAGGGAACAACAAAATCACTGGCTTATCTAAATGCAAAACCCTTACTATGTTGGAAAAATACAATGCTGTTCTAGCCCACTGTCACATATTTACTAGAATAAGTATGGAGGCTAAGGAAAGACTCTGAATGCTTAAATAGAGTTTTGAAATGAATGTTGTTTGCAGATGTTGCAGTGATCACGATTTGAAATTGTTTTAAAGTGTTACCAAAATTTGATGATATAGATTATATACACACACATATATATATATCTGTCTTCTTTTGAAAAATTGGAAGATGTGGTAATGCGGCATTCCCTGTAATAGCATTGCTGGTGGGAGGGGTGACAGATCTCACCCTGCACTCCTGCACAGTCTCCATCTTCACTCTCTTCCCCAGCTCCTGATCTCCCCCACCTTCACTCTCTCCGCTCTTTCCACCACCTCGGCCACCTTCACCACCTCTTGCACCTTCATCCTCTCCACTCTTTTCACCATCTTCACCACCTATACCATCTCAACCATATCTACCACCTCTACCTACCTCCTCCACCTTCATGCTCTTCACCCTTTACAATCTCTCCACCATTGATACCATCCATCTCTACCATATCTTCTATCTACACTAGCTCCACCATCTTCACCCTCTCCATCTTCTTCACCATCTTCACCACTTCCATCATCTCCACCTTCTCTACCGTTACCACCATCTCTACCACCGTCACCGCCTCCACCCTCCCCAACCTCTCCATCATTTAACACCTCTACCATCTCCACCACCTCCACTTTCTCGACCATCTCATCATCTCTACCACCTCCACACCTCCACATTCTCCACCCTCTCCACCATCTCCACTGTCTCCACCACCTCCACTCTCTCCACCCTCTTCACCGTCTTTACCACCTGCACCCTTTCCACCTCTTTACCATCTTACCACCTCCACCAGCTCCATCTTCTTTACCCTCTTCAACATCTCCACCTTCTCTATCAACTACACTCATTGGCTCTCTGCATTTCCCAATGGAAAGGGATTGTGTGGTCTCTGGCCACTATTGTTCTAGGGAGGGCCACTGTTGTTCTTTGTTCAGAGGGAGGTCTAAAGGAGAAACATTTTGTTCCAAGGGAAGAGCATTTTACATTTTTATTTGTTCAATCAATATTTCAGAACAAGTGAAGACTCAGGACATTGGACTCTCGGCTCCTCCTGGAGGGGATCTGGTGAAGCTCTGCATCTGAGGACCTCAGGGAAGAAACCACCATCAAGGCACGTAGCAGCCAAGCCCCAGTCTAGTCTAGAGTCCAGCCCAAGGAGGTGGGGAAGAGGAGGTGAAATCAGTCAAGGGACAATGAGGAAGACTCCGAAACAACCACTTACAAATATGATGATATTTGCAGAAGAGCTTGGGAAGACCAGTGTGGAAAATTCCTTTATGCCAGAAAATGCATCTGTGGCACGTTTTCAAGCAGAAACAAGACGGGATTGTGAAGGCAACACAGCCTAGAATTTGCATGTGATTAAATTACAACCAAAGAAGTTGTGTGCATACATGCACACACACAAATCAGGAAGATGAAAATATGTGGGGATGAGACCATTAGACTACAAGCTCAGTGAGAGCAGGGACTGGGTCTCACATTTTCAAACCTCAGCCCAGGGCATGGCAAGAGAACTCTTTGCAGACCTGAGCTGAATCACAACTATGGAAACTACAATTAAATAAGAATATGAATGTCCTGCAAAGTCAGAGGGAAAGTTCAATAAAAAGAGGAGAGAGAATGAGGCTTCATGGGGCACGTAGTAGCAAAAGCGTAACTTAGAAAGCTATTCTAAGTTTCCTATGATACACTGTTAATTGCGGAGGTGGAATTTGAGCTCAGCTCAGTGTGGCTACAAATTCATGTTAGATACACTGTGCTAAATAGTTCCTTTAAACCAAAGGATTTTTTAAAATACAAGAATTACTGCATAATAAAACATTGCCATTTTTTCAGATAGTTACTGAACCCAAAATGTGAATTTCTGCCAGGAATTTATAGTGACTAGAAAGAACTTAAGAGTAAAATTAATAGACTGTCAAATAAAAGCGTTACAGCATGAGCTGTATGAGGTCAGGGACATTTACTCAGCAGATGAATGCACATCCCTTCATGAACAATGAGGACACGTGAGCATGCCAGCCTCATCCTATGTTGGTAAATGTCTACAGAAACATGATCATTGAGACATGCACAGGTATTAGCTACTAAAATATTCTCTCAGATATCTTATGGAAAGGCACTGTCTTGAAAATTCTCTAAATGAGATTAATTATGGACAATTTTGTTTACTATGAATTTTTTCATACACGATCAGATATTTTAAGTCCCTGTCTTTCAAATAATATATTTGTCCTTTTTCTAAAGCATCACAAATACTCTTCTTGAACCTCTCAGAGACAGGTTCTTATAAAAGTGAGTCTAGATAGAATTCCCAAAAAAAACATTGTCAAATCAAAATTAATTACCGAATCATCTCCGTCCTGATCCTTTATGTTGGCCAAATGTTAGTTGAGAGGATGAGAATGAGGTCGGAAGAAAGATTTTTCTTTTTTTTTTTTTTTTCAGGCGGAGTCTCGCTGTATACCCCAGGCTGGAGTGCAGCGGCGCAATCTCGGCTCACTGCAAGCTCCGCCTCCCGGGTTCACGCCATTCTCCTGCCTCAGCCTCCCGAGTAGCTGGGACTACAGGCGCCCGCCACCACGCCCGGCTAATTTTTTGTATTTTTAGTAGAGACGGCATTTCACCGAGTTAGCCAGGATGGTCTCGATCTCCTGACCTTGTGATCTGCCCTCCTCAGCTTCCCGAAGTGCTGGGATTACAGGCGTGAGCCACCGCGCCCGGCCCGGAAGGAAGATTTTAGCTGAGCCTGTGAACCATGCTTTGGTCACTCTGTCCTCACAAGTCTGTTATGTGTTGGTAATTCACAAAACTGAAGTCCCCCTGGGGAGCTGAAACCACTCTTATAAGGTACCTGCGCCTTCTGAGGAGTATAATGCATTCCTGTGCTAGCCTTCTGATAGATAGTAAGGAGTTTCTCAGATTCACTTCTCAAACGAAGGGAGTTTAATACTGAGCTGCCTTCCAGGGAGCTGCCCCCACAGCCTGGGCTGGGAAGATCTCAGCGAGCTCTGGGGAGACCTGGAGGACAGAGGGTAGAACGGGACATGGAGCCAATGAAAGGAAGTCCGGCCGGACAGGCAGCTGTGACAGGCTCTTTCTGCCAGGTTCGCAGCTTCAAACAGCAACCACATTGCTTTTTGGCTCCAGAAAAATGTGAAACACAGAGAGGTCAGTTATTTTCCTGGGTATCTTTGTTTAAGACAGATTTGGGGAAAGGGCCAGAGAAAGTTGGGGCTTGGGAATGATGCGCTCTGAGCAGTTCCACTTTGGGGAGATAAGGAGAGGAGCTCCTGAGACTGTACTGAGTGAGTTGTCCAAGGTTATGCGTCAAGGTCAACGGCAGTCAGCGCCAGGGGCTCTTGGTCACGGGGGAAGGGCTGCCAAACCCAGGTGCCCTGCTTCTCAGGCGCCTCCGGCAGGCCTCTGTAGCACTGGGATCGCCCTGTGAGAGATCCTCACTTTTGGAAAGGTTTGATTTCCTTGACTTTCCCTTCCATTCAAACAACACCCCTTTCCATTTGATCGATTGCTAACATGTAACTGATAGCACTAACCTCAGCTCCCGGGTGCACGAGGGGTGCATTCACTCAGAGCAAGACCCTGTGCTCTGCTGTTCCTTGCTCTCATTTTCATTCTGCACTGGTGGAAAGGCAGGGAATAGGCTCCTTTCATTTCAGAAATTCATTGGGGAAGGCGGCAGAAGCCGGAGCAAGAAGCGGAAGGAGTGTGAGGGAGGAGCTCCGCCCTCTCAGCATGGCTGCCCCGATGGGAGAAGGGAAAATGCAGGAATGGGAACTGGGATGCACAGCACATCTCTCAAAGGGACAAGCAGCAGCACATGCAAAGCGGCCACACTGCTCATGACTTTGCTGTTATTTCTGTTGGCTGAGGATGCTCGTTTTCAGTTGCATACTCAAGCATTGCACGGCCGCCTCGTTTGGAATTGTTGAAAATCTCTCTTATGCCCACCTGGCACATACTTCAGAAGCAGCGCCCTTAAAGAACAAAGTAAAAGAAAAAAAAAAACTGAACCATTAATTGCTATGTGGAGAAATGCAAATACAATTCATTTTTCTTCTTATCTTGGACCAACAGCGGCTTTTATACCCTTTTGGGGTCCACCTCTGTGTAAGTAAGTGTGTGTGTGCGTGTGTGTATGTATACATATACATATTTTGAAGTGGAGAAACCAAAAAATCATTTTTTTGTTTGTTTGTTTGCTTTTTTTTGTGATGGAGTTTCACTCTTGTTGCCCAGGCTGGAGTGCAATGGCGCAATCTCGGCTCACTGCAACCTCCGCCTCCTGGGTTCGAGCAATTCTCCTGCCTCAGCCTTCCTAGTACCTGGAATTAGAGGCATGCACCACCATGCCTGGCTAATTTTGTATTTTTAGTAGAGATGGGGTTTCACCATGTTGGTTAGGTCTCGAACTCCTGACCTCAGGTGATCCGCCTGCCTCGGCCTCCCAAAGTGCTGGGATTACAGGCGTGAGCCACCACACCTGGTCAAAAGTAAATATTTTAAAATGTTGAAAATATGTTTGGAATTTGCCTATCTATTCATGGTTATGCACACATGCTGCTACAACTTGCTACATTTCTCTCAGGCACATAGGTTGGGTAGAGCATTCTGTCTAATGATGGAAGTTGAATTCCTGTCAGAGGTCACCAGTTAAGATGGATTTAGCTCAGTCATGTGAGATTTGAGTCTTAAGACCTCCAAATTTCAACCATGGGTTAATAAAATTGGACTCTAAAACAAAACAAAAAAACCTTTACCATGAGGTTTTAAGTTTGGAACTTGAAAATGCATAATGTTTGCAATGAAAAAAAAAGAAACTTGAACTCTCAAATTTAAAAAATAAGTCATGTGTATATGTGTGTGTAAGGAGTCCATATTCATGTTAAATGTATCTTTCCTGTCTACAAGCATGTGTTTGAGTTAATTAAAAGAGAATGTATTAAATTTAAAGGCTGTTTGATTTCAACAATGAAGAATGTGCACAACTACTAGAAAAGTAGGAGTTTAAAGAACAAAACAACATCTGTAAAAATCTAATTGGGTACAATACCTTGATATATTTTACTCCAAAAACTCACTTTTCAGTGGTAAATAAACTAAATATGCCTCTTGTATTAGTCCGTTTTCACAATGTTGATAAAGACATACCCAAGACTAGGCAATTTACAAAAGAAAGAGGTTTAGTTGGACTTATAGTTCCATGTGGCTGGGGAGGCCTCACAATCATGGCAGAAGTCAAGGAAGAGCAAGTCAGATCTTACACAGATGGCAGCAGGCAAAGAGAGAGAGAGCCCGTGCCGGAAAACTCTCCCTTGAAATAACCATCAGATCTCATGAGACTTAGTCACTATCATGAAAACAGCATAGGAAAGACCTGCCCCCATGATTCAGTTACCTCCCACCAGATCCCTCCCACAACATGTGGGAATTCAAGATTAATTTTAGGAGGAGACACAGCCCAACCATATCATTCTGCCCTGGTCCCTACCAAACCTCATGTCCTCACATTTCAAAACTAATCATGCCTTCCCAACAGTCCCCTAAAGTCTTAACTCTTCAGCATTAACTCAAAAGTCCACAGTCCAAAGTTTCATCTTAGACAAGGCAAGTCCCTTCCATCTATAAGCCCATAAACTCAAAAGCAAGTGACTTACTTCCTAGATACAACGAGAGTATAGGCATTGGATAAATATAGTCATTCCAAATGGGAGACATCGGCCAAAACAAAGGGGCTACAGGACCCATGCAGGTCTGAAATCCAGCAGGGAAGTCAAATCTTAAAGTTCCAAAATGATCTCCTTTGACTCCATGTCTCACATCCAGGTCATGCTGATGCAAGAGGTAGGTTCCTATGGTCTTGGGCAACTCTACCCCTGTGGCTTTGCAGGGTACAGCCTCCCTCCTGGCTGCTTTCATGGGCTGGCTTTTCCAGCCCATGAGTGTCTGAGACTTTTCCAGGCACACTATACAAGCTGTCAGTGGATCTACCCTTCTGGGGTCTGGAAGACAGTGGCCCTTTCACAGCCCCACCAGGTGGAGCCCTAGTAGGTACTCTGTGTGGGAGCTTTGACCCCACATTTCCCACCACACTGCTCTAGCAGAGGTTCTCCATGAGAGCTGCCCCCCTGCAGCAAACTTCTGCCTGGACAGCCAGGTGTTTCTATACCTCCTCTGAAATCTAGGCAGAGGTTTCCCAAACCCCAATTCTTAACTTCTGTGCACTGGCAGGCTCAACATCATGTGGAAGTTTGAGGCCTGCACCCTCTGAAGCCATGGCCTAAGCTGTCCGTTGGCCCTTTTCAGCCACAGCTGGAGTGGCTAGGATGCAGGGCACCAAGTCCTTAGGCTGCATACAGCACAAGGACCCTGGGCCTGGCCCATGAAACCACTTTTTCCTCCTAGGCCTCTGGGCTTGTGATGGGAGGAGCTGCTGTGAAGACCTCTGAAATGCCCTGGAGACATTTACCGCATCATCTTGAGTATTAACATTTGGCTCCTTGTTACACAGATTTCTACAACTGGCTTGGATTTCTCCTCAGAAAATGGGATTTTCTTTTCTAACTTACTGTCAGGCTGCAAATTTTCCAAATTTCTATGCTCTACTTCTCTTATAAAACTGAATGCCTTTTATAGCACCCAAGTCACCTCTTGAATGTGTTGCTGCTTAGAAATTTCTTCCACCAGATACCCTAAATCATCTCTCTGAAGTTCAAAGGTCCACAAATCTCTAGGGCAGGGACAAAATGCCACCAGTCTCTCTGTTAAAACATAAAAAGAGTCACATTTTGCTCCATTTCCCAGCAAGTTCCTTATCTCCATCTGAAACCACCTCAGCCTGGATTTCATAGTCCATATCATTATCAGCATTTTGGTTAAAGCCATTGAACAAGTCTCTAGAGAGTTCTCAACTTTCCCACATTTTCCTGCCTTCTTTTGAGCCTTCTAAACTGTTCCAACCTCTGCCTGTTACCCAGTTCCAAAGTTGCTTCCACATTTTCAGGTATCTTTTCAGCAGCACCCTACTCTACTGATACCAATTTACTGTATTAGTCTGTTTTCACACTGCTTATAAAGACATACCCAAGACTGGGCAATTGACAAAAAAAAAAAAAAAAAAAAGAGGTTTAATTTACTTACAGTTCCACTTGGCTGGGGAAGCCTCACAATCATGGTGGGGGGCAAGGAAGAGCAAGTCACGTCTTACATGGATGGCAGCAAGCAAAGAGAGATTGTGCAAGGGAACCCCTCCTTAAAACAACCATCAGATCTTGTGAGACTTACACACTATCATGAAAACAGCATGAGAGATACCTGACCCCAAGATTCAATTACCTCCCACCAGGTCCCTCCCACAATATGTGGGAATTCAAGATGAGATTCGGGTGGGGACACAGCCAAATCATATCACCTCTTTATGAAAGTTTGACACTGAAGCAGCAAATGACTTTGCCGTTTAATTTTATTTAACTGTACAAAAGACTGAATTCATGAAATCCAACAAGTTGACTTTCAGATTTCATTCAAACATGATGATAAAGAGATTAAAAATTCATTTAGAGGACAAGAGAAATCTACTTTTCTTATGCATTAAAATGAATTAGGGTTGTAAGTGCCTATCAAATTAGGTTGTAAGTACCTGTTGATTTTCTGCAAGCACACTACCACACCTTTGTTTCATTAGAGACTGGTCACTTAAAATAAATGCATGTCTGCAAAATGTAGCAGAATGTTTACATGTCTACTTTCCCTATTATAAAATTCACCCTTTCCAGTCAGTGGTAACAAAAAAACCCCAAGAAAATTATGTAAGTAAACAGATTTCAGCTTAACTCTAAACTGTCTCAAATTTCAAAGTAAGTTGCCTTAATTACTCAGAAGTAGGATTAAATCTGCACAAAAGAGAACAACGCAAACACACTGATAAGACCCTCTCTCAAATAAAAAACTTTTGATTGTACATTTAATTGAAATTTGAAAGGTGAAATCAAAATGCCTTATATATGAGTTGCTCTCAGATAACAACCCAATTTATCTCTGGATTTTTCTAATGATGATGTAGCTTCAGTGTCATTCTTGGCTATGACTTATTGGCAAAAATTCTATAAATCTATACTTGTAGCTTTATTTTTGAAAGTCAGTTTTGTATATATGTGACAACATTAATATTCAGAAATTGAAACTCCTTGGTGAATGTACTAAACTCTACATAGGAGTTCCAGCCACTGTATCATGTATGGTATTACTGGATTGATTGTTTTAACACATATGATTATAGACACCCTACTTATTGAGCATGACTTTTTCTCATTATGATGGTTACATCCTGAAAAAAAGAATTCCCTGCAATAATTAAATCTCAGCTGTCATTCTTACTTCCATCTCCTTTCCACAAATTTGGCATTAGGAAAGTGATGGCACATCTGGCATCTTCAAACAAATGACAAGGGCCGAAACCTCTCTCGCTGCTTCAAGGGTCATGGGTGAGCAGCTTCCTCTCATGTATGGTCAGTCACAAGGAGGAAGGCATTGCCAGGAGCAGACTCACAAACACATCTACACGACTCCAGGGCTTCGGGCACAGCACTCAGCCCTGAATGCCAGCACTCACGTTGCTGCTCTAGTTTGATGGTAGCCTCGTCGGTATCTTTGCCAAGCAGATGACTGCGCTTCTGCATGTGTTTTGTTTAATGAGAGCTGCTGCTGGCTGCGGGGGTGTTGTTGTTGGATGGCTCCCCACCAGTGCTCCACAGAGTGGGGAGTGGCTGAAACAGCCAAGGAGGACAGAGCCAGTGGACATGCTCTATGAATCATGACCCACATCCGGCCAGCAGAATAAATAAATAAATCAAGGGCAGAAGGTGGGAGAAAAGCTGGTGAGCATGCCACATGGGGAAAGGGAGGGGCTGTGGCATCCCAAACCAACCAGAAGCCTCAGAGTGCTGGGGCAAAGGCCCAGGTCAGCTTCACCTTGCAGTCACCACTGCCCTCGAAGGGCCCATCAGAAGCCAGCTATCTCTATGTATTATATGTATACATATGTGTGTGTGGACATGCATGCATATATATACATATGTAGATATATATACATGTAACCAATAGAGAATACTGTCTTTTTTTTTTTTTTTTTTTTTGAGATGGAATCTTGCTCTACCCCAGGCTGGAGTGCAGTGGCACAATCTCGGCTCATTGCAACCTCCACCTCCCAGGTTCAAGTGATTCTCCTGCCTCAGCCTCCTGAGTAGATGGGACTACAGGTGTGCACCACCACACCTCGCTAATTTCTTTTGTATTTTTAGTAGAGATGGGGATTCACCATGTTGGCCAGGCTGAGCTTGAACTCCTGACCTCAAATGATCCGCCTGTCTCGGCCTCCCAAAGTGCTAGGATTACAGGTGTGAACCACCACACCCAACCTGTCATATATTTCTATATGCTAAATATATATATACTTGTTTCAGGGAAGTATATTATTTAGTGCTGACATTCACTATTTGTGATCTACGGTGGACTCGAGTACACCTAGTAAAACTTCACTATTTATATTAGTAACAGGAAGATGCAACCATCTGGTAAATTTTGCTGTCCAGTAAATTAAGGAGATTAAGATAAAACTACATGGAGATTTCATTATCAAGTGCAATTTCTTTATTGCCCTTGGACAAATGAAATTTAATTTTAATTATTTATGACACTTTATAACATGCTTGTGAAGATACCATGTATCTCTTTGCAAAAATGATGGTACTTTAGAAATATAAGACCTCTCTGTGTCATTCATCATAACATCTTTTATCAACAAACTGAGGTAATCGTGACGGTTTCCCTAATGTAACCCCACAAATTTAAACACAAGTTTTGACGCAGTTCCCACTGCGGTACTTGGAACAATCGCCTTATTATGACATTAGCCATCCTGAGGATTGTTCACACTGGGAGATTTCGAGTTGAAGTAATCGTCTCACCATGAAAAACAATTATATCCAGGGAAGCGATTGCACCAGGTCTCCATCCACTGGGGGGAGTTCACCTGACTCCCGAAGTTCATCGTACAAGACAGATCTGCAGAGCACTGCTCTTTCGCAGAGTTTGTTCCAGATTCTAGAGTATGTGTTCACACAGATTTTTTTCTTTCTTTCTAGAGTTGGCTGGGAACCATGGGAGCGTGTGGCGGGTGTGATGAGTGCTTCAGGCGGTATTCTCCCTTTCGTCACACTAAGTCTGTGCTGAAATAAAAAATGCAGGCAAATCAGAAACAAATTTCCCAGGAAGGATACGGGAGGGAGGTGGGCAGCCAGGCAGGCAGAAAGCGCACGCATCGGGCTCAGGCTGGCTTTGTCAGTGCATCCTCCACGGGGGGTTGTGCATTTTGTTTCTGGAACTCTCCTGCTCCACAAAGCACACACCATTTGCTAGAGAACATAATTCTTCTGAACTGGGGTGCCCAGAATGCCTGAAGCAAACCCTTCAGACAAAGTGTAATGTGTGTGTGTGAATGTGTGCCTGTGTGTGAATGTGGGGATGTGTGTGTGTGTGCATGTGTGTGTGAATGTCTGCGTGTGTGTGTGGTGCATGTGGTATGTGTGTACAATGTAGGGTTTGTCTCTGTGTGTTTGTGTGTGGCATGTATGAAGTCTCTATGGTGTATGTAGTGTGTGAGTTGTACATGGTGCGTGTGTGGTGAAGTATATGTAATGTGTTGGGGGTGTTGTGAGAGGAGTTTTAAGTGTGAGGTGTGTGGGATATGTGTGTTGTGGGGGATGTTTGGTGTGTGTGGAGCATGTGTAGTGTGTGTGCACTGTGTGTCTACGTGAGATGTGAGATGTGCAGTGTGTGCGGGATATTTTGCATGCAGTGGTGTGTGTGTGGTATGGGTGTGTGTGTGCGTGTATGTGTGGTGTGTGTGCATGTCTGTGTAAGAGAGCAGGAAAATGACCTCACAAGGACACCGGGAGATGTGGGTGTTGCCCGGGAGAGAGTGACACAGGGACCGCCTGGGAGAAAGCGCCCAGGTGTCATGGCATTTTTTGCCACATCTTGGTGGGAAATGTAGAAGAATGCAGTGGGAATTTCTTCCTGGGACAAAGGGGGCTGTGCTCTCGCAACCACAGGGGTCAGAAGTCCCCCTCACAGCGACAGTGCTGGCAGTGCGGCCCTGGGCTGGGGGATTCGTGGAGGGTGCACAGGCGCTGTCCCAGCGTGGAGACCCGCACCATAGTGCTGGTGCTCAGGCTCTTCCAAAGGCTGCTGCAGAAGCCCTTTGGTCGGGAGCTGTCCCCAGGTGGATCCGAGCCACTCAGGCAGTGGCAGTCTTTCCTACATTCTCCAGGAAAATCAAGTTTTTTCATAATGAGTTTTACATTGAAGTTGTTCTTTTTATGATTTTTTTTTTACAGTTTTGTTCATTGTTTCCATGTGGATAAAATGGGTTACATCACATTAGTTGTGTCTGATTTAATGTCAAAATATATCTAACAATGACATATCAAACACTCTGGTATTGGCAGGAGAAGGTGCCAGGGAGGGCCTGGATGGCCTGCTCAGGTGCAGGTGATGGTCTGTTTCTGGGTGCAGGGCTGGTGTCCTCTGTGGATAGCTCATGGCTATGGCTTGTTTGCTTTTCTTTAATCTATTTTATGCTTTAATTAAAAGTTTTTTAAAAAGCAACAAAAAAAATCATCTATGATGTCACACAAAAAGCACCCTGATATCCAGATATTCCACCACCTGTGTGACACCCGGGTACTCCACCACCTGTGCGACACCCGGGCACTCCACCACCTGTGCCACACCTGGGCATTCCAACACCTGTGCCACACCCGGGCACTCCACCACCTGTGCGACACCCGGGCACTCCACCACCTGTGCCACACCTGGGCATTCCAACACCTGTGCCACACCCGGGCACTCCACCACCTGTGCCACACCTGGGTATTCCAACACCTGTGCCACACCCGGGTATTCCAACACCTGTGCCACACACTGGCACTCCACCACCTGTGCCACACCCAAGTATTTCACCACCTGTGCAATGTGAGTTCTCCTTCTTCACCATGAGAGGCTTCTCTGGGGAAGAATCTAGAACACTTCTCAGTCTGCAGAATGAACTAGAGGAAGGAGAAAGAGTAAAGGTGACTGTGGTCAGTGTGCTGGAATAGGAATGTGGAGTGAAAGCAAGGAAGGCATTCAGATTTCTTGTATGTTTATGATAAGAGAACACAGTGCAAAAAGCCAGTAGGTGGTGTTCATTCTGCCCAAGTTAAGGGCCTCGCTCTGCCATTTGCTGCCCCTGAGCTTCTTGGAGTCTCAGTTTCTTTGTCCACAACGTGGGGTTGATGGAACATTGATTCAGGCATTGTGAGGACTACACGTGATCACATGTACAGATGGAGTTGTATGTATGCTATTTGCATTTTCAGATCCATTATTTATTTTCCTTTTGTAAAAGCTATTATTTGTTTTAATCCAGGAGTCAGGGAACAGATCCTTAGGTTATGAGATTTTTAAACAATAAAGCCTTGGGGCTAATGAGCTGCTAAGAAAGGTGAGCTGATGAATGCAGGCAGGGATGTGCCTCCCAGTAGGGCCCCTGAGCTGCTTGGGAGAAGAGTTTAAGCAAAAGTCTACGAGGAAAAGGCAAGTGAGGACAGTGTGAGGAGGTGCAGGTTGACAGTGGACAAAACCAACTCAATCTGCATTAGATATTGGTTATTAGCACTTTCTCAATCAGGTCCTGTCATTCTACAGCTGTAAGTCCCTTGATGGCTCTTCCTTTCTCTCAGGAAAGCCAACTCCTACATATCCTTCAAAATATGAGTAAGGTTGATGATGGCGATGGTAATAATAGTGATGCTGGTGACAATGATGATGATGTTGATGCTGGCTAACATTTATTCAGTGCCAGTCAATTTGCTACGTTAAAAACTAATTTAGTGCCTGTAATTCCAGCACTTTGTGAGGCCGAGGTGGGCAGATCTCTTGAGGCCAGGAGTTCGAGACTAGCCTGGCCAACATGGCAAAAACCCATCCCTGCTAAAAACACAAAAATTAGCTAGGTGTGGTGATGCGCACCTGAAATCCCAGGTACTTGCGAGGTCGAGGCATGGGAATCGCTTGAATCCTGGAGGTGGAAATTGTAATGAGCCAAGATCACACCACTACACTCCAGCCTGGGTGACAGAGTGAGACTCTGTCTCAAAAAAAAAAAAAAACAAAAACCAAAAAACAGCGTATCAAATCTAATCCTCTCAACAATCCTAATGAGGCAGATATTATTACTTTCATTTTACAGGATAAGAAGTTACAGTTAAGTAATTTGCTCCATGGTGCCCATCCAGGAAGTAATTCCAGGCTAGGTGTATCTGATTTAGCCCTGTTCTCCTAACCGTATACACTGCCTCTCAGAAGTTGTGCCTAAACCCCTTCTCTGAACTACTCTATAGCTTTCTCTTCATGAGTCGCAGATTCCGTCATTACTTCCTACTTTTGGTGTATTTCCCTCACTAGCTGGAAGTACCTTAGGACAAAAATGTAGTCTCACCCAACTTTTTGCCATTGTGTAAACTCACATTTCTTTTTTCCTTATCACACACATGCCAGTATTTAGGCACTGGCTAGCATGTAGTTGACATTCAAAAAGTTTTAAAAAATGTGAATTTTAAAGTCTAACTTCTAAATAAATTCATCTTTATTTTATTTAGCACCCTCAAATGAACAGACACTTGGGTGGCATGGCATGAGTGTGTTTTTTAAACAGCCTCTGGTTTAAAAAGATTGACAAACGATGATTCACCAGATGGTAAAGTGAATGGAAGCAGAAACCTGATCAGTTTTGCTTACTTCCATGTCTCCAGATCTTTAGCAGATACTGCAAGAATAATATATTATCAAATGAATGAAAGAAAGAGCAAAACTAACTAGCATTGGTAATTCAGGTTCTTTGTTTTAATCTGAACAATTTCTGTGACATTCCTCAAGTCAAATATACATACAAATAAGCTTCCAGGATAAAAAATTTTACTCATATTTGGTATTTCTACTTATTACTGGGCTATATAAGAACTTAAACGTCAAACAGACATTGCACTTTGATCAAAAGACTATTCACAAGGTAACATATTCTAATACCTTTAGAAATGTTATCAGTGAGTATCAAAACAGGATTTTATTTATATCTGAATTCAGTAGACATTTCAAGAAGTGGAAATAAAACTTCCATTATCAAAACTTTAATTAATGGAGATTTTAGTGAATACAGAATATTGTATGGATGTGTGATTTATCTCAAATTTTTAAAACACAAATTCCAGTGCCTTTTATTTATTTTGTGAAGAGGGAATTGAAGAACTCTTTGGGGTGGTCTTTATAAAACAATACTGTCAAAAATAACACAGAAATTATAACTAGAGACCACAAAAGTCAAAACTCTACATCTTGTTCTCTGATCAACCATTCAATATTATCATCATTAAAATAAATCGATTTGATTTTAAACTCTAGGAAATAAAGAACAAATGGCCAAAATACAATCACAATGAGTGAAAGTTCTTATTTACACAGAGAGAAATTTTGTCAAAATTTATTATTCATAGTTTTAGAAATATAGAGTTATTGTAATCCTGATATTTAAGCTTTTTAATTTTTCGAGTAAGGCCAATTTGGCAAGAAAAAATAACATAATTACAGTTATTGTAAAATACATTATTTTCACGGCAATGTTCCTGTATCCATTGGCTTGTTTTTGTTTGTTTTTTAATACCAAGAAACAAGTTATTTTCTTCACTATGGAAACAACTAGAAAGGCAAGATATGGCCCAAGAGTATTTATTATGACCCTAATGAACCACAATGACTTTTAAATAGTTTTATTTCAGAAAATGATTGGGAAGAGAAATAGAGCAAAGTTTCTCTTATCAATTATTTTCTGAAAGAAAGCAAAGTGTTTCTAAGGCCACTGGATGAAAGGAAACAGTTTAACCAAATGCAACATAATTTTCAAATAATAATGAAGTTATAATAAAGTGAGAAAAATACTCATTTCTGAAATGAAATACAGTGGGAGTCAGGTATGTCCCTTATTTTTAAAATGAGTTGAGGTCAATGCATGGCTGACATAAATCACAGAAAATTGGTAAAAGGGACAAAAGTGATGAAACATCTGATATTTATTAATTTATTTGTAATGTAACATTCAAAATTTTTTAAGAGGAAAAATAAAAGAAGTGAGAGGGAGAGATTTCTATCAATGCCCTCTGGATATTCAACTACAATTTGAATAACAGAGGCTACATATGTGTAAGCTAAACACAGGTCATTACTATCTAAAAACCCAGGCTGCCGAGGGCTCTAGAGCCCTAGATGGGGCTACAAAAATAAGAAAAGTCATTATAATGGAGCCTTTGTCATGACATAAATGCCCTAAATGTGATCTAAAGAAATCAATGAGAAATTAAAATTCATCTAAAATTAGATTTTAAAAACTCTTGATTGAAATGGAAATGTTATCTATGTGGTTTAGAACTCCATTATCTTCTGCTACTATTTTACATAAAAATGCAGATTTCTATTTAGGGCCTACCTGAAAGACCATTGTGAAAGACTAAAAGAAGAAGCACAGATAGTGTATATACAAACAGGCTCATCGTAAGTCAGGGAAACTCATGAAACATACCGCAAATAGCACTCAGGCAACCCAAATGTCTCCACAGCCCTGCCAGTGTGAGGAGCCTTGCTAAGGTCATTTTAACAGTTTGCATCCAGGTCCATTGGTTCAATAGCCACTCAACCCCCAGCTCCTACCTGCCTGCCAAATTGCAGAATATCAGTTTTGCTTCCCTCTTTCTTATGACGCCATGGGAGTACCCTAATGATGATACTGTCTCACCCCCACGTCACAGTGCAGCCCACACGCTTGCTGTGGCAGCCACCCTTGCCTTTCTCCAGCATCACTTTCTGATGTGGGTGTTACTGGAGCATATCTCATGACCCACCTGTGCTCTGCCCCATCCACTCATGTGGTGGTATTTGTTCACTCTTAACTTTCATGCTTGCCTCTTCTCTGTCCTGTGGGAAAACAGCCTTCTGGTCTTGAGTCCTGGCCTGTGGAGAAGAAAGAAGAGGAGAAAGGGAGGCTCCCACAAAGGAACTGCTTGGACCTCAGTGTGGTGTTTCCTTCCGTTTACTGCATCTATGTCCCCTCTGAGTGTTAGAGATACCTTCAGGAGGATTAAGGGGACAGTGAATTCAAGAAGTAGGTTTCATTCTAGAGTAGAACTCCATTTCCATTTTTTTCCCTGGGTCTCTTGCTTAGTATCAACACTGGTCAAATTCCAGCCATACTTAAAGTGGGATAAATGGAATTTAATTTTTCCTCTTAGAAATCCTCTTGTTCCTTTCACAGCCCATTGCAAAATCCCTCCTGCAATTCCATCCCTTCTAACGTACCTAAATCTGAAGACACAGTTCAGTTTCTCTTCCATGGGTTCCATGTGCCACTTGGCAGTAACACGATGTAACAGTTAGCAATGGCTCCCTCCACACCCCACCACTGCAGAGAACCAGGGCCCTCAGCTGCAGTGCTGCTCTGCTTCCATGCAAGAAGAGTCTACCTCTTTCGGTTAGTTTCTCTTGGGGAAGATCATTCTTTTCCACCAAGATTTGGTGTGTGTACAAGTGGGACAGTAACAGGTTGTCCTTAAGTAAACAGATCTTTGAAATAGTTCTGGTCTTCAGTGGGGCTAGACTGTATCCTCTACCATCAAAACAAGCAAAAATTCAATAAGTTCTGTAATAGAGGTACAAGTGAGAGGAAAGATATGATGCGTCCTGACTACAGTGAACAAAATAGTTATTATGGTAGAGATGTCATTCACCCTGGAGCTTCAAACAGAGGGATTTATGATGGGCAGAAAATGATATTGTGTTCTGTGCTGAGAAAAGAGCTTAAAAAAAAAAAAATCACAGAGGGCTAAAAGCAACTGCTGCGCCTGGAAAACTGGCAGCCATCCACTACAGCCAGAGTGTAATGTGCATCGCTGTGGAAACTGGACATGTTGGTAGACGCAGAATTCAGAAATTTTCAATGCCATGATAAGGAGTTTGAAGCTTCTTTCAGAAAAATAATTGGTGACATGCTATAACCTGTGCCAAATTATATTGATGTGTCTTGTATCATACTAATCAACTTTGATGCAGTTCTTCGCACTTTGAGGGTCAGCTACACCAGCAGTCAATGAGAAATGTACCACGGACTTGACAATAGCCTTGGGCTAATGAGCACACGCTCCCCATCACAGACATTCTCAGCCAACAAGCCCTCTCCTGCGATGTGAAAGTGCTTGGTAAGATGTGCTGTCTTGCCCTAGCTTATTTTCCTTTTGGCATTTACATTGGATTCTGGAAATAGTTTTGACCCACCTGGTTGATTGATATTATGAAAATCATAGTGCTGGTCCTGCTACAAGAAACAGGGGTAGACTATCATGTTCATTATGAAAATGTACATTTAAAAAGTACTCGCGGGGCACAGTGGCTCACGCCTGTAATCCCAGCACTTTGGGAGCCCAAAGCGGACAGATCACAAGCCCAGGAGACTGAGACCATCTTGGCTAACACGGTGAAACCCCGTCTCTACTAAAAATACAAAAATTAGCCGGGTGTGGTGGAGGGCGCGTGTAGTCCCAGCTACTTGGGAGGCTGAGGCAGGAGAATGTCGTGAACCCGGGAGGTGTACCTTGAAGTGAGTCGAGATCGCACCACTGCACTCCAGCCTTGAAGACAGAGCAAGACTCCGTCTCAAAAAATAAATAAATGAATAAATACTCAAGTTTCCTTCAAGAAAAGAGTTGAATCAGAAGAGTTGGGGAGCAGTATGTATTTAGGGAGATATGTGAGAAACTTTGACGCCATCATAAACGGCTCTGTATCCTGTAGTGATTGCCTGGCAATTATAGGAAAGGCCAAGAGCATACAAAATGTTAGGGATTTTTCAGAGACAGGAAGAGTGAATGTCAATAGATAGTGCTAGTGACACCTCTCCAAGCTGTATAATGCTTCATTTCTAAGAGCACATGGTCCCATGTTAAACTCAGCATTCATGTTCCAACCTTACTGTGTTGTAACAAGTCTCAAATTCTTTCCTTCTTACCAACTGCCTTGCAGTCACATGTCCTCATGCATCTGAGTCTTCGGAAATGCTCGTTGCTCAGTCTGGTTCCCTAGCATAGTCCTTTTCTTTTTCTGGTAGGCGTCTTCCCCATGCTATTTCAAAACTTTCAAAAAATCTCCTCTAACTCCCATTATATGAGATATCTGACTTAACAACCTTAGTAGGATTCCCTGCATGCCACTGCTGCACTGGTTATGTTTTCATGGATGGTTTATTTGTTTGTATCTCATTCTCAACCACAGGGCCACTTGGTTGCATCTCATAGGCAGAGAAAACATTTTATTTTCCCAGGACAGGACATTACTATTTTCTGCAGCATTCATTAAGTTTCATTGAATGAATGGTCTATGTGAATGTGTTTTAAAAGCTTGAAAGTCCCCTAGAAATATAAGCAGCAGAGGCTGGGAGTCAGAGTCTTAATGGGAGCTGTGTTCTTATGTGGATTTGGCTAATCCTGACATGAGGCAGAGGGTCTTGTTCCTGACCTGTTTTTATTCTGCCTGTTGTTCGGGCTGTTTCTGGTCACCTCCTTCCTCTTTCCCTCCGTTCACTCAGGTGCTAGCCCTGGATATCCTTCTAGATTAACAGCCATGCCTACAGATCTAGGGCCAGAAACAATCTGTGGGAAAACAGGAAGTACATTGGGGTGGCAGAGATATCAGTTCTCTAGTTGAAGTATTTGGAAGTCTAGCTATGCCCTTTCAATAGTAAAGCCCACTTCTTAGCCCCATCCTTACTCTACCATGAAGAATTTTAGTCCCAGCTAGGCACTGCCATTTCCCTGAAACCAGCAGCATCAACTGTGATCTGGTCCATATAGTCAATGTCACTTTATATGGTGGTCATTACAGCTGTACCAAATCTTCTCATAATATCCCCTTCCTTGCATATAAGGAATGTAATTCTCTACCCCCTCAATATTAGGTGGCAATATTTATTGATGTGGCCAAGAAAATGTAAGCAAAAGTGAAATGTGTCACTTCCAAGGAGAAGAATTAAGACCTAGCGTGCATCCACCATATTTCCATTCCACTGATGGAGTGATCACAAAAGCACGCATCCCCACGATGGAGCCCCTACCAGCCTGGGATCCCGAGTGACTACCATGAGCAGAGCTCAGCCACGACCCACACTGGATGCATAGGTGAGCAAGAAAATAGTCTAGTGTTGCACTAATGAATTGAAAATGTCAGATTGTTTTTAACTGTAGCATTGTTACTGCAGTTTGTTGCTTTATCCTAACTAATATAAGTGGTCATTTTTCTCTTTGGTTGTGTATGACATGGCAAAACTTTCCAATTCAGGAAAACCGAGTGTGAGAAAATTTTATCAAGCTATAAGAATATTTTGAAAGACCTTAACAATCTGCCACAGAAGAAATTAAAAAGAAATCAGGAATACTCTTTAGTCTTCTAACTGTTTCCCAATAAGAATATTGAATTTCTATCTATTTGGTTTAGTTCCTACATTTTGTAGTTTCTACATATTTCAGTTTCATTTCAAAACTACATTTTGTAGTTTCTACATATTGTAGAAACTAAACCAAATAGTAAGAAATTCAATATCTTTTATTGGGAAAGAGTTAAAAGACTAAAGAGTAAAACTGACATATTGAACCTATAGAAATGCTGAAGGAAGGTAGGCACCTTTTTTATTTTAAAGGGAAGGCTACGAAACATATGGAAAAGGTTACCAGACTAGGCTGTTGAAGGCAACAGAATAAATCACTTCAATAACCACCTCAGTCCTTTTCTGGACAAGGAAGGGATTAAAGGGCAGAGCGAAAATGCAGGCGGGTAAAATTAAACTAGAACAGAGAGTGGAGGCTGATGGGCCAGATGGCCTTTTCTTCTTCCTAGAACTTCTTAGAGAGTCTTCATAACATGCCTACATTGTAAACCACAATACAGATACAGTGTTTTTAGAAAAGGCCCATATTCCATTCCTGAACTTGAACATCTCACAAGTAAACCATTTTCAGATGTTTCCAAATTAGGAACATCTACAGTTGAAGGGAAGATTTGCTCTGCTCTCTGACATGTGTTTGATCTTTTCTATTTTATCAATTAGCAGTCCATGTTTTTCTGTTTCCTCATTGCTTGGTTAGATAAACTATACAAAGAAAACGAACTCATGTCTGTGTGGAGACCACGTTATGTTCTGAACGAGCTCCCTGACAACGCAGTCTACCCATTTGGATCAGTTGGTATTTGTTATCGGAAGAGGAGGTGAGGAGTGATAACAGGAAGGCACAGGCTGTGAAGCCTGCAGAGTTCTCTTTCCTGCAAGAGACCAAGCAATTGTGAAAATGGAATTGTGCACATGTGCTAAGTAATGCAAATATGGGTGGAAAAATGAGAAAACTTTCTGGATGAGTAAATAGAGAATCCTTTAAAAACTCATAGCTCACTAAGCCCGTTTCTAAAGAACAGGTTTTTCTCAGCTGGTCTTGTTGTCTCATGCCTGTAATCCCAGCACTTTGGGAGGCCGAGGTGGGTTGATCACTTGAGGTCAGGAGTTTGAGCCAGTCTGGCCACCATGACTAAACCCCATTTCTACTAAAAATACAAAAATAATTAGCTGGGTGTGGTGGACATTCCTGTAATCCCAGCTACTCGGGAGGCTGAGGTGGGAGGATCACTTGAACCCAGAAGGTGGAGGTTGCAGTGAGCCAAGATCTTGCCACGGCACTCCAGCCTGGGTGGCAGAGTGAGTGAGACTCCATCTCAAAATAATAATAATAATAATAATAATAATAATAATAATAATAATAATGATCAAGAACAGTTTTTCTCTAACATATTTCTGGGCATACACAGGGAATAGAATTAAATTTACTGTTTGTGCCTAAATGAGATTAACACTGTACTTCTATTTTTTTCAAAAAATTTAATTCTTTCAACAGTGCTATGAGTTAAAAGTTACTTTTTATTGCTTGACAATGAAGTAAATTACTTTCAGAGAGCTTAAGTCACCACCCTAATTCCCACAGTGAGTAAGTGACAGAGACAAAACTAGACCCAGATTGGACGTCAGAGTCAGTGCCGTCTCCAAGGCATGATGACTCCATTTTGTGGAGAAAGAGAGCACCCTTTGGGTATTCAGTGAAAAACCAGTGCCAGACTTGTGTGCAGTTTACAGGAAGGTCAGAATGTAAAAGTTGAAGATGATGATTTTATATGTATAAAAACTTCAAGTAAACCTAAAGTAAATACACTGATCTTATTTTTTTTTTATTCCCGGAGACGGAGTCTTGCTCTGTCACCCAGGCTGGAGTGCAATGACACGATCTTGGCTCACTGCAACCTCTACCTCCCAGATTCAGGCAATTCTCCTGCCTCAGCCTCCTGAGTAGCTGGGATTACAGGTGCGTGTCACCATGCCCAGATAAATTTTTTTTGTTTTTTGTATTTTTAGTAGAGACAGGGTTTCACCATGTTGGCCAGGCTGGTCTTGAACTCCTGACCTTGTGATCCGCCTGCCTCGGCCTCCCAAATTGCCGGGATTACAGGTGTGAGCCACCGCGCCTGGCCCTGATCTTAATTTTAACTAAATTCTAACTTCAAGTACCTGTATGTATACCTGTGTAACCATCACCCCAATCCAGATCTAGAAAGTTTCCAAGACTTCTACCAGTCCATTTCCTCACTTCTCGCTGTTCTGACTTTTATAATCAGAGAAATTAGTTTTGTCTGTTCTTGAATTATACATAAATGGAATCATATGGGTGTACTTTTTGTACCTGGCCTTGTTCACATGATAAAGTTTTTGAGATTCATCCATATTGGTGCAAATACCAGCAATTCTTTTTTTTTTAATCGTTGAGTAGTATTTCATTGTATACATGTACTAATAACTGTTTATCAGTCCTTCTGTTTGTAGACATTTTGGTTTTTCCAAATTTGAGGTTATAATAAACATGCTATTAATATTTTTATTTCAATTTTTTTGTTTACATTCCTTCTGGATAAATGTCTAGGAGTGAAATTGATGGATTATAAATAAGTGCCACGCAATTTTCCAAAGGTTTTTTTTTAACATTTTAATCTTTCAGTATAAATCATTTTCAAGTATCTATCAGCAGTGTTTTGTGGTTTCAGTATAGCGTGGTTGCATATCTTTTATTAACTTTATCACCATAAACTTGATGTTTTTGATATTATAAATGTGATATTTAAAATTTATTTTCCAATGTCTTTGATTTTTATAGATAAAAGTACAATTCAGTGAAGAAGAAGAGCTTTCATATGAAATTGAAGTTGGGTTCGGGTTAGTAAAAATTTAAAGTGCCAGGTGTTCAAGATCTTATTGTCAATCTTTGTAGTTTTAGTTGTTCTAGAATATGTGAGCTGGTATTTCATTTTTAAGATACATTTCTGTCTGTTCGTTCCTATATTTTGACTTGATGTTTTGGCCATGTAGATTTGACCGTGTAGAAAGTGTGAGTCTTATGTGCTCTTACTGTGGTTTTAGTTGGCATTTCCTTGAGGGCCAAGAGTAGCAAGCCCCTTTTCTCCTGTGTCTGTTGTCCATTTACATGTATCTCCATGAGAAGTATCTGTTCACACAGCTTAGCCAGTTTTAACTGGGCTTGCTTGTTTTTTTATTTTTATTTTTATTTTTGATTTGTAGAAATTCTATACATATTCTGGATACAAGTCCTATGTCCGTTATATTTTTTTATTCTGTGACTAATTTTCATCTTCCCAGTAGTTTTTTTTTTTTTTTTTTTTTTCGGAGTCTAAAAAACTCCAGGCTAAAGTACTGTGGCACAATCTCAGCTCACTGCAACCTCCACCTCCCAGGTTCAAGCCATTCTCATGCCTCAGCCTCCCTAGTAGCTGGGATTACAGGTGCACCCCACTATGCCAAACTAAGTTTTTGAATTTTTAGTAGAGACAGGGTTTCACCATGTTAGCCTGGCTGGTCTTGAACTCCTGACCTCAAGTGATCAGCCCACCTCGGCCTCCCAAAGTGCTGGGATTACAGGTGTGAGCCACCACGCCCAGCCTCTAATAGCCTTTTGATAAGCCAATGTTTTTAATTTTTATGAAGTCTAAGTTATCCTTTTTTTTTCTTTTGTGGCTAATGCTCTTATGCTCTGTCTAGGAAATCTTTGCCTCCCTGAAAGGTTACATAGATTCTTTTTTTAAAAAACAATTTTTCTGGAAATGTTATATTCTATGTCATTATATAATTATATAGAATGATTATATAATCATTATATAATCATAATTGGTGTGAGGCATAAGTCAAGTTAATTTTTTACCTAATTATGTATCCCAGCACCATTTGACAAAAATACTTTAGTATCCTTCACTGAATTGCCTTGTTGCTTTTGTTGAAAATCTACGCAGTAAACATGTGAGGGTGAATTAGTTGACTTGACTTTGAGAAATCCGTCTATCCTTAACTCATTATTTTGATTACTAAAGCTATCTAGTAAATAATACTGATATCAGATACGGTACATCCTCCAAGTTTGCTCTTTATTTTAAAACTGTTTTGGCTTTTTAAAGTACTTTGCATTTACGTATAAATTGAATCAGCTTGTCAATTTCTATGAAACAGCTTACTAAGATTTTGGTTGGGAATATGCTGAGTAATAGATAAAACTCAGAAGCCAGTATAACTACATAGCAATCCATAAGTATGAAATATTTTTCTCTCAATTTTGATCATTTTAAAATATCTCTCAGTAATGTTTTATAGCTTTTAGTAAAGAGTGATTACATGTCTTTTATTGTTTATTACTATAAACTTATGTTTTTATGATATTATAAATTGAATATTTTAAATTTTATTTTCTTTTTTTGTAGATAAAAATACAATTGAGTAAAGAAATTGAGTTTTCATATGCAGTTGAAGTTAGGTTGTTATCAATTTAAAATAGCATGATACAACTTCAGTGGTAACTACAAAAAGCCTATAGAATATATACAAAAGGAGGTTAGAAGGGAATCAAGCATATCACTACAAAAATATCAATGAAGCACAAAGGAAAGGAGTACGAGAGGAAAGGAGGGGCAAGAAAGGTAGGAAATGTACAGAAAAGAATTAACAACATGGCAATAGCAAGTCTTTTCCAGTCAACAATTACTTTAAATATAAATGTATTAAACTCCCTGAAGAAAAGGCACAGATTCGTTAGCTGAATGGAAAACAACAAAACTAAGCAAAACACCATCTAACTATATACTGTTTACAAAAAACTTACACATTTAAGGATACACATCAGCTGAAAGTAAAAGGATGGAAACAGATATTGGAAAAGTAACAAAACAGAAGCAGAAGTGACTATATTAATATCAGAGAAAACAGACTTTAAATTAGAAACTGCTACAAAAGATGACAAAAGGCCAGGTGCAGGGGCTCATGCGTGTAATCCCAGCACTTTGGGAGGCTGAGGCGGGCAGATCACCTGAGGTCAGGAGTTTGAGACTAGCCTGCCCAACATAGTGAAACCCCTTTTATACTAAAAATACAAAAATTAGCTGGGTGTGGTGGCAGGTACCTGTAATCCCAGCTACTCAGGAGGCTGAGGCAGGAGAATCACTGGAGCCCAGGAGGCAGAGGTTGCAGTGAGCCGACACTGTGACATTGCACTCCAGCCTGGGTGACAAGAGCCAAACTCCATCTCAAAAAAAAAAAAAAAAGATGACAAAAGATGTTATACAATAATAAAAGGGTCAATTCACCAAGAAGATACAACCATTATAATTAGTTATCCAACACCTTCAAACTCCTAGATATACAAAGCAAACTTTGTCAGAATTGAAGGGAGAAATAGACAAGAATACAATAATAGTAGGAGACTTCAATACTTAACTTTAAATAATGGGTAGGACAAGCAGACAGAAGATTAATAAGGGAATAGAGACCTTGAACAACACCACAGGTCAATTGGACCTTGAAAGACCACCACAAGCAGCAGAATAGTCTTTCTCCCTGAACATACATGGACCAATTCTTTGGGGTAGATCACATATTAGGCCACTAAACAAGACTTAAAATTCAAGAAGATTGAATTTATATGAAGAATCTTTTCTGATCTTGATGGAATGAAACCAAATCACTAGCACAAGGAAAACTACAAAATCCATAATATGTAAACAATGCAATCTTAAATAAACAATGGGTCAATGAGAAGTTACATGGGAATTTTTAAAACACCTTTAGACAAATAAAAATAAAAACACAATATACTGAAACTTATGGGTTCCAGTGAAAGTAGTGCTAAGAAAGAAGTTTATAGCTATGATGCATACATTAAAAAAGAAAAAGAATCTTTAATCAGCAATCTAAATTTACACCTCAAGAAACTAGAAATAGGACAAACAAAATCCACAGCTAACAGAAGGAAGAAAATCATAAGATTAGATCAGAGAAAAATGGAATAGAGAATAGAAATGCAATGTAAAAAATAAACAAACGAAGGGTCGGTTTTTGAAAAAGACCAACAAAATTGATATATCCTTAGCAAGATTAAGAAAAAAAGAAAGAAAACTCAAATAACTAAAATCATAAATGAAAGGAGGACATCATAACCAACACCCTAGAAATAAAAAGGACTATAATAGGATACTGTGAACAGTTTGGAAAACCTAGAAGGAATAGATAAAATTCCTAGAAACACAATCTACCAAAATTGAATTATAAAGAAATAAAAAATCTGAATAGACCAAGAAAAAGTAAGGAGATTGAACCACTAATAAATACTCTCAGCAAAGGAAAGGTCAGGACAGGGTGGCTTTACTGAAGAAGTCTACCAAACATTTAAAGAACTAACATTAATTCTCCTGAAGCTCTTTCAAAAAATTGAAGACAAAGAACACTTCTAAGCTCATTCTATGAGGCGAACACGACCCTGATACCAAAGCCAGACAAAGACAGTACAAGAAAAGAAAACTACAGACCAATGCCCCTTATGAATATTGATGCAAATATCCTCAGGAAAATACTAACAAACCAAATTCAGCAGTACATTAAAAGGTTGCTACAACATGACCAAATAGGATTTATTCCTGGAATGCAAGGATGTTTCAATACATAAAAATCAGTCAGTATAATATACCACATTAATAGAATGCAGGACAAAAACTACATAATCATTTCAATTGATGCAAAAAATAGTGTGACAAGATTCAACACATTTGCATGATTAAAAACTCTGAACAAAGTAGGAATAGAAAGAAGCTACTTCAACATAATAAAGTCATGTATGAAAGGCAACAGCTAACGTCATACTCAATGGTGAAAGATGGGAAATGTTCCCTCTCAGATCAAGTACAAGGCAAGGAGGCTCATTCTCACCACTCCTAGCCAGAGCAATTAGGCAAGAAAAAGAAATAAAAGGCATCTGAATTGGAAAGGAAGAAGTAAAATTGTTTCTGTTTGTCATTATATGTAGAAAACTCTAAAGATTCCACAAAAGCCTGTTAGAACTAATAAATAAACTTAGCAAGGTTGCAGGACACAAAATTAACACACAATAGTAAGTTGTGTTTTTACACACTAACAATGAAAAATCTTACATGCAAATTAAGAAAACAATCCCATGTACAATAGCATCAAAAAGAATAAAATACTTGAGAATAAACATTACGTAGAAAGTGAAAGACTTATACAATAAAAACCTCAAAACATGGCTGAAAGAAGTTAAAGACACAAATAAATGGAAATATATCCTATGGTCATAAGCTGGAAGACTTAATATTGTTAGTATGTTGACACTACCTAAAGCAATCTACAGATTCAGTACAATCCTTATAAAAATCCCAATGACTTTTTTTTGCTGAAATAGAAAAAAGTTCATCTTGAATTTTATATGGAATCTCAAGGAATCCTAAATAGCAAAAATATTTTTGAAAAAGAACAAAGCTAGAGGACTCATACCTTTTGATTGCAAAGCATATAAAGCCACAGTAATCAAACAGAGTGGCACAGACATATAGACAGACAGACAAACAGACTAGAATACTGAGTCCAGAAATAAACCGTAGTGTATATGGTCAAAAGATCTTCAACAAAAGTGCTAAGATCATTCAATATGGGAAGGAAAATCACTTCAAGAAATAGTGGTGCAAAAATTTAATATCCACATGCAAAAGAATGAAGCTGGACCTTTATCTTTTAGCATATATTAAAAGTAACAAAATGGACTGAAGACATGAATTGACACCTAATACTATAAAACTCCTAGAAGCATAGGGGAAAAACTTCATGACACTGAATTTGACAATAATTTCTTGGCTGCGACACCAAAAGCACAGACAACAAAAACAAAAATAGATAAATGGTACTACATCAAACTGAAAAACTTTTGTGCATAAAAGAGCACAATTAATAGAGTAAAAAAAACCTACAGAATGGGAGAAAATATTTGTGAATAATACATCTGATAAAAGATTAATATCTGTGATATATAAATAACTCCTATAACTCACCTACAAAAGCCAAATAACCCAATTAAAAAATAGATAAAAGGCTTGAATAGACATTTCTCTAAAGTTGACATATAAATGTCCAATAAGTATATGAAAATATATTTAACTTCATTAATCATCAGAGAAATATAAATTAAAACCACAATGAAATACCACCTTACATTCAATAAGGTGGCAGCTATCAAAAAAACAAAATAACTGTTGGCAAGGATATGGAAAAAATTGGAATCCTTGTGCAATGTTGGTGAGGTAAAATGGTACAGCTGCCATGGAAAACAGGATGGAGATTCTTCAAAAAATTAAAAATATAATTCCCATATGATCCAGTAATTCATCTTCTGGGTGAAATCTGAAAGAATTGAAAGCAGGATCTCAAAGAGATAATTGCACATTCATGTTCACAGTAGTATTATTCCCAATAACTAAAAGATGGAAGCAATACAAACGTCCATAACAGATGAATAATAAAAAAATGTGGTATACACATACAATGAAATATTTTTCAGCCTTAAAAAGGGTGGAAATTCTATCACATGCTCTGACATGGATGAACCTCAATGACATTATGCTAAGTGAAATAAGCCAGTCACAAAAAGATAGATACTGTCTTTTTTTGCATCTGTTTTTATAATTTGAGTTTTTCTTATAGTGTTATTGTAATTTTTTGGTATCAGGTTCACGATGGCCTCACAAAAATGACTTGGTGAATGTTAGAATATCAATTCAATTTTCTAAGAATTTTTTCAGTTTTTTAAAGAGTTTTATTATTTATTCTGTATATGTTTGATAGAATTTACTAGTAAAAATATCTGGATCTGCAGTATTCCTTGTCAGAAGGTATTTAATTATAAATACATCTTATCCTATGTATATTAATTATTCCAATTTTCCATTTCTTCTAGTGTCAGTTTTAGTAAATCATGTTTTCAAGAAATTTATCCATTATAAATTTATTGATATATCATTCATGAATAGTGCTTTATAATGTGCAATCTATATTTATATTTTTGTGCAATCTATAGTATCCTCTTGCTCATTCAGGATATTGGCATTTGTGCTTTCTCTCTTTTACTTCTGACCAGTTTACCTAGAGTTTTACTTAATTTATTAAGTTATTTAAAGAACTACGTTTTGGCTTTGATAATTTGCTATATTGTTGCTCAGTATTTCATAAATTTCTAGTTTTCATTTTTAAAAATGTTCCCCATTTCTCTTTTTCTAGTTTTTTTTGTTTTGTTTTGTTTTTGTTTTTTTGCTGTGGAATCTTAGACCATTGACTTAAAATTTTCATTTCAATAGAAACATGTAGAGTATAAATTTCCCTCTAAGCTCTACTTTAGGCACATTCCCATATTTTATATGCTTTGTTTTTATTTTGAAATATTTTTAAAATATATTTTGAAATATTTTCTAATTTGTCTTATAATTTATGTTTCTTTGACCTAGGAGTTATTTTGAAGTGTTTATTTTCTCAATGTTTGGGTTTTTTCTATATATGAAATTGCTGTTGATTTCTAATCCAAATGTTATAGTAAAATAACATAATTTATAATACTTCAGACTTTTGAAATTTCTTAAGACTGATTTCATGGCCCAACATATGATCTATTTTGGTAAATAATTAATGAGCACTTGAAAATAATGTATACTGCTATTTTTAAATGTAGTGTTCTATAATGTTAATTAGATCAATTTGGTTAATAGTTTTATTGAAATCTATATCTCTATTCACATTTGGTCTACTTGTCGTATACAATACTGAGAAAGATATTGTAAAACTTCTCCCTGTGATTGCGGGCTTGTGTATTTCTCCTTTAACTTCTATCAGTTTTTTTCTCATGTGTTTTCAAGGTCTTCTACTAAGTACATATACCTTTAGGATTGTTATGCCTTTCCAATAATTGATCTTTTTATTCATGACAGTGACTTTTAGTTGGAAGTGTAAAAAACATGTCTAGAGAATGAGCTAGTCTTGTATTACTGAAGATCCTTGACTTCCATAAGAAGCTCTAAACATTCTCATGAGAAGATCTGCTGATGAACGCCCACTTATTCTGCCACTCTGCTTGGATGAGCTAGACAGAAGTATGAGAAGAACGGCTGCCACTCCTTTAAAATAGAAACTTTCCATCAGAGCTCAGGAAGGCAAGACCAGAATACTGCTCATTGAAATGCTCGCCTCATTAATGAGGGGTCTTTTAAATTTACTTTTCCTCTTCTGAGAAATTCACTTTTCCTTACTTCTAAGAAAGTAGTCAGATTTTAGGTGAAACGGACCTTGAGACCTAATAGCTCTCAACCATAAAATCTGTGTAAAGGTGAGTGAATATAAAATAATTTTTTACTAATAACAAATTTTTCATACTCCAAATGAATATTTAAATATTTACAGCATAATTGAATATCCACATCACAACATTATCTTCAGTCCTTTGTATGTTATTTATTTTCTTCAACTGCAGTGAATGGAGTAGAATTATAGTGAGGTTGCTGGACATAGTTCAAGTCTCTTGGTTTAATTCAACCTTTCCAGAGCCTTTGATGGATCTGGAATTGTTGAGGAGGAGGGAAGGAAGTAAGAGAAATAGTCACATCAGTGAATGTGAAAAAATCTTTCAAGAAGTTGAGAAGAGAAAAGGTTTAAGAGCACCACATTTTAACTCCAGCTTTGTCACTAACTTAATCAACAGCAAATAACTTCTCTTTTGGCTTCGGTTTCTGTTCCCAAAATTAGGATGTATTAGTGATCAACTTTCAGATTTCATCTATCTCTGGCATTATGTCCACTCTATGATTCCTTCTTTTCTTGAAACAGTGTTATATATTTACTCAAATGTTGAGTATTTATTTTATTGGCCTGTTTTCTAGGTTTTTTTAAAAATTCAAATGTTCTTCATATAACTAGAGCTACCCAATTTTTTATTAAGTCCATGTATAGTTTTAATCATATCGTACATGTAACTTTACAATATGCTTTTGTCATTCAACATGTCATCAGGAAGTACTAATAAATCCCTTACAATCCTCACTTTAATAATTGTATAATATCCATCATATGTTGAAATTATAATTTATTCAAATGTTCTACTACTATAACATTGGGGTAATGTTCATTTTTTCACTATGATAAATAATAATGAAATGAACAGTTAGAAAGCTCTGTCTGCGTTTTAGCTCTCGCTGGCGGATTTTTCCGGAAGGAATGTTCAGAAGCACTTCCCTCTGGGCCTGGACAGCTTACCATATCCTGATGATCGGCACTCCACCTCTTTCCCGCTCAGGTTTGATGTATGAATGCTCCCATTCTGCATTGGCACCTGTTACGTGGGCACGAAGAGTCCGTACAGCCTGGATGTCCCTCCATCTCGGGTTCATGAGGAAGCCCTTCTTCTAACAGTTGACACTCCTATTGTCTTTTCCATGGCTGGGGCTTTTTCAAGAGTTGCCTCATGAAGGCACTAGTCCATTAAGCGAAACAGAAGACTGGACTCCCTACTGCTAAGGCTTTTGACCTTTTCAATGACCTCAATAGCTCTTCATTGGTCCTCTCAGAAGTTAGCACTGTGGAGATCCCTGATGCTATCAGACATTACCCCTGACAAAACGTTACAGTTTCGGCCGGGCGCAGTGGCTCACGCCTGTAATCTCAGCACTTTGGGAGGCTGAGGTATGCGGATCACGAGGTGAGGAGATCCAGACCATCCTGGCTAACATGGTGAAACCCCGTCTCTACTAAAAATACAAAAATATTAGCCGGGCGTGGTGGTGGGCGCCTGTAGTCCCAGCTACTCGGGAGGCTGAGGAAGGAGAATGGCGTCAACCTGGGAAGCAGAGCTTGCAGTGAGCCGAGATCACGCCACTGCACTCAAACCTGGGTGACAGAACAAGACTCCATCTCAAAAAAAAAAAAAAAAAAAAAAAAAAGTATGTTACAATTTCACCAGCTGCTAGAAGGGGTCTTGGCACTCTTCTTACCCTATAATCTTCTGTAAAGTCTATTGCTCTAAATGCTTGTCAAGCAGGCATTAAAACCAGAATTGTGTTGGTTTTAATCTGTGGGTCCAAAGAGACTTTTATGTTGTTAGTAGACCTCAGCTCTCTCCCATTAAAACCAAAAGGAGCTTATACAATTGCAGTCCTGGCCCTGCAGGGACTGAGTGATGATCACCCATCCTTAAATGTTGTTACTGGGTTCCGTGGCCCCAAGTTCAAATAAGCCTTGCATCTCTTTTCTAACTAAGAACATGGACTCAGGCATTCAGAGTAAGTGCCCCTGCAGCACTTTTTTTCTTTTTCTCGATTTAATTGATTATGAATCAAAACAAGATTAGCATTGATATTTATTGAATGAACTACCCTGGATTCACAACAAAACGAAACAAAACACATAAAGCAAAGATATGTTCTGGTATAAATATGAAACTATAAAAAACAGAAAAATTGGGTAAGCAGGTTTCCTAGAAATGTTTAGTGCAATGATTAAAAATGCAAACTTTTCAGTCAAACTTCCTGGTCATGTCTCAGCTCTGCCTTATTCAAACTGGGACTGTTGGCAACTTAATACCTCCTCTAAAGCCGCATTGTCCTCACTTGGCAGAGGTGGAGGTAGTTATAGTGTCACTTCATAAGGAGTTGTAGAAATTAAATTAAAAATGTCTAAAAATCTTTAGCAACCTATCTGGATCATAATAACCACTCAATAAATTCCAACAATTAATGTATTTTCTTCTCCAAATGTATCTAAATTCCCACCCTACCAGAACTGACTGATTTCATAGAGACAAATCTAGGTTGAGTCTCATAGTGTTTCAACTCCTCATTTGGTACATATTCAAACTGAAATGATTGAAGAAGAAAATTTTTAAAAAGCATTAATTTTATCTATGTGGGAAACCCTGTGGCAGCGACTTTCTCATTTAAAAGATTCTATCTTCACAATATGACTGTGAATATTGAAAAATGTGCTTGATCTATAAAGTCAGATTACAGCAGAACAAGAATTTGTTTCTTCAGACTTTGGAGTTCCACAGGCACTCAACGCCTGAACATTTGCAGGACCACTGCCAATACAGAGTGTCCCAAACTTCCTTAAAGATCATAAGGATTTCTTCAGTGTATCCTAACTAAAAGGCTGTCCAATCCCCTCTCAGAAGAGACAGAGAAACTCTAAAGAGGAAGATCAGGTCTTGAAGGGGAGAGAGTGAAGGCTTGGCTAGTTTGAGATGTTATCAAGGTATTTCAGGCTGATACATGAGAAGAAAGTTTTTAAAATTCATCTAAGAAATAAAGGAAGAATAGTAATTATAACAAATGGTTCTGTGAAACCTTAATATACACATGCAAAAGAATTAAAATGGACACCTAATTCACACATGTTATACCAGAAACAAATATTACTGCCAAGTTAAAAATAGACCTAAAGGTAAGAGCTAAAACAATATAACTTTTAGAAGAAATCATTGGAGTAAGTTTCTGTAAGCTTGGGCTAGGCAGTGGTTTCTTAGATATGACACCAAAAACAGAGGCAATAAAAGAAAAAATAGATGAGTTGGACTTTGTGAAAAATTGAAGACATTTATGTCTCAAAGGACAGCATCAAGAAGATAAAAAGACAACCTGCAAAATGGAAGACAATATTTACATATTATGTATCTGATAAGATACTTAAAAGGCAAAGGATCTAATAGATATTTTTTCCATAGAAGATATACAAATGACCAATAAGCATATAAGATTATGGTCAAAATCATTCATCATTCGGCAAATGCTAGTGAAAGCCACAATGAGTTACCACTCCACACTCACTAAGATGTCTATAATCACCCAGATAGACAATGATAGAGGATGGAAAAATCAAAACCTTCATTCACTGGTGGTAGGAATGTAAAATGATGCAATCACCTTGGAAAACATTTTTTCAGTTCTTTAAAATGTTAGAGTTACCATATGACCCAGCAATTCCACTCGTAGATATATACCCAAAAGAAATGAAAACATATAAACATATGTTTACCCAGAAACTTGTACATAAATGTTCATATGCTCATAACAGCATTATTCATAATAACCCTAAAGTGGAAACAACACATGTATTCATCAATTGATGAGTGGAAAACAAAATGTGGTACGTCATTGGACATGTATTATTCTTTCCTAAAAAAGAGTGAAGTACTGATACATACTACAATGTAGATGAACCTCGACAACATTATGTTAAGTGAAAGAAGCCAGGCATAAAAGTTCTGAACAAGCCCATCCATAGAGAAGGAAAGTAGATTAGTGATGGCCATGGACTGGAGGAGGGTGAATGCGGAATACTGCTGGTGGGCACAGAGTGTTTTGGGGAGCAATGAACATGTCTTAAAAATACATAGTGGTAATGGTTACACAACTCCATGAATATACTATTGTATCTCAATAAAGCCAGTAATAGAAATTCATCTATGAGACTGAGGTCAACACTGTAGAAGCCAAACCTTAAATCATGGATAAGAAGAGGTAAGAATGGCAAAGGAAACTAAAAAGTGATGGACTGGATATACCCTGACATCGCTGGGGAGATGAGCAGCCAGGACAGAAATAAGACATGAGGGGAGGGCCATGACGTGTGCCTGGAACACCACTGCACTGCCTGAGGCTCCAATCCTGTTGGGGCTGGCCCTGGTGTGCGTGGGTGCCTTAGTCTACATCAGTGGTTCTCAGAGCAAAATCCAGGAACCCCTGAGAATCTCCAAGACACTTTTAATTGGTCCATGAGGACAAAACTTTTTCCATGATAAAACTAAAGTGTTGCTATTCCCTTTTAGTCCAACTTTTTAATGTGTGCAGTGGACTTTTCCAGAAGCTCCCTGACATATGATGGCATTATTTTTCTGACAATAAATGGGATGTGTGCTTGTGTATTCTTCTGTTTTAAACATTTGTCAATTTGAATTTCTTATATAATAAATTTTGATAGGTATAAACTATGAAAACTGAAAATCTTTGGGATCCTCAATAATTTTTAAGAATATAATGGAGCCCTGAAATGAAAACGTTTGAGAATCACTAACCTATAATCAAAACCAAACCATAGGCTTGAGCTGGATACTGTATCCTTCAAGTGATGCCCTTGTGGGGATCTATGTGGGGACATCAATGGCCTGTGTATGACAGTGGATGACAGTGGGCTATCTAGATCCTTGGGGCTGGTGACACCTCTGAGTCTCCGAACAGTTCAATTTCACAAATATGGGATCCCTACCATTAATGAGGCTAACGGACAATTGAGATTAGATGCTGGAGATGCAGTGAGGAAGAGAACCAGGCATAGTCAACCTCTGCTTTTCTAGGGCTGACACTCATACCATAATCCTGTCTTTCTGGCTTCTCTATTCTTCTTCTCAGGGAAAGTCTGGAGTTCTACATGGCCATGGCTAGTTAACCTGTGCTCTTTCTCATAGCTAGCCTCTTAAAGAAGCCTTTAGGCATTAAAGGGCTAGGTGGCCCTCAGTGGTGCAGATGGAATGTCACGTGCTTATGGGCTTCTTGCAGTTAGCACACCTATCATACCCGTGAGTCCACCTCCCCATGACACTGAAACATCATCAGGGGCAGAAACTGCTTCCTGCTCAGAGCTGTGTTCCAGATGCCAAGGAGCTGGCCTGCTCCAGAGTGAATGCTCAAGAGAGGTTTTGATTGAATACACGAAGGAGTAAATTTCTCTCCCACAGAACACGATTATTCGGCTCTTAGACGTTATAAATGAGTGTGAAAAGGCTTTGATTTCTGCTGCCAACTGGCCAGAGACTGAATAATGAATCATCAGCAATCAATTCAGACTCACCCACCACAAAGATCAAACAAATCCCATGGCCAGAATGACAATAGATTGAGAGCTTGATGAAAGAATGGCACAACGCAAAGTTCCAATATTTCGCCAACATCACTGACTGGCTCACCACAGTCTTCTGCAGCCGCCGCCATGTGGCAGCCTCCTGTCAGCTGCGCAAAGGAAAGGACCAGGCTCCGCAACGCAGCGCCTGTGCTTTGGGATGAAAGCAGGGATTTTATGTGTGACTTACAATGAGTGTCAGAAAATTCTCTTTGGCCCTGGAAATACCACCTGGAAAATGAAGACAGTGTCCAAGGCTGCATCCAGAAAGGGAAGCCGGAAGCACTGGGCTTTTCTGCTACTTGGTGAGCTTGGTGCTGGATGGCCGGCAGCCCCATGCTGGAGGATGGTGAGGGATCTGCTTCTTGGAGGCAGGATTGGTTATGTTCCTGCCTAAGAAATCCCTGCATGATAAGTATTTCCACTAAGTTTTCTCATATTTCAAAAGATTCCCCAACAGAAAGGGGAGCAGAGGAAATTATGGCAAAGCCACTCCATAACAGTTTCAAATTTCCCACTTCTCTCTGTTCTTTGTAAACATGTCCTAACCAAAGCAGATGGAAAGGGGTAGGCTTAGAATTCTGGTGAAGAAATTAAACATAGATGGGTCCCAAATTTTCAGGGGGAAACCCATTCCCATCTTGTCATTGATTAGAGGACTTTGTAGGTGGCTATGCAGCAGGTTCAGCAGTAGCTGTGATTTCTTACTGGTATGAGTTAAGAACCACTGAAAATTGTTTTTCCTTCCCAAAGATTTCTCCCATTTCTTCCAGTAGCCTTCTCCCAGAGCTGAAATTCCAGGAATTTCTCATTCTTTCTGATTAAGACCTTGAAAGCTATGGTTATAAACTAATTCAAGTCAACAAGCACACTTAGCTCATGCCAGACTCAGACTAAATTAACCTCAAAGTAGATACAAAGTTGTGGGGGTAGGAATGAAGGACATTAATGTACATAACAAATTATAGTAAATGTAAAAGAATGCACACACAGAATGCATCTGGAGCACAGAGGTTTAAGTCGCTTTTTTTGCTAATAATTCCATAGTAGATATTATGCTAAGCTGCCTTTGGTATCACATAGTTTCTGCTCCTCAGAACAAACTTACAAGACAGGTCCACAGTACAGACCCCATCTTCGCGATGAGTCCCTGAAAGAGAATCCTCAGAAGGTTTAAGTGACCAGTTGTTTGTGCAGTAAGTGCCAGCGTGAGGCTTTGTAGTGCCCACTCAGGAAAATAAAAACTGGGCCATCCCCACATGGCCATGCTAGAAACCCTAAATCACACCATGAAGCAAGAACTACCTGGAAGGTCCTCGAAACATGTGATGATAATAGGCCCTCTATCCTGAATGTTCAACCAGGTGAGTAGTGGGCTGAGGCAGGGATGTGGGGAAGAGAAGGCAATACTGAGAATGGGCGAGGCACTGTTATCAGGACAGGAGTTGCCTGCAGGGGGTGCTGAGCGAGGCTGGTGTGTTTTTCATCCCTGGACAGGAATTCCGCCCTGTTTTGTTTTTTTTAATCATCTCTGGCCACCTGAGTGCCCTCCACGGAGCGTCTCCAGAATGAAGCCATGGCACCAGGCTTGGCCCATAGGGATGATGTTCTTAACCATGTTCTGCCCTGCCCCAGGGAGATCTTATCGCCAGCTCCTCCCCATGGAATCAGCTGTTATGATTTGGGACATGCTCACCAGATAGAAAATTTGTTTTGTTCTCTGTGCATTTGAGGATTTCAAATCTATGAAGGGTAGGAATGACAAAACAGTTCTTTGGACTGGTCGCTAACCTGCCAAACCATAATATAGCCTGTGGCAAAATATCTCATCATATCCCAATTTGAAGCGCATTTTAAAAAAATCAATCAATCTCAGGAACTCTTGTTTTGTTGTCATTTAAACAGAGATAAGACTGTGCTTACCTTTGCTGTTGTTGAATGAGAAAAGGGACAGAAAAGCAAGCAAGCAAAACAATGTGACTTACACTTGCAGGAGTGGAGACAGGTGTAAGGGTACAAACTCTGTTCATGGATGGAATCAGAAAAGCGTGTGTGGAAGAAGCATATTTCCTGAGGAACGCTGGCTGCACAGATAAGCACCAGACGGAGCTCCAGACAGAGGCACCGACAGGAACATGAGATAGCCTCGTGTGCTTGGAGAACCACAGATGAGTTCAAAGACAAGAGCACAAAGTGCAAAGGGAGGTGCTCAGGGGTTCTGCAGGACAGGGAGGCAGACGCCAAACTCCATGCTGTATGTTGTACTCATGCATTTCCATTTTGGATGCCACTGAAGAAATTCTGAACCCGAAAATGACAATATTATTTCATCTTAACACAACTTGCAATATGGCAGAATAGAAAATGGATTGGAATTATTCTGAGTGTTTGAGAAGCAGCTAGAAGGATGAAGGTTAAGTTCAGCTTGAAACAGGGTAATGAGAGTGTGGGTGAAAAGAAAGGGGCAGCTTCAGGAAATAGAGAAGGGCTGCTAGACTTAGTAAAGACATGCAGGATACCTGGTTAAACCTGAACTTCAGATAAACAACACAGAATTGTTTCAGGCATACGTATGTCCTATGCAATATTTGCAACACGAATTAGAGAGTCAGAGGTCAGAGAAAGAGAGGGGAAAGCTGATGCTGAAATCGATCTCCTTCCATTCCAGCCTAATGTTTTTTCCATGGCACTCTTTTATTTCACCCCAAACATAAGCTGATTTGCCCATCCTTGGTTCTGATTAAATTCATGCTGTAGATGAGAAGAAGCAAGCTGTGTGTTCTGCATGCCAGGTGACAGTCATCATTGCCTCCAAATAACACTTCCTGGGCACCCGCACCCTGTGGCTCTGCCCTGGATGCTGTGCAAAGTCAGGGGCCCCCACATGGCCCACCCTCCAGGAGCTTACACTCAGAATCAGCCAGACAGCTGCCACAGGACCGCAGGCACAGCGCAGAGCAGCAGGCACACATGGGCAGTGGCCGTTGAGGAGAAGCTAAGGGAGGAAGACAGCCTGCATCCCATACAGCCACCAAAGGTGCCGTGCCAGCCACTGCAGAAAACATGGGCACACCCACACCAGCAGCTGTTCCCAGCCTTCAGCTGACGCTAGGGCAGGGAGGCCTTGCTCTTTATCTGTGGGAAATTCTCAGACTGCCTGGGCCAAAGCAGAGGGTTCCACTTGGGGCTATTCCTGACGACCACCCAGAAGTGTGCACAGAAAGCAGCACATCTGGCAGGATCTGGGAGCACATTTGCCAAGAACAGGCTGAGCACGGGAGGTGAGGCAGAGAGAGTGAGGGCCAAAAGCTGTTCCCTTAGATGTGCATGGGACTCTCTTTTGCTAAAATCACCCATCCTGTGACCATTTTGCAATGGCATCATCAAAAGCAGGAACATATTTTTATTGCCATTAGTAGTAACAAAGTATGATGAGAGTTCATCCTGGGAATATTTCATCCCAGCATGTGCTACAGGCAGGCTTCTAGCTGTGAGCTCAGGCCAGATGGAGTTTGGTGCTGGTTCTGTCACCAACTGCTTATGTGACCTTGGACTAGTCCCTCAATCTCCCTGAACTTCAGTTTCCTCCAACATAAAGTGTGGGACATTGTCTTATGTCAGTGGATTTTCATACTGGGTTCCATGGGGCCAGAGGTCTCCTCTAAGAGGAGAGCAGCAGGTGAGGCTGGAATCTCCCATCGCGCCCCTCCTGACAGAGGAGTAACACTTAGCAATTGCACAAGGAGGGGTTCCTTGTAGAGTTTTTGTGTGTGGGGGGGGAAGAGTTGTATTGCCAAGAAACATATGGAAATGCTAGTCTAAGACATGCATATCCTTCCAACTTTCTATGATTCTGAGATTGAATTTATTATCCATCCTGCTTTTCATCCTGTCTACCACAGCTTTCACATCTTTCAATTAGACATTAAGGAATGAAATAGGGACAAAGAGGTTTTGGGGGGCTTACAACATTGAGGGCCACAAATTGCATGCCATTGTCATGTGTGGGGGGTTGGTGGAAATAAGATTTTGAGGCACTTTTAAGCTATGTGGTGGATTTTAGGCACTGAAGTTTGAGTATGAGCATCAGGGGGTCCGGCCAGAGGAGAAAGATGTTTTGCTGGAATCACCCTGAGAGGCAGCCCTGGAGGAGTGAGGCTTGGCTAGGAAGAGAGGAGAGGGACGTTTCATGAAAATAGAAAGTGGTGTTCAGAGCAGAATGATCTGTGAATTTAGACCAGAAGCTGAAAGGCAAATTAGCCACCAACAGCACAGCCAATGGAAGCAACAGCCCATGTTTGCTTGCAAGGTGCAGGTAAGAAAACGTTTCCACATCCAGGAGTTCATGGCCTTACAAAGAGGCCAAAGAGAAGAAATGTGGGCACCAATGCTCTCACGATTTACAGTACTTTATGGGCTTATTGTTGAGTTGTTTCAAAGCTCTCTGACTCTGTCCTCTACCATGCAGAAGACACACTGTGATGTCTGTCAGCACTGTAGTCTCAGGCTGCTGGCGTTAGCATCCGTAAGGGTCGTTTTGAGATGTGGTCTGTCCTTTGCTAACATTGTCCCTATGGACACAATAGACCTAGTTTCTCTTCTTAGCAACTTCCTCATACTATAGGGAAATTGGGTAATGACACAGGCATGATTACTATGATTATTATTTTTTAGTTGGGAGGAAATAATGGATACAAATGTGCTTTGTAAAATGATGAGAACTAAATGATTCGTATATCAACATACGTTGGCTAAAACTTAAATTCTGCAGTGGTTTAATTCTACAAGTGTCAGGTCCTGTGGCCTGTGGAAAAGCTAAACACTCAGGAATCGCTCTTCTCTACTCTTTTTTTTAAAATAACTGGCTCAGGAGGAACTAAACTATTTGTCACATTCAAGAAGGAGTTTGGCTTGGGGGCTTAAGGCTTGCTCTGTTTCAGGCAGTCAATGAAAGAGTTTGCTGAAGATTTTACATGAAATGATTCTGTGTGCTTTCAAGCCAAAATGTTTCTATTTTTATAATATTTTAACTAATGAATTTAAAATGAATGACACAAGCTTAGGGACTAATAAAGATCAACCGCAGAAGAGGAATGAAAAAAAAAATCAGCTCAAAACTTACATTCTGCTGGAATTCATTTAAGCATAGAATGAAAAATGTCCAGGGGCAAACCACCAAGTAAAACAAACAAAGATTCTCCTGCACATTAAAAGACAACTAAAGGCAAAACTATTCTGTTACAAAAAGAAAGTTTTTTGGGTGGGATAAGCATTCAAAGCATCTGTTTCATTAGGAGCAAAATCATTTCAAAATACTATCAATCCCCCACCCCCGCAAACTAATAAAACAAAGCCATTGAGCGTTGGGCATCTGTTGTACTGGGTCTTCTGGACGGCAGAACTGGAAAGACATCACTGTGCAGAACATTCTTATCCTGGCTGATGTTGTTTTCTTGTTGGCCTGGCTCTGCCTCCCTGCTCAGAATTGTAGCTAGGATGAACCGAATGCATTTTCAAGAATGAAGGAACGAGCAAAGAGCAACGAAGCATGGCTCTTCCCGTTAGTAATCCTTAGTGTTGCTCCTGGAGAGGAGAAATGTCTTCTGAACTCCTGGACGATTTGTTTCTGCTTTTAAAACCTGAGACCGAATCACTGTCATTGCAACAGCAGGACTACCAATGCTCTTGGTCACAGGGTTTCCGACTGTTGAAAGAAAAACAGGACGTGTCTCCTCAAGGCACTACTCCACATTTTCCAAATTTTATTTGTTTACACATCCAGATGTGTGGGGTGACAGGTGAGGTGGGTGAGTGGATACATCCTTGAAAGTGGCCACTCTACTTCAGCCGCATGCCTTAGGACACCTGTGTGGACATGTTGGGTGTGCATGCTCCATGGAGCAACTGGGTCCCTCTAGGATTCTCATTTTGTCTTTTCCTTAGGGAGACTTACCAAGCTCAACTTCAGCTCATACACAGACACAGTCAGGCCAGCTACAAGTTTCCATCCTCTGCAACATTTTGAAGTCAGCAATCTGAATATACGTTATTTCATCACACATATACACACATACACACACACACATACACACATGAATTTGCATCTCAGAATGTAAACACAGTCTGAAGAAATGAAGAAATTACATTGCCCTCACCCTTAAAAACCCTGAGGGAAAGTTTATGACCACAGATAATGTCAACACCAGGTAGATAATAAGGAAATACTAAGAGAATATGTTTTCCTGCTAGGATTGCTCTTATTGCCTGAGAGAAATATTTGTCACAAAATAATGGGTGAGATCACCTTTTAACAATCTCAGCCTCAAACCATTATGTGTTGGGCTCTTAATCACCGTACTCAAAAATATGTTTGTTCAGAGATGAAAAAGACGAAGCACATAGACATTGTCTAATGGATTAGTCTATATTGTCATGGATTTGGATTACACAATCACAAGTAATTGCTTTTTAACTATTCACATTTCACATTGAAATTCTTTTGCCCACAGATCATTGCATAAACTCATCACAATCCCATCATACCTCCACTGCAAATATCGAGTTTATTCTGTCTAGAACAAGAGCTCTCACGCTCATTTGATTAGTAGTGCACTTGAAAAGTCATAGTACTCTTTATAGTACACCATGGAGTGTTCATTCATATTTAATCCTATTATATGGACGTGAAGAATGCTGCTACAGAAATAGGCCTGTCTTCCATGCATGCCACATAATATTTCAGTCACGAGAATTCTCAGCCAAAAATAACAGCTAAACCAAGTGTAATCATCCAGTTTTGAGTATTTCAATTAATATTTGTAGATTCCTTAAAAATGGTGTTATACACCAGGACTTACTACAACAATACCTTCAAAATGGAGTGAACCTTAAAATAGAGAAAAAGCTCTTAACCAAATAATCAATGCACAAAAATAAGTGTGTGTGTGTGTGTGTGTGTGTGTGCGCATGCACACATATGCACATGCTAAGAGAGAGCGGGAAATAGAGTTAGGAAAATTTACTTGTAAACTGAGAAAATATAATTTCTTGTACACATGTAGGTTCAGCTGGTAGAATATGAGTGTTCCACAAAATAATATTTAGAGAAACATTTCTTTAAAGGGAAAAAACTTTCCATGATTATAGTTTTCAAAGTTGTAAGTGATAGGATAATTTCTTAATATAGGAACAGGGTACACTTTTGAACAAATGATTTTGTGTGTAGCCACTCTAGGAATGGCACGAAGTCTCTTTCATGGAACATGTACACTCTCCACCCAAAAGATGACCATGTAAGCTGGGCCCTGAAGTTTTAATGTGACTGGGGAGAACAGATACTTACAGGAGAGGTAGTTTTATAATGATGCCTGAATTCCCTGTGGAAATGCAGTCCTGAAGAGAGATGACTAAAGCATAAATGTTTTAGATGTAAAGTGGGGAGTGATGAGGGAAACTGTAGATCTAATGTATTATCAAGAGACTCCCCTCAACCAAGCTCTGAAAGAGAAGCCATTGATTAAACCTTAAAGGATTGGTGGATTTTTGTGGGGGCAGAGGAGAGGCAGTGGAGATGGAGAAGACAAGAGCATTGGGCAAAGGCTAAAATCAAAGTTGGACATAGTTTGTTTCTGATTCAGTGAGTGATCCTTCCTTACAGCCCTTTCTGTCCATGGGTCACAGCCATGTCTGTAAGAGGAAACCTGCTCTCATGGTATGACTTCATGTGCAAATGAACCTGGAAGAAGTGTTCACCAATAAGGACTGTACGATTCTTAATTCAGTATCATGTAAACTCAGAATAACGTGTCCTCAGACATTAATGCCATAATCAACAATTTTCACAGCCTTTTGGGGTGTGTGTCAATTAGGATTGGGGTTTGGGGGAGAGGCAGTGATAGAAAATCTAATCAGTGGCTGCTTAGGCAAAACAGATGATGTATTTTGGGGTAAGGTTTAATCCAGAGGCTAAACAGATCGTCAGTGTCCAGTCTGCTTCGTCTCTCAGCTTTCTCTTCTGTTGATTTTACCCTCAGTTTCTATGCAAAGGCAGGACAGTCAGCCTGCCTAACTGTTCTGGGATATGGGAAGAATAGATAGAGAAGACATGTCTTTGCAGTAGCTCTCAAGCAAGTCTTGGAATTCACTGGGTTTGAATGTTCTTAAATCACATGCTGATTCCTGAATAGACATTGTTGTCCATGAGAGAATTTCTACCCTGATTGGTCAGGTCTGGGGCACATCTGGGGACTCATGTGAGCTACTGTCTGAGAATGAGAGAGTGGTGATCCCCCCCCAAAAGAAATCCAGGGTTCTGTAGCCAGAAAAAAAAAGAGTGTGAATGCTGGGTAGGAGAAAAACAAAGTTCCACACACATGTTGCTTCCTTTCAGATCCTGTCTCCTCACTGGATCCCAGCCTCCTCCCACTTCTTCACGCCCGTGCTCATGGCCCTAGTGATTAGCCCTGTCTTGGTTTGGCTTCTCAGCAAAAGGCTGTCTTTGTCAGCTCAACTCCGTGTTCTGTGGCTGCAATTGCTCCTGTAAAATCCAGTGGTGCGGTGCTTGATCACCGTGTGGCTCCTGGTAAACTTGGGTTTCATCACTCCACATCACTGGAGACCAGGTGTGGGGCTGTGACCTTCCTCACTGAGGCTGTGGAGGCCTGTGCTACATTGGGTAAAAGTGACATTCTAGGGTGATGCTGGTGGCAGAAGTGTGAAGATGAGTTGGGACAGAGAGAGCCACAGTCAATGGAAACCAGCTGGATTTGAGGATGAGTGGATCTGCCCCTTACTAAATGGAAAGGCCTGAAACAAAGAGCCATAAAAGCCAAATTTATTCTAAAAGAAAGACGAAAAATGTGGAAAAGGAGTATCAGAGGAAAAATCTGTTTGGGAAGAAGTAAATAAATTTGATATTTATTGGACATGTTGAGTTTATAGGGATAATGGGCTGTCTCACCAGATATCTCTAAAAGGCATAGAGGCATCTGTAATTTATTGAACATAGATTCTGTGCCAAGAATTTTACAAGACTTATTGCTAAGCCTCACAATAATCCTGTTAAGTGGATGGTTTTTGCTTTCATTTTATATAAAAATGGAAACAGAAAGATAAGTTGTCTTGATCATCTTGCTAGGGGCAGAGTTGGAATTTGAGCAAAAGGTCTGTCTCACTTCAAAGTCTAAATTAGACCCAAGTGATCAAATTGCATGGAAGTTGCAAGAGACTAAAATCTACCCAGATCAAACCAAATAAGCTCTAAGTCCAAATCCCTTTCAGCTGCTATTCACTGTTTCTGGTAGTTACTGACTAGGTCTGTGCTGATTGCTTGATTCATGCCTTAGCAAGATGAACTTGGATGGTGCATGTGAGCTGCTGGAGAGGTGCAGGAAGCCAGGGCATTGCCTGCCACTGGGAACCTGGTTGGAGAATTGAGGGCCACTTGACCTCTGTCTGCATCAAGGTCATTCATCCATGCCCCTGTGTCCCCAGTATCACTCCCAGTTCCTAATATGGAGGCTAACAGGACAGCATTGACTGAATTGTAGCCCAGTCTCTGCCCAAATTAAATTCATCAGGACCTCCTGTCTTTGTGGACCTATGAGATATGTTTTGGTCAGTTCTGAGACAGCATCAAATATTCTTCAAAAATCATTGCCTCAAACAAGAGTCAAAGGCGGGAGCTTTATACAGTTGCTCAAGGCAAGACATAGCTGTTGTTACGAAGAAACTTAAAAAACCAAAAGCAAGATAGCCTTATAATTTCATTACTGTTCAGAATAAGCAAGTGTTCTCCAACAACTTCAAAGTTCAGATAGATGGGTAGAACCCAGGGTTCTTTCTCAGAGAGTTCTAGAATAGAATTCAGAGATAAGGTTAAATTCTGTAAAAACTTGGCCCCAAACAGATAAAATAGATTTCAAGAAAATGTTCCTTTACATGTATATAACATCTCTAATCAACACAGAACTGTAGTTATTTCACTATTTACTAAAATTTGAGAAATATCACCATTTCACAATTTTATTAGTAAATGGAGACTCAGAGATGTCAAAGATTTGCCTAAGGCCACAAAAAGTTGCAGATTGAACTCAAAGCCAGTGTAGGTGCCCCTGTATCAGCAACCCCTGAATACTCCATCAAGAGCCAGCCAACTTCTAATTACTAGAGCCTGCATTTTCTGTCTGCTAGATTTCTCTGTCCACCAAAGCTCACTCAGTCTGCCCATGAGCCCGCCGGAAGTAACAGGCTTCTTATCTCCTGGACAGGTCCATGTTCACCTAAAGGCTGGCTTGTATATACCCCAGTTCCCTTCCCCTCCACTACCTAATGCTAAGACTTCTACATCAGTGCTCAGATTTCCCCAGCAGGGTCAAGCTGAGTTAACCACACTCATAACTTGTTTGATAACAAATCTTTTACTGGCTGTCTTCCCATCCCTGTCTCATTCCTAGAATCACTTCCTAAATAAACTTTTCACTCATATCTTTGTTTCAGGGTTCGCTCCTACAGGAGCCTAAATGAACAGAGCCCAGTATGTCTGATTCAAAAGCCCAGACAAACTCATTTTCCTACATGCTGTTGAAGGAGGAAAGGCTGCATGTGCTGCTCGTTACCCTAAATAAGGAGAGAGAGGTGGGAAACTTGGGTGGGAAGCCCAAGTAGACGCATTAAGTCTGAGAACATAGAATATGGTTTCACGGCCAAGAACAGGCAATCAAGAGGGACATGTGCATTGGACAACACTTTATTGTGAGGATTTCCGGGCACTATCCAATACTTTCAACCAAGACACCAACTGATTCTAGGATTCTGCGCCTCTCCAGTCGGTAGCTGAGAGATGACAGAGCCCCATACAGGTGAACAGCATGAACGTATAAAGAATCCTTGAAAGATGGAGGATGGAACTGCAGGGAGCCCCTTCAGGGACCCTCATGTAGGGCTTAGAGGGGACCATATGAATTGCTGCTTTTGTTGGTGAAACAAGGCGGAATGCCAGCAGTTTTATATGATCAAACATAGACTGGAATTCAAAACATCTCATTTCTAATCTTTCTAGGACTTTTCAAATTCGTTCCTTTTCAAAGCAGTTTTCCATCATAGAAAATGCTTTGAAAGGACTTGTGTTGAAATCTCGACTGGCTGTATGGTGTTGAACGTGCCACTTAACCTCTCTGAGTCTGTTAACCTTCTCTATAAAAATGGGTGTATCAAGGCCCATCTTAAGGGGTTGTGGAAATAATTAATGGGATAATCAAAGTGAAACTCTAGATCCCAGCCCTCAACACAGAATGAGTGCTCAATAACCATGACCCATCCTGCTATGGAGGTGCCTTCCAACCCTAACCTTCATCTGTAAGAAAGCGGCAACCAAGATACAGGGGAATTGGAACACCATAAAGAATAATTAACAGTGATAAAGGTTTGCTGTTGATTTGTGATTTTTATATATTAAACTGTTTACCTTAAGGTAAAAGTAAATTATTTGATAGAATTTGGAAACTCACTAGGAGAATTTTTGTTCTAACATAAGGGAGAAAAAAATCCCTGAATGGCTTAAGCTTAAGTTTAAAACTGCAATTGTAAGATTTCTGGCATAAATAGTCAAGGAAGTTATTTGGAGTGAGGCAGGAGTTTCATTTCATCACTCTTAAATTCAAAATGCCAAAGTAGACTAAATATTTGTAATAGAAAGTTGTAGGAATTTCAGAATTCCTTTCAACTAGACTTGTGCACAAAATTTAGATCAGAGATTCTACCAAGTCAGATAAAATTTATGGAAGATGGGTTTTAAATTCAGAGTCCTATTTTTGACACCTCTTTACACAGTCATGTGTCACTTAACAACTGAGATGTATTCTGAGAAATGTATCCTTAGGCTATTTCATCATCGTGAGGACATTATAGGGTGTACCTACGCACAACAAGATAGTAGCGCCTACTACACACCTGGACTGTATGGTGTGGCCTATTGCTCCTAGGCTATAAACAGGCAGGTTAGTGTACTGAATACTATAGGCAATGGTGAGTACTTGTGTATTTAAACCCATCAAAACATAGAAAAGGTACAATGCAGCTGGGCATGGTGGTTGACTTCTATAATCCCAGCACTTTGGGAGGCCAAGGTGGGCGGATCACTTGTCGTCAGGAGTTCAAGACCAGCCTGGCCAACGTGGCGAAACCGCGTCTCTACTAAAAATACAAAAATTAGTCGGTTGTGGTGGCAGACACCTGTAACCCCAGCTACTCATGAGGCTGAGGCAGAAGAATCGCTTGAACCCAGGAGGTGGAGGTTGCAGTGAGCCTAGATCATGCCATTGCATTCCAGCCTGGGCAAAAGAGTGAAACTCCGTCTCGAAAAAAAAAAAAAAGAAAAGAAAGAAAGAAGGAGAGAAAGAAAGAAAGAAAGAAAGAAAGAAAGAAAGGAAGGAAGGAAGGAAGGAAGGAAGGAAGGAAGGAAGGAAAGAAAGAAAGAAAGAAAGAAAGAAAGAAAGAAAGAAAGAAAGAAAGAAAGAAAGAGAAAGAAAGATAATACAGTGCAATATGGTATAAAAGGTAAAAAATGCTGCACCTGTATAGGACACTTGCCGTGAATGGAGCTTCCAGGACTGCAGGTTGTCCTAGGTGCATCAGTGAGTGAGTGGTAAGTAAATGTGAAGGCCTAGGACATTACTGTACACTACAGTACACTTTATAAACACTCCGTCTACATCTAGGCTACACTACATTTTAAAAAAGACTATTCCTTCAATAGTACATTAACTTTAGCTTACTGTAACTTTCTTACTTTATAAACTGTCATTTTTAACTTTATAACTTTCTAATACCTAGCTTAAAACACACATTGTACAACTACACAAAAGTATTCTTTCTTTGTATTCTTATTCTGTAAACTGTTTTCTAATTTAAAATTCATTCATTTTTTTAAACTTTTTGGTTAAAAACCAAGACCTAAATACATACATTAGCCTATGCTTACACAGGGTCAGGATCATAAATATAATTGTCTTCCACCTCCACATCTTGTCCCACTGGAAGGTCTTCGGCGGAATAACACCCATGGCGCTGTGACCTTCTCTGATAACAATGCCTTCCTCTTGATTGCCTCCTGAAGATCATGCCTGGGGCTATTTTATAGTTAACTTTTTTAAAAGTAAGAATATATGCTAAAATAACAATTAAATGTACAGTCTAGTAAATACATAAACCAGTCACATAGTCCTTTATTTTTATTATCAAACATTATGTACTATACATAATTGTATGTGCTAGACTTTTATACGATTGGCAACACAGTAGGTTTGTTTACACCACCATCACCACAAACCCATGAGGAATGTGTTGCTCTATGATGTTATGATGGCTGTGCTCTGACTATGCCATAGGAATTTTTCAGCTGCATTATAATCTTATGGTACCACCATCATATGTGTGGTCCATCATTAACCAAAATATCATTATATGATGCATGACTGTACATGATTTTGGACAAAGCAATGCACTTTCCTGATTCTCAATTTTGAATCTATAACAGAAATATACCTACATCATACAATTATTGGGAGGTTAAATAATAAGAATGTCTGAAAATATCATTATTTTAGAAACTGGAGAGTATTCATTATTTGATGAACTGATCATTTGTACAGCTAAAAGATGATGACTGTCTCCTACCTACTCCATTATATGCAGCTGCGGCGGTTGCTCTTTGGATGAAGAGAAATGTAACGTGACATTGCCCAGAGGAATAAGCACACATCAGTTGCATGAGCAGGGGAAACATGATAAAATCAAAAAGCCATGTTTAATATTTAATTTATTATCTTTAAAGTAAGTCACATTATTTTATATTTGCAAAAACATCGAGCATTTTGAGCTTTAATGTGGTAGATTACATTTACTTTTTACATATCTGGGTACTAGACATCACAATTTTTCTTTCACAGATAAGACAAATAAGAAGCTTGGAAATGAACTGACTTCACTCATCCATTATTAAAGAAATAGTTCTCAAGTATTTAATGTAGTTTGGACATAACATGCCCAAATTGAATTAACGATCTTCCTCCCAAATCTGTACCTTTTCCAAAGGCCACCATCTTTCTCTGAAAAAGACAATTCTAGGTATACAGTGGACTAACTGTAGTATCACACTGAAAATTTCCCTTTCTTTTTCTGCATACATTACACCAATTTGCATGCCTCATGACTGTCTATAAAATGCATAACAAAGTTGTCCTCTTTTCTTTATCTCCACTAGTGCCAACTAGGCTGAGTCTCTGTTATTTTTACCAACTGAACCACTGAATTAGCATTTGATTTGTTTTCTTATGTCTCAGACTGGGTTTCCTGAAGAAAGTGTATTGGGCAAACAGTTGGCTTCAGGTAGCTTATTTGGGAGTTGATCCCAGGAAGCTAAAGTAAGGAAACATACAGAGAAAAATGGGGAAAGAAAGAAAAACAGTGAAGGATGCATCATTGAGCTAGTTATAGCTGGAGCCAACTGCAGGTCCATGCCTTGGTGATGTGCTGAAGAACCAGAGAAGATGAATCTCAAAAATTTCTTCACAAGTCTGGGGGCTGCAGCATTTATCTGCTGATTTCAGAATCCCATAGTGGAGGGTTTCCCCTAGGATTAATAACAACCCTACTACCTACCTCCTTCATCTTCACATTTCTAGGCTGCATCTGGGCTAGAACTCTCAAGGATTTGTATTAAGCCCCAAGGAATTCCTGTGAAAGATACGTGTAACCCTCTGTCTTAGTCCAGTTGTGTTGCTATAACAGAATACTTGAGACGGGGTAATTTATAAACAATAGAAATTTGTTTGGCTCATGGTTCTGGAGGTTGGGAAGTCCAAGATCATTGCACCAGCATCTGAGGGGGGCCTTCATGCTGCATCATCCTGTGGCGGATTGTGGGAAGGCAAAAGAGCAAGAGAACAAAAGAGTGTAAGAAAGTAGTAAGTTTACTTTTATAACAAGCCCACTATTGTGATAACTTAACCCACTCCCACAATAACCATGTAAATTCATTCATTAGGTCAGGGCTTTCTTATTAGGCCACACCTCCCAACACTGTTGCATTGGGAATTAAGTTTCCAACAAATTAACTTTTCAATTTGTAAATTAACAAATTAACTTTTGTGAACACATTCAAACCAAAGCACCCTTGAAGTGTGAAGCCATCAGTCTCCTAAACATGTGGTTCAGGAGTCATTTTTCCACACCATGATGGGATCTAGCACAAGACTACTGCCATTATCACAAGTTTTAAGGAGGTAAAAACCATTTTCTATGATAGAACACTTAAAAAGCAACTGATACTTAATGGGAGTGAATTTGAATTTATTTACTGTTGATGGCACTTAGGAGAACTGTGACCTTGTTCCAAATAATACCAGGGAGAATAAATAAAATTTTACTAAGCTGGACTGTGTCAGAAACATTTGAAATGAATTCTTCAATGTCTAATACACTAATAGCTAACCACATGTGGCTATTTAAGTTTAAATTAATTATAATTAAATACAATTAACATTAAAATAGCCACATGTGGCTAATGCCACCATCCTGGACAGACAGCGCAGATATAGAGCATTTCCATCCTTGTTTCCTTGTCTATTGGTTAGTGCTGGTATACATTATCTACAGTTGACTGCAAAAGCAATCTGGAATTCTTGACATCCTTGTTCAGGCCCCTTTAAAAATGCAATTTTGCAGAACTCCATCAAAAGTTGATGCCTGTTTCTCTACCCCTTAAATCTGAGCTTGCCATGTGACTTGCTTCAACCCATAGGAATATGGTGAAATTCATAAAAGCACTGACAAACATCTGTGCATGGCCACTCACTCTTGCTGCTCTTGGTTCCCACACTTCCTGCCATGTCTCTTTCAGGTTCTAGGCATCCAAGCTGTTCCCTCATCTCTTCAAGGCTCCTATGGCTGTGCTAGCACCTCTCTCTGCCTGAAAAGTACTTTTCCTCCACGCAACCATCTGATATCTTCTCAGATAGGAGGACTCAGCTCAAGTGTCTCTCTCCGTACAGCATCCCTGGGCTGCTTTTATGTCTTCTTCTCACCCCTAGCATTTTGCACAGGCTTTCAGATGGGAAGTGAGCAGATTATAATGTAACTCCTTCTCTCAGCTCTTCCATCCTTCTAGATTGAGCATCTCAGTGGGAAAACTTGATCTTATCCGTGTCTGTATTCCTTGCCTCTTTCATGATTCTTGGCACTGTGAATAAGTACCCCATAAATCCACAATAGACAATTGAAAATGCTTTACAAATTCATTCTGCACTTCATTTAACTTCTTGTACATTTCTTAAATGGATGCAATCCATACAGTAACAAACATCTGCTACCCAATTCCCCTCTCCAATTTGTAAATATTGCTCTGTGCTCCAAAATCTATCGAAAGTACCATGGATTTTTTACCTATTATATTATCCAGTCTTCCTGATTCTGACATTCCAATAATTTCAGTTCACAAAGTTTAAAAACTGTGGCCTAGTGGGCATAGCCTCCCAAACTCTCTTACTGGATTCCTGCTTGCTCTACGTCCTTCCCTACCCCCAGCATCATCCTTCAGAATCATAACTTAAGATCCCTCCACAGAATATCCCCACATGGAAAAGATTCCTAGGAGTAAACACATGAACTTTGGAATAGCCTGTCCTCTAACTCAAGTGCCCAGATTCACTTTGGAAGATGTTGAAAGAACATGGTTCTAGAAGTTGGGAAGTCAAAGAACATTGCATCAGCATCTGGAGGGGACCTTAATGCTGCAACATGCTGTGGTGGAAGATGGAAGAGCAAGAGAGCAAGGGGACAAGAGAGTAAGAAGTTACTATATTCAACTAGAGAAGCTTGCGTTTAGCCCTGGATTATCTACTGTATGTACTCTAATGTTTTATCCTTCCTTGAGGAAGGAGCTTAACCTCTCTGTGTCTTGGTTTACCCATTTCCTATTGGCAGCCTTTCAGAGTTATGTTGACAATCACAGACTGTGCATGCATATGTTCAGCAGTGTCTACTCCAGTGCCTGGCACTTTGGAGGGGCTTACAAAGGGCTTGCATGTAGCTACTAAAGAATATCTAGAATCCAAAATCTATTACCTGTTAGGATACTTCCTAGGCATGTGACTCCTCCTGTCAGAAGCCTCCCAGGGCCCAGAGAAGTATGTCTTCATGCCTTCAGAATCTTCTGACCATATAGTAGATAATGGATCTGGATAATACAGTAGATAAAAAATCCATGGTACTTTAGATAGATTTTGGAGCACAGAGCAATATTTACAAATTGGAGAGGGAAACTGAGTTTGGAAAATCCCTGTGATCTAAACCAACAGAGAATGGGAAGCCTTTAATTGTTGCATGACAAGTGTTTTCCACAATTTTTTCTGGACATTACAGCTGAGATCATGCCAAATAGCACCCACAAGGGGATGGTCTAGCCCTAATATAAGAGATGTTTGAGGGAAACTAGAGAGAAAATCTAAGAGACAATGAAAATGGCAAATCTACCAATTCCAGCCAATAATCTAGATATAGAAACCTTCCAATCAAATTTTATTGCTTCAAAAGAAGCCATTTGTGACATTTAGACAATATCATTTAGAAATCTGATAGGAGACAGGTGTAGAGAAAATTAAAATCTTGTTCTGTGGACTTACACAAATAATAATAATAATAATAATAATAATAATAATAGCAAACTAATAATCCCAAAGCAGTTACACAGATAGAAGAGAATGACAGAATTTAACTGGTCCGCCCAGAAAGCAAAGGAAATATTTGGAAGTCATCGACCTCTTGGCTTCAGGGATGATTTTTATACTCCACAGCATATGTGGCACCATCTGAATGATGCCTGGAAACATCTGTCCCCATCTCCCACTCAGGACATTGTCTCCACCAGCCTGCTTGGTGATGGACCTCAATCATCCCATAGAAACAAACGTTTTCTGGATACATTCTCTCTAGGTCAGCCTGACTTTTAGAAATGATTTTTTTCCCTTCCAGATCCTTGTTAAAATACAGTGAATGATTATTAGCACTGATGAATACTTTTAATGTATTACAATTATTAAATGTCCTTATTTACTGATATTTAAGGGTGTTTGCAAATATGCAATCTGTCTGGCAGTTGTGACATATTGTACTGAGAGTGCAAAAATCAAGAAGCCTGAATCTACCATGGGCTCTGCCAGTACTGAGCTGTGTGGTCAAACCACATCTTCTTTCTTGATTTCAATTCCCAGTGGTAAAATGAAGGGCTCTGATTAGGTAATATTTCATATCTTCTTCTGCGCTGACATTCCCTGACTCTACAGGTTCCTGGTGATATCTCAAGAAAAGAAAAGACAGCCCTGGTTAGTGTGAATTTTGAAGAGACAAGAGAAAGGAAATAAAAAGAATGAAAGTATGAGGCCTGCAACTGGGGAGAGGAGTGGCAGCAGGGCAGAGGCTCCCCAAGCAATTTGATGTCCTTGGGATGGAGGCACCAGAAGCTAAGGGAGCTACAAGAAGGGATCCAGCCTCAGGGAAGCTATTGAGAGGAGGGACAACCGAGAGACAATCGCTGCCTCCTTCCCAGGTTGGCCTCGGTCTGGCTCTACCCCAGATGCATCTTGCCAATATTTATAGGAAGTGGAATTTGTGAGGTTTGTAAATTCAGATACTTTTTTGAAGGACTTGAGAGAAGTAGTTGGGTTTATGATTATATTAATAAAAGCATTATAGACATCAAACTGTGAAAGAGCTCAGAGCTCCTCCGTAACCCTCACATTGTATAGAGGGGAAACCCAAGCCCAGAGAGGTGGATCCACTTGCTGAGGGGCACACAGCTAATGAGCAGGAGATGCAAGCTGCAGATAAATTTCAAATAGGAAAAAAAAACAAAAAAAAGATCATCCAAAGATTTAATTCTCCACTTCAAAATGCTGAATCAGAATATACAATTTTCCTTATGCATCTCAATTGCAACCTTTGTTGTAAAGCAACATTTAGGGAAAGTGTAATATGTGGAATTAACTTAGTCTTACTTAACTGACTGTTTGATATGCATAAGCTTTCAAATGCCTAACATCACTCATCTTCGGATGCTGAGCGTCTGACCCCAGGGGATGTCCTCCACTGGAATGGGCTGCCGAGGCCACAGCTTACCTAATCCCACAGGCAAACCAAGCAGACTGCTCCACATTCTGATGCTGGCCATGTGCAAAGCTTTTCCCTTAAAACCAGAAATAGCGGGGGTTTTTTTAGGTTATAGGGTTCAGCTTAAGAAAAGCCGATGAAGGAAAAGAAAGGATAGTGGGTGAGGGAGAGGAGGAAAAATAGGGCTAGAGGAAGAGGAGGAAAGTGAGGGTTGGTGGGAGAGGTCAAGCTTTAGGAACCTGAAGTAGCCATGACATTTGTGAACATAATTAGAAAAATGTTGTTATTTCCCCAAAGAATAACACAGATTTCTTCAAGGAAAGAACTCCTGTTAGTAGGTGTAGGTCTTCCATCTTCCAGACACACACAGATCCAATCTGCCTCACTTCAGGCTACTTGATCCTGAAGATGTATTGCTTTAATTCATCATTTCCAGGATAAAAACAGCAAAGCTCTCCAGTTTCAGAATCAGAAGCCATAGGAACCAGAGGAAGGCCGCGATAGCACTGCGGACCTTCAGTGGACCTTTTGGAGCCAGGGACTGCCAACTGCTCTTTTCAGAACCCTGCTTGAGGGCTCCTCTGCACCTCCCAGCCCTGCTGACCATGACCTCAGATGCCTCCCTGAAGGGATTCACTGGAACTTGCAGCCTCTTAACCTCAGCCTTGACCCATTGCCTTTGGTTTATGACTCTGCTCTGTTACCTGTCATGGACTTCACCACTTTTTATCTGCCCCAACAGCAACATAAAGATTAAAATTTTAAAAGCACTCTGATCTGCAAAGGACTTTTGGCTAAGAAAATGTCCTTTTCCTTCTGCAGTGTGAAGGAGAGAACCTGAGTGGATGAGGTGGAGTTTGAAGGGGCCGCGCTGAGTGTGTGTGCGGCAGTGAGGACGGAAGGGAGAGGCGAGAGCGCTGGGCCCTGGTGATGGGAAGAGGAAGGCTCTGCACAAACGTGAGGAAAGAAGACTATAAACAGAACCCAGAATGGCAGCCGCTCTATTTCAGGGGTAATCCTATCTATCAGATGCATCCTGCAAGGAGAACGCTTTCTAAAGGCCACTATCGTTTGTGGAGCTTTTGTATGTCAGGTTCTGGATTCCATGAATGTCCCACGTATTGACTTGTTAAACGTATTTCTTACAGACCTGAAATTACTGGTATAACTCAGGGCCAGGATTTCGTCAACTTTAACTACTTAGTCAGCAACATGATATGGCCAGGAGATGGGCAACAAACCTGTATTCAAACTCAGACACGTGTACACGTCATCCGAGCTATTTGAGCCATCTTTATAAAATACAGGCAGGCCAGGCGCGGTGGCTCACGCCTGTAATCCCAGCACTTTGGGAGGCCAAGGCAGGCGGATCACAAGGTCAGGAGATCAAGACCATCCTGGTTAACACGGTACAACCTCGTCTCTACTAAAAATACAAAAACTTAGCCGGGCGTAGTGGCGGGCGCCTGTAGTCCCAGCTACTTAGGAGGCTGAGGCAGGAGAATGGCGTGAACCCGGGAGGCAGAGCTTGCAGTGAGCTGAGATCACGCCACTGCACTCCAGCCTGGGCGACAGAGCCAGACTCTGTCTCAAAATAAAGAAATAAAATAAATAAATAAATAAATAAATAAATAAATAAATAAATAAATAAAATACAGGCGATGCTGAGGGGCTCGCCAGTGCCTCCTCCTCCAGCCCATCTCCATCATGTACCCCGCACGCATCCCAGCCAGGTGAAGCTGCTCTTTTAAAAGCCATCTCAGTCCCTCAAGATCTGAGCTTCAGGCAGGCAATATTGGAAAATCACCTTACATTTCTGGGCCTCAGTTTACCTTACTTGTGATGTGAAAATGATATCTGCCTTATAGAATTATTTAATGATGAAATTACCTGCTAACACCCATAAGCCATCAACAAAAACTAGGAGTGGTCCCCACCATGTCTCCCCAACTATGACTAGTGCGAAAGTGTTCATATTCCCAGTGCAGCACCTCCTCAATCTGGATGACAGGAAAAGGAAGCTTGTAAAAGCCCACAGGGCCGGTGATGTGGATTTAAATTGAGTGATATATTATTTTAAAATCTTTGCATTACAAAGAAAAGGGAAATACCACTTTTTATTAGGTGGACTAATTTAGCAACCAAAAGTAAGTCATTTTCCTAAAACAAAACAAAACAAATCTCATTTAGCTGAATTCTCCAGGTGGAGATTCTCTGCCTCTGAGTCTTGCATTCAGCCTCATTCCCCGGCCACTGCCTGAGCCCCTCCCTTTCCTCCACCACCATCTCTGCCCCTCCCCACCCTCTCTCACTGAGGCTCCCGGGAGGCCAGGTCTGTTCCTAGTTAAGGACAGGAAAAGAATGAGGTGAAGTCTTTGCTATTTGCTATAGATGTCAATTCCATGAAAGATCACAGGCAGCGTGTCTACATTTTTACAATGTGGTTCTGTATTTTCAGGGTTTTCTGTCTCCTCTAGTTCCTGCTCCAAACTCCCTGGTTGCAGACTGCTTTCAACCTAATGAGGCCTCTTCCTACCTCTCGGAGCAAACGCTGACGTCTCATGTCCACCTTAACATACACAACCTAGTGACTTCTTCTGAACTCTCCTTTTCAGTTAAAAATAATCACGGTCTAGACGTGCCTCTGTAACTTATACAATAAGAGGATCTGGTGTCCAAGAAAGCACTTTTAAAAATGAAATATAAAGCCCTGTACATTAAAAACTTAAAAAGCTTCTAAATTCTAAAAGGTAGAAATTAGACATGAACTGTATTTTCAAAGCCATGCTCAACTGGGGAGGGGGAGCCCCCCACAGTGTGACGTTTCTAAGTCATAGACAAGAGAACAGAAATATGAGAAAGATTTGTTGTCTCCCAGAGAGCAGATATTTCTTTTAATTTTTCATTTTGATTCAACTAAGATCCTCCCAAATGTGTTTTTGGTGAAGTGGTTTGAACATTTAAGGTTTCTCATTTTGCAAGACTAACCAATTATCATTTTTTTAAATTAAAAAAAAAAGTTCTAGGACAGTTGAAATAGAGGAGTTATATTTCAAGAATCTTCCATCTCTACTTTCTGGGCTGCTCCCTCCCCCTTACATTGCATTGGTGACATAAGTGATTGGATTTGGTCATTTGTGGGGCTGGAGGCAGGGAGGAGAGGAAGACTCTAGAGTTACAATTGACTTTACGAGTTTTAATCTAAAATTTTTTTAAAAAAATGGTAGTGCCATTTTCTAAATATCCCACACTGAAAGAACAGGTTTGGGGAGAGTGGGGGATTTTGAGTTCATTTTGGACGTGCTAGTTTTGAGGTACCTGTGAGGCACATCACTGGAGATGCTGAAGTGGCTGTTAGAGATTCAGGGCAGAGCTGGGAAGAATCTAGCTCAGAGTCTCATGCTGGAGGGCACCAGAAGGCAGCAGGTCAGTAAGGCCATTGGCGTGGGTGATGGTACTCAGGGAAGGTCCCAAGTTATTAGGAAAATCAAGATGCTCCCAAGGACTCCAACATTTAAATGAAAGGACAGAGAAGACAATGTTTCCAGGAGAATGGTCTAGCAAATAACCCATGCTGAGGGTTTGTCTTAGTCATTCTGGATTGCTATAACAAAGCTGTCATAGACTGGGTAGCTTAAACAACACATTGATTTCTAACAGTTCTGAGAGCTGGAAAGTCTAAGATGAAAGTCCCTGCCAATTGGGTTCCTGGGGAGAATTCTTCTTCTGGTTTACGGAGGGTAATTACCTTCTCCCCTTCTTGCTGTGTACCTATATGTCAGAGAGAGAGAAAAATTACCTCTCTCTTGCTGCTTATTAAAAGGGCACTAATCCCATTCACAAAGGCTGCACCCTTATGTCCTAATCACCTCCCAGAGTCCCTGTATTAGTCAGCATTAACCAGAGGGACAGAACCTAGAAGATATATGTCTATACAAAAAGAATTTTATTAGGCTCACACAATTACAAGGTAAAGTCCCATGATAGGCCGTCTGCAAGCTGGGGAGAGAAGCTGGTAGCATGGCTCAGTCCAAGTCCAAAAGCTTCAAAACCAGGGAGCTGAAAGTGCAGCTCCCAGTCCAGGCCCCAGGAGGCTGCTGGTTCAAGTCCCAGAGTCCAAAGGCCGAGGAACCCGGAGTCTGATGTCCAAGGGCAGAAAAAGAGGAAGCAAGCGTTTGGCATAGGGAGGAAAAAAGAGAGACAGGAGACTCGGCAAGCTGTGTCTTCTTCCCCTTCTCCCACCTGCTTTGTTCTAGCCTCAGTGGCAGCCGATTGAATGGTATTCACTCACACCTAGGGTAGGTCTTCCTCTTCCAGTCCACTGACGCAAACAGCAATCTCCTCTGGCAACACTCTCCCAGACACACCCAGAAACAATACTTTACCAGCCATGTAGGCATCCTTCAATACAGCCAAGCTGACACCTAATATTAACCATCATAGTCCCCACCACCTAATGCCATCCCATTGGACATCAGGGCTTCAGCATATGGATTTGCAGGGAGTGGCACAGGCTTTCAGTCCATAGCAGGGATTCAGGAGATGATGGTGCCAAAGTGTTACTGAAACTCGGTGCTGTAGAAGTCCTTGACAATGCAAGAGAAAACAGTTCGTGGTATGGCTGGGGTGGGGCACAGCCAGCTGAGGTGAGGACGCGTGTGGACCATGAAGGATGGAGAAGACAGAATTCATTTCAGGCTGCTCAGCTGACAGGCATGGGAAAGATTGGTTGAAAGCTGGAAGGGGACATTGGATTTAGAGATATAAAAACATGTTGTTAAAGATAGGAAATATTTGAGCATGTATGAGTGCTCACTCAGAGGAAAAGGGAGGGTTATTAAAGTAGAGAATAAAGACAATGATGAAGAAAATAAAAATTCTGGGAGACTCAAAAGAAGAGGCTGACTTAGGCAGGAGATTGGTCCAAGATGGCAGAGGACACCTGGAGTCATGTGGGGAAGAAATAGGGACAGGGTGTCCTAGACACACAGTGCCTTCATATTCAAGTTCCCGCTCTGCCACTTTCTAGCAGCAATTGTTGGGAGCTGAGTTGGGCTCCCCAAGAGATGTTGAAGTCCTAACCCAGAGTATCTCAGAGTGTGACCTTATTTGGAAATAGGGTCTCTGCAGATGATCAAGTTAAGAGGAGATTATTAGGATGGGCCCTTAGCAGATATGAGCATGTCCTTATAAAAAGGAGAAATTTAGACACAGACATGTGTGGACGAAGGCTTTAGGAAGACACGGGGAAGTCAGCCATCTACAGGCCAAGGAACACCTGAGGGACCAGAAGCTAGGAGAGAAGCAAGGAACAGACCCCTCAGAGCCTGCAGAAGGAATTGACCCGGCCAACACCGTCATCCCAGACGTCTGGCTTCTGGAACTGGGAGACAATACGTTTCTATCTTTTAAGCTACCAGTGTGTGATACTTTGTAATGTCAGCTCCAGAAAACTATAGTAATCTTGGTTCTTCATTTAAAATTAAGTCATTCCTAAATTTGAAGGATTTCTGTAGAGGTTAAATAAGGTACTATATGAAAAGTATTTAGTAGGCACTCAATAAAAGTTTCCCATGAATCTCATTCAGGTTTGGGTGATAATTATAAATGCCTCCCATTAAACATCTATAATTAAAGCCTTTATTGTTAATTATATTAATTATCCTAATAGGAACAGCTGGGGAAACAATCACAACACTCATTTAGCAAAACAGTTCTGGGTCACACTTCAATTGGCAGGAGCAGGGCTATTTCAGCTTTGTGCTGTTACTGCAGTACTCTCCGCCACGGTGCTTGCTGGATCTTGGCTGAAACAACAGCAAGGGGAAGTGAGGTGAAGCCCAGCCCAGCTGCAGAGGGGGCTTCCTGAGAAAAGGGGCTTAAATCACTTCATGCCAGGGTATCCATGAGATACGAGGAACATGGAGACCTTGTCTTTGGGGGCTCAAATATGGCAATGGTGAATCCCCAAGTATTAAGAAGTTGTATTTTTCTTAAGAGACAGGGTCTTCCTCTGTTGCCTAGGCTGGAGTGCAGTGGTGTGATTGTAGCTCACTGCACCCTTGACCTCCCAGGTTCAAGTGATCCTCCTGCCTCAGCCTCTCAATTAGATGGAATCACAGGTGCATTCCACCATGCCCAGCTACTTATTTTATTTTTTGTAGAGATAGGGTCTCACTATGTTGCCCCGGTAGGTCTCAAATTCCTGGTCTCAAATGATTCTCCTGCCTCAGTCTTCCAAAGCTCTCTAATTAAATGCATGAGCTACTGGACGCAGCCAAGTAGCTGTATTTTTATCAGAAAGAAGCAGCAATAGAGGATGCTCTCGCAAAGTGAGCCTTGCCAACATAAGAACCATATTATGTATGTTTGGCTTGTAACATTTTCTGGTTCTCATTGAGCAAAATGATATCTACTAGCCTACTTGGCACAGAGTAGGAATAATGAATTGTATTGGCTGACATTTGTAAAGTGTTAGCTATGTGCCAGGCATTGTTCTAACACACACACACACACTCGCACACACACTCACACACACATGTTTATGTGCTTTGTTAATCCTTACAACACTATGAAAAAAATCATTTATTATCCCCATGATACGGTTTGGTTGTGTCCCCACCCAAATCTCACCTTGAATTGCAATTCCCATAATTCCCACGTATCGTGGATAAGACCCATGGGGAGCTAATTGAATCATGGGGGTGGTCACCCTCATGCTGTTCTTGTGATAGTGAATGAGTTCTCAGGAGATCTGATGGTTTTATGAGGGGCTTTTCCTCCTTTTGCTCAGCATTTCTCCTTGCTGCCGCCATGTGAAGATGGAGCTGTTTGCTTCCTCTTCCACCATGATTGCAAGTTTCCTGAGGCCTCCCAGCCATGTTGAACTGTGAGTCAATTAAACCTCTTTTCTTTATAAATTACCCAATCTCTGGTATGTCTTTATTAGCGCTGTGAGGACAGACTAACACACTCCATTTTACAGATGAGAAAAGATAGGCACAGAGTTACTTAGGTAACTGCCTATGGTCCATGGTCATATAGATAATAAGCAGCATTTGGTAGTTTAATTCTTCTTTACCATTTCCCATGAAAATTGAATCTGGAAAACCACTAACTGTTGGGAGAAATAGGGGAGGGAAGATAGATTTGGATTCCTTGGGTTTGAGGTGTCTGCAGGATTTTAGTGAAGATAGCCAGCCAGAAGGTGATTATATAAGTCTGTCATCGAGAAAAGATGCCAAGAACCCAGCCTGGATATACAGATTTGTTTAGCCATTAGGAAAGTTAAGAAGCACATAAAAAGACAAATGGGATGGAAACAGACACTCTCTGGGAACTTCAAACGCAACCTTAAGATCTGGAAGTAGAGGGCTACAAAGGGAGAGAGAGAATACACTAATTAAAACACGCACACAAAGCTGAGATGCTGGAACAATAATTGATCCATATGTGAAAAACATTTTAAGAGCCCTGATTTTAAAGTTTGAAAGGCAAACCATTACAGCATTTTAAAGAAAATCTAGGAGAATATTTTTATGACTGCTGGGATATGGAAGTCTTTTTTAAACAAGACTTTAAAAATCCAATCTATAAATTAAATACATGGTAAGTTTGACTCTATTAAAATTGAAATGAATATCATAAACAAAGTTATAAGAACAAGCCACAGACAGAATGAAAATATTTGGAACTCAGAAAGCATGAAAGAAGTTAATAACCAAAACGTATGAAGAACTACTATAAACACATAAGATAAGTAACCAAAATGAAAAATGCAAATAGAAAGGAGAATTTGAACAGCTAAAAGTCATGGTGAAATTCTCAGCCTCATAAGAAAACAGAGAAATATAGACTAAAACCATGTCCTTTCAAAACTATAAAATGAGGAAAAATGTAAAGGTTTGATAATTTCAAAAGTTGAAGAAAATACGTAGCAAAGGGAACTCTCATACATTACTATTTGGTAGGTAAATTGGTAGAGCTAATTTGAAAAATAAGTTTGCTTTTTCTAATAAAGCAAAAAATGTATGGATACAATGACCTAAAATCATGCCACTGCATGTATAAAACTTAGAAAAGGTGATATATTGGGTTAGGGAGACACATAAAGACTGTCTGTATGGTGTCTGAAATAGCAAAACACTAGGAGCCACCTAAATGTCCGGCAAACTAACAATTAATAAATATTAACGTGAACTCTTCATACAATGTTATGCTATATAGCAATTAAAATTCATTGACTAGAACTCCATATAGTACCAAAGATGCCCCACAAAAATATAATGCTGAATTAAGAAGCAAGATGAGATGCATATGTACAGTATGAATTCACGACATAAAGTTATAATTATATTAAATAATACCTGTTATTTATAAATATACTCATGATTAGTTCACGTTTAAAAACATGCATAGGAGAAGGAACAAAAATTCAGAAAAATAGTCAACTCCGAGAGGGATGAAAATGGGACTGAGAGGAGGAACACTCCAGGGATGCTGAAGATCTTCTTCAAATATTTCTGAAATTAGGTGTTTATGATAACATGGTCCAAGTTTTTGTGAGCCTGAAATAGTTCTCTTTTTCAAAAACAGTGGAAGTAATACTTCTCAGTCATTGGCCGGTGAAATTTCTCTGGACTTCTGCGGGTGCCCATTCCTATCTCCTTCACTCCTTGATGTGGTTTAATCACTTGCTCCCATAATCTGACTCTGGATCTAAATTGGTCCCTTGGAATTTTGATACTGTGTTAGTTAAGGTTCTTCATAGAAACAGAACCAATTGTGTGTGTGTGTGTGTGTGTCTGAGTTATGATAAGGTATTGGCTTGCACAATCATGAAGTCTGAGAAGTCGCACAATCATGAAGTCTGAGAAGTCCCACAACCTGATGCCTGCAAGCTGGACAACAGGCAAGCCCAGGTGCATTTCCAGCTCAAGCTTGAGGCTTGAGCACCAGGGGAGCCAATGGCATAAGTCCTAGTCTGAGTCTGAAGGCCCCAAAACTAGCAGCAGCCACGTCTGAGGGCAGGAGAAGATGGATGTCCCAGCTCAAGCAAAGACAGCAAATTCATCCTTTCTCCACCTTTCTGCTGGAATCCAGCCTTCCACAGGTTGTCTGACGTCACCTGCATTGGCAAGAGTGAATCTGCCTGACTCAGTCTACTCTATCCCATGCCAGGGTCTTCCAGAAACACCTCACAGACACACCCAGGAACAATGTCTTACCAGCCATCTGGGCATCCCCTGGCCAGTCAGGTTAGCACATACAATTACCCCTCACAGGTGCTGTCTTGTCGAATTCATCTAATGTCAGCTCTTTCTCTGGTGCTACTTCCTGCCAAGAGACCTCAGCCCCGTTTTTGCCAGGTTCTGGTGCTGCTCTGCTGGAGACATGCACACCAGGATGAGGAACTTTTGACCAATCATGCCCTGGCCACGAACTTCTTTTTTTCATACACATGTTAATGGAATCCTGACAGTATTCCCATTTTAGGAGAGCAAAAGGAAGAAGAGCTATTCCCAAGCATTGAAAATAACATTAAGGGAAACTAGAGAAATAGAAGAGTGGTATCTTAGAATCCAAGGGAGGGGAGAGAGGGTTAAAGATATGGCAAAAGTCAAACCAGAATGGGTCATAAAAGACATTCCTTTTGACAAACGGAATGGGGCCACAGCTTGAAAGGGGAAGGAAATAGTGAAAAGTCGGCTCTTCCAAGGGGAAAGATCAGCTCCTCTTCTCTCCAGTATGGAGGCTTTAAGCATGAGAGAAATAGTCACCACTTCCTCAAGAAATGCTACTGCCCTTTGCCAGAACACTACCAAAATATCTGTACAAATGTATGATGTCTCCAAAGTGATTTGTACCACATGGGAAGGGGAATGTATATGGGATAAGGAGAAGACAGTGGGGAAAAAACAACTGAATATCCATGAATATCGAACATAGGAATATCCCAGTTGGATATTGCATGGAAGAAGGTTCCGAAGAGGAGGGAAATAAGAAATGGAGTCAAATAACACACAGGAATGGCATCGGTTTGCCTTGAGATAAGCAGAAAGGAAGCAGAGAGGTCGTGAGTTATTAGGAAACATTGAGGTGGAGGAAGAAAAGAGTTGAAGGGAGGGAAGGAATTCACCTTTAGTAACTTCTGTGATCCATGAAATAAGTTAAGGATTACACTGAGAGTGTGAAGGTCAGTGATTCAGTTAATGTCAAGAGAAGTCTCAAAAACTTGGTGCAGCCAGTTCGGGGAATAGGTAACTAACAAGGAATCCACCACTGAAGGCCAAATTGAGTTTGAAAGTTTAAAAATCAGTCATGGAGCTCATGCACACATCTGTGCTGGGCTTGGCAGTTGAGCAGCAGGGCTGGTTTGATCTAAAGACGGAGCTTGGCAATACTGTGTAGACGGGCATGGGGAAGCACAGATGATGGTGGGTACAGTCCCTGTGATTCGATTATCCCGCTTGCCCGCGAATGTCCAGATGTACTGGCTGATCATGAAATTATTTAGCCCTTTCTCAGAATCTAGCTATACGCTGGGCTCAGTGACCTTGTTAGGCAGCTGGTGGAGAAAGCTGTCTTGGTGGTCTCCTGAAAGGAATCTCCCATTTATGCTTTGGAATACCGGATTCTCCTGTTTTTTCCTCCTAATCTGTTCTGGTTTTGCCATCATATCGGATTCTAAACTGGTGGGTTGGATCTGCTGTGGATTCACTCTTTACACCTCTGCCTGCCTCAGCCAATACTCTTCCTTATACCACTTCTCCTTGAGTCACAGAAAAATATTTTTGTAGAATCGTTTATATTTAGGAATACAAATGGAGGTAGCTCTGAGATGGGGCATAGCACAATTTGACTCGCTTGGAAACATCATTAACAGCTGCAAGCTTCAATTTCCAGGCAAATTTCCAGGCAAAACATCCAGTGTAAAAAGTTGCTGGGCAGGACTCTTTTAGAGAAAAAGGAGAGACAGAGTAGGGAGGATAAACTTTATTTGTTTGTTTGTAATGAGGGAGACAAAGTACCCAGAGCCATCAGAAAAGGCCATGGCTATTCAGCCATCAAAGTTCATGGATTCCCACAGGGTCATGACTCTGATTTGAAACACAAATACACCAAGGATGAGTATCATGCTAGTTATAATTTTACTGAGTCTCAGTTAAGCAGTTCATACTTAAAAGACAGGGAGTTCATACTTAAAAGACAGAAGAAGGACTTGCGTCTTGGAGATGATATGCTTTATTAAGAGGTGGAGACAAATCTTTACAGTCAAGCTCCTGTTCTTCTATCTGCTTCATAAGACCAAATTCCATCCATTCTAACAGGGCTTCGAGTCCACAAACTTGCCTTGAGCCCCTGCTGTGCGTCAGGCATGGACTTATTTGTGTTGTTCTGTCAGTCTGGTGGAATTCCTCCAGCTTTGCTAGAATAGCTTCTTCTAGAACAAACCAGCAATTGTTTATCTATTCAAAATGTTCTGAGACCGATAACTTGCATTGGGAAACAAGGCTTCTGATATACAAATTAAATATCTCATGTGACATTACTGAAATTCTGAAAAGAATAACTGACTAATTTCAAATTAGTTCTTCTACCTTTATCAATGATGGGAATCTGATTCAATTGCTTTGCTGGCAAACAATATAGTTTTCCTTCATGGGCTATTTTCAAAGAGCTCATAACATTAAGAAACTCATTTGCTACTTTATCAAGACCCCTATGGAGTCAATTTATACAATGCACTTGAATAGCTTCCCATTTCATGAGAAATGTTAGACTAAATTTTTAATAAATATTTTTATTATCACAACAGATATTCGTACTGCATTTGTGTTGGTGTATTTATGCTTATAAAATGTGAATCTGATCGGTGATGTTGAAACAAAACCATTATGTTGTATGGATTATAATTATTTCCTCATAAACCCAATCCTATAAATGCATGGATTTGAACATTATTGGACTGATTAATTGGCAGTTCTTTCAAAATTTGGGCTCGATTTATTCAGTCATTTGAGTTATATCCATTTTTGTGCTTGTGTTTCTAAAATTAAGTGTCTTAACATTTTCTTGGCCTCTTTTTAAATTTAATTTGAAGTCTTATACTGCCTTGATGCATCCAGTGACTATTCAGCCAAGATTTTAACTTCATTTCTCACTTCATGAAAAAAAAAGATGATGTCAACTGGGTGGGCACAGTAGAGCGTAGCAGTAATCCCAGCCACTCCAGAGGCTGAGGCAGGAGTATCACTTTAGCCCAGAAGTTCGGGGCTGTAATGAGCTATGATTTTTGCTGCTGTACTGTAACCTGGACAACACAGCAAGACGTTGTCTCTAAATCTTTTTTTTTTTTTTTTTTTTTGAGACCGAGTCTTGCTCTGTCACTAGGCTGGAGTGCAGTGGCGCAATCTCGGCTCACTGCAACCTCTGCCTCCTGGGTTCAAGTGATTCTTCTACCTCAGCCTCCAGAGTAGCTGGGACTACAGGTGCATGCCACCATGCCCAGCTAATTTTTTTTTGTATTTTTAGTAGAGATGGGGTTTCACCATGTTGGCCAGGATGGTCTTGATCTCCTGACCTTGTGATCCACCCGCCTTGGCTTCCCAAAGTGCTGGGATTACAGGCGTGAGCCACCGCATCCTGCCTATTTTTTTAAATTATAAAATAATTAAATAAAATAAAACGTTAAAAATTTAAAGATGTTATAATCTTTCATAAGAAGTATAATATGTTGAACCTGGAGGGAAAAAACTCTCATTTAATTCTCATAGTAGAAACAGACCTGATGTCTAGGAAAGATTTTTGAAGCCTGAGTCTTAAATAGTAACAGAGCAAAACTTAGACCCTAAAATCATTCTCCTGGTGTAGTGGTCTTTCTATTACGCTCGTAAGGATTGTTTACATTTTTAAATACTCTTGCTTTGTATGCAGAGTATTTAATCTCTTCTATATTTGGTGATGAACTTAGCTTTTCTGTTGAAATATTCTAAGTTAGATATTTCAAAGTCTCTTTCAGTCCCCTCCCCTTATCTCCATCCTTTACTTTTTTCTCATCCCGTGCCCACATGCACCACCAGAGTCTTTTTCAACCTCACTCCAGCTAAAGGAGTCCACCTGTGGCCCAGGGTGTGTCATCACCAGAGATGATGGGGGCAGGGTAGGTAGGGTGGAGGCAGGTAATTGACATTGTTATAAAATTGACTGTTTACTTATGTATCTCTAAGAATGCACCTTCTTAGAGAGAGCAAGCCCTGTCCTATCCCCCATTAGATATTCAGTGTCCAGCAGAGTATGAATATGAATCTTTGTAGAATCAATTCATTACGTACTTGCTGATATCATGCAATTGTTGTATTTTCTTTCAGTAATTTTGTGATATTTGAAAGAATATTTATCCACCTGAGCATGAGCTTTAAGAGGTTACTTGATTAACTGAAGGCTCCGTGGAACAGCCCTGTATTAGACAAAGCCTATGTTCTCTTCAATACCCCACACAACCTCCTAACATAACACATAGATGTCAATGAGCCTTTTTCCAAGGCCCATTTAAGGTCTTAGCTCATTACCATTCTTTGGCAAAGTCTGTCAGTCTGTCTTCATATTTACTATGCAGAACAACAATTCACTTTTTGTGTAAGGGCATTGCCTTAATGCAAATGTTAACAAAAATAACAAGAAAGAATGATGTAGAAGCTATCAGTTCAAGAATCAGCTCCTTAAAAAGACTGTTTCAGGTCCAGTTCAGAATTGGAGAATAAATACACACATTTGTTCTCCACCTTTCAAAAACCTCCACTGAAATAAAAGCTTAGGATCCCTCAAAGAGTGGATTGGATAGGTGGGGTTTATAGTAAACAAGAGTTAAGGGATTTCTGCCAATTTCTGGAAGGAAATGGGAGAAGATAGTAAGCTGAAACAAGCAAAGCAGCTCAAAGCTTTAAAAGGAAGGCAAGCAACCTAGCCATTGGAATTCAGGGAGGCCCTGGGTTCAGAATTAGAAAGTAGGAGAGAGGTTGATATTTAGAAGTAGGACTGAAAATAAGAGATTAGTTAATAGTGTACAAATGAGTCAACCACACCACTGGACACACTCATCCTACCTCAGTAGCCCAAGTCCGTTCAGGTGGTTGGCAGCATTCAGTTCCTTGCAGTTATAGGACCGATATCCTCATTTCTTCTTTGGCTGCATGGTGAGAGCAGCTCTGTGCTTTTACAAGCCTTTACAGGTAGCCTGCAGGAGAGAGGATGTTATCATGGAGCCACACACACACACAAATGCTGAAAACAACTGTTCTTGGAGAGTAAATATATGAGGACTAATATATACTTCACAATAAAAGTTTTCAAAAATAAAATTTTTAAAAATCTCCCAGACCTTAAAATGAGATTAAAAATACAAAAGAAAACTCAGACAAAATCAATGTAAGAGACAGATATCAAACTGATAAAGATCCTAGAAAAAAGTAAAGAAAATAAAACAGAGAGCAAGAAATAGCAGAATAAATAGTAGAATGACAAAAATAACAGAAGAAACTTCCTCCAGGCTGAAGAGTGACCAGAATCTTCAAATGAAAATTTCCACCAAAAGCTAAACACACTTAATTCAATAGCAACAAAGATACACAAGGATTAAAAAGAAAAATTCTAAAACTTGGGCCGGGCATGGTGGCTCACGCCTGTAATTCCAGCACTTTGGGAGGTCGAGGCTGGCAGATCACAAGGTCAGGAGTTCCAGACCAGCCTGACCAACATGGTGAAACCTCATCTCTGCTAAAAATACAAAAATTAGCCAGGTGTGTTGGCGCATGCCTGTAATCCCAGCTACTCAGGAGGCTGAGGCAGGAGAATTGCTTGAACCCGGGAGGCAGGGATTGCAGTGAGCTGAGATCGTGCCATTGCACTCCAGCCTGGCAAAAGAGAGAGACTGAAACTCGGTCTTAAAAAAAAAAAAAAAAAGAAAAGAAAGAAAGAAAAGAAAGAAAAATTCTAAAATTTTCCAGAAAGAAATAATCAAGTCACCTGCAGACAGAAATAAGACTGACCTCAAATTTCTTATTAACAATATTTGATAATAAAGGACAAACATATAATGCCTCTAAAATATTGTAGGAAAATGATTTTCGACATAGAATTTATACCCACTGAGGTATCAATTACATTTGAGGACAAAACCAAAATATTTCCAGATACGTAAAGACTTGGAAAGTGTACCTTCCATGCAGCATTTGTTTTTTAGGGAGTTGCATTGAAAAATATACTTCAGTAAAACAATAGAGAAGCCCAACAAAGAGTAAAAAGAAGACATACAAGGAGATTCTAAAAATAGTTGACTCTGCTCAGGAAATGAAAGAGAAGTCCCAGACGACTGCTAAGATGCTGCCTGGGAGCAGCAAGATAATAAAAGACAAGAAGGAGGTCTGGAGGTAGAAAGCTAACTTGCTAAAATAAGAAGTGTGTTTAAGAGTTTGAAAAATATGTAGGGTAGAATAATAAACAACACTGCAATAAAAAAAGGAAAACAAAATTCTGTATGAAATGAATGGTTCCATTATGAAGAAAACTGATAGGATGATTTCATGCAATGCCAATGGACGACAATTTATTGGGTGGCTTAGAGCGTCTTGAGAGTATGCCTGTGGCAAAGAAAATGTGAGCCTAGCATCGTCCTTAGCCTAGCATTGAACGGTGTTTACACGGTCATATAATACTGATGTCGTTTATTGGTTTTCAAAGTTTAAAGTTGGCAGATAGGCAGAAGTGAGTGCCACTAGTAGAAATGTTGAAAATGTACATGTGAAACTGACAGACAATAGAACCCAGACTAGGAGGAGGGTTGGGGAAGGCTAGATCCAATAAACATTTTCTAAAGTAGGGAGTCAAGAGATATTGTCAAATATTAATAGGACATCAAAAGGAAATCTAAATATGTTCTAAAGCCAAAAGGCAACCAATGAAAATGATGATGATGTATGAAAGTATTGACAGGTGATATAGGGAAGACCAAGTAGCGTTGTTGAGGTAAGTCCTCATCTTTCATGTCCAGAAACAAAGAAATAGAAGTATAATAATATCACTGGAATGAGAAGGAAATTCACCACAGAGCCAAAAATAGAAACTCCTAGTACTAGAGCTACACATGGTGGGGGATAGTGGGGTGGCCGTGGCCAGAGGCATGTCCTGATCATCCAACTTTATTGTGCTTTTGTAATTCACAATTGCAAAAATATGGAACCAGTCCAAATGTCCATCAATTAATAAGGGCATGAGGAAATTGTGGTGAGTGAGTGTGTGTGTGTGTATGTATATGTGTATATATATATATATATATACACGCAATGGAATATATGTGTATATATATATATGCAATGGAATATATATATATATATATATATATATATATATATATATATGCAATGGAATACCACTCATCCATAAAATGGAACAAAATAAAGGCATTCACAGCAACCTGGGTGGAATTGGAGACCATTATTCTAAGCGAAGTAACTCAGGAATAGAAAATCAAACATCGTATGTTCTCACTCATAAGTGGGAGCTAAGCTATGAGGATGCAAAGGCATAAGAATGATACAGTGGACTTTGGGGACTCAGGGGAAAGGATGGGGGAGGAGGAGCGATAAAAGAATACACCTTGGGTACAATGTACACTGCTCAGGTGATGGGTGCACCAAAATCTCAGAAATCATCACTAAAGAACTTATTCATGTAACCAAACACCACCTGTTCCCCAAAAACCTATTGTAATTAAATAAAAATAAAAGATAAAGTTACAGTCCCACCAAAAAAAAAAAAACACTTTTTATGCTTTTGCTGTGTAATTATAGGTTCTTGTTGTGACAAAAAAATTGAAAAGAGACTAATCTGAGTGATCAGTTGGTGTCCCTAAATGAATCTATGGAGCCTTGGGGAAACAAGGGTTGTTGTTGTGTAACAGAAAAGAAAGTTGCATTTCAGGTTTTTTCTGACAGTAACAAGGAGTGTGACATTGAGAAAGTCCCTTAAAGTATCTTGCTGAGAATTTTGTTAACTGCGAAATTCATTGCTTGTAATATATTGACGGTCTGTACATAACAACTTAGAAGGCATTCAGGAAATTGGCACACAGCAGAAAATGACCTCCCAATCAAGTTATTTATTATTTATTTATTTATGTATTTATTTTGAGACAGAGTTTCCATCTTTTTGCCCAGGCTGGAGTGCAATGACACAATCTTGGCTCACTGCAACCTACGCCTCCTGGATTCAAGTGATTCTCCTGTCTCAGCCTCCCAAGTAGCTGGGATTACAGGCACACACCACCACACCTGGCTAATTTTTGTATTTTTAGTAGAGATGGTGTTTCACCATGTTGGCCAGGCTGATCTCGAACTCCTGACCTCAGGTGATCCACCCGCCTTAGCATCCCAAATAGCTGGGATTACAGGCATGATCCGCTGCGCCCGGCCAAGTCAAGTTATTTAAATAACACTAGTCTCATTCAGAAGGCCCACAGTGTGTTTTCATGTCACCTCCTCTCCCTTCTTTGTCAGAAAAAAATGGAAGAGCACGTGGATGTTTTGAGATGAGAAGAGATGCATTCACCACCTTCACCTCCTTGTAGGCTTGTTATTAAGGGAAAGGGAACAAAGGAGTCTCACTTATGTAAGATGACCTTACATAAGAAGAAGAAATTCGAGTTGGTGAAAAGAAAGAAATTCAATTTCGGCCGGGCGCGGTGGTTGACGCCTGTAATTCCAGCACTTTGGGAGGCCGAGGCAGGCAGATCACGAGGTCAGGAGATCAAGACCATCGTGGCTAACACGGTGAAACCCCGTCTCTACTAAAAAATACAAAAAAAATAGTTAGGTGTCGTGGCGGGCGCCTGTAGTCCCAGTTACTCGGGAAGCTGAGGCAGGAGAATGGCGTGAACCTTGGAGGCGGAGGTTGCAGTGAGCCGATATCGCGCCACTGCACTCTAGCCTGGGGACAGAGCGAGACTCCTTCTCAAAAAAAAAAAAAAGAATTCAATTTCAACAGTCTAATATCCTGGCATGCAAGAGAGAAATTCTAAGACTGTCTCAACTGTAGAAATGTTCAGGGGGAAGAAAATAGATGATTATTTATTCTGGTTCATTCATTGTCTCGTTGAGTTTGTCAGATGCCAGATGAGGTGCCTTACATGTGTTCATAACCTCAAGACATAAAAGGGAAGAAATTTTAGAATGATTCAAGGATATCACTGTTTTGCCTAATAAGCAAGTAATTCAGTAAGAGACACTTATTAACAAATCTAAGAATAAAGCTTCCTTTTTAATCACAAAACTGCCTTTCTTCACATTATCTTTCTTTACATTCTTTGACAAAGTACCTCAACCCATCAATATTGTCTGTCTTATCCAAACTGAAGGATTATAATCCAGATTTAAGAAAATATCTATCAAAATAATGACACCATTGACCATGTACTCAGTATCTGCTGGGTATAGGGCACAACAAATATCTCTCGAGTTAGAACCAGGCCCTGTGCTGAGGCCTCCACTCCTCTCTAGCTCATGTGCACTGAGCAGCGAGTGCCACTGGCTCCTTGAAAGCTGCTCAGGCACCACTGTTTTTAATTCCCACGAGAGGTGCTGTGTGCACCCCAGTGGACAGATGAGGGAATGGAGAGCAGGTGGATACCGTTGGGTAGAGAGCCACACATGGTTGGATCCAGCTCTAGAAGGACTGACCCCTTCTCTACCCAACTCGAGAAAGCCCACTGTCAATGATCTCAACCTCTACTTTATGTCTCCTATTTCTGGAACAGAAATGACCTCATGCATATTTCAAATTCTCCAGCTTTTCCTTGCCTTTCCTCCATCTTGTCACTACTCAGATAGGAAAATGATATATACATATATGTTAATCATGTACACTTAATTTCCTAGATGTAATTGAGTATAAATTTCAGGCAAAATGTTAACTTGAATATACTTTTATGTTAAAACTTTTCCATATTTCATTCACTTATCATTAAGAAAGCAAAACCTTTGCACAAAATATTGTGCTAGCCTTTGCCAGGAGACAGAAATGAGGAGTCATGGGCTGTGTTCTTCAGGAGCGTTGAGTTCTCCCGAGAGTGGGAGAATACACAGGTAAGCCCAATAGAAAGCAAAAGTCAGGGCCGGGCATGGTGGCTTATGCCTGTAATCCCAACACTTTAGGAGGCCGAGGTGGGCAGATAACTTGAGGTCAGGAGTTCGAGACCAGCATGGCCAACATGGTGAAACCCCGTCTCGACTAAAAAAAAAAAAAAACACACACACACAAAAATTAGCTAGGAGTGGTGGGATATACCTATAATCCCAGCTACTTGGGAGGCTGAGGGAGGAGAATCACTTGAACCAAGGAGGCAACGGTTACAGGAGGCGGTGATTGTGCCACTGCACTCCAGCCTGGGTGACAGAGCAAGACTCTTGTCTCAAAAACAAGCACACAAACAAAAAGTAAAAGTCAGGTGACTGAGGCAGTGATGATTGCCACATCCTGTGCAGGGCAGCCTCTTGGATTTGTCTCAAAACACACTCGATCTAGTTCTTGACACCCATTGAGATGGATGCTAGGCTATAGGCAGTTACATAAGATCTTCGAGCCTCAGTTTCCTTATCTCTGAAGTGAGAAAAGTAATATTGATATTGTTAAAAAGGCATGAGATTTAGATATAAGTAAAATACTTGTATTTTACTTAGTACCTACTGAATCTTCATGAGTGAGTCAAAGAAAGCAAGTAGAATTAGGCAGGGTTGTGGGGATGGGGAGAGGCAAGCTGTGCTAAAGACAGGGGAAATGGGCAGATAGAATGCAGGGCTAAACACAGATACCTACAACCTGCAGCAGAGGCAACTTACTGAGCTTAACATAGAGAATACAAGTCACTTTAAAATGTACAGCTCTATGTTACTTTTCACCCCACAATAAAATCGGTCCTTACCTAGAAAAAAAGTAAAGATAAAAATGAAAGAAAAGAGGGGTGGGGAAAGTAACATACAGGTGTACACATTCAGACCTTTGGCATGCTTACATCAGAGAAAGAACACTTTTGCAAGTTTTCTTGGCACAACGAATGGTAATAATTTTTAAGTCTATTGTGTCTGTCATCTATTCATATATTCTGAAACTGCTGACCTCTCATTGACAACAGTATGCCTCTTTTTCTAAGATTAGAAATTTTAAAATGTAATTGCTGACAATAAACAATGGACATTATGCTAAGTGGAGTGAGCCAGTCAAAAAAATAAACAAACAAACAAACAAATAAATACTACATGATTCAACTCATTTTAGGTTGGTGCGAAGTTATTGTGGTTTTTGCCATTAAAAGTAATATAAAGTACCTGGAATAGTCAAATGTATAGCAAGAGAAAATAGAACGGTGCTTGCCAGGGGCTGGAGGGAAGGAGAAATGGGGTTGTTCAGTGGGTGCAGGGTTTGAATTTTGCAAGATGAAAGGGTTCTGTGGCTGGATGGTGGTGATGGCTTCACAGCACTGTCAACGTGCATGATGCCACTGACCTGCGCACATCTTAAGTGGTTAATGATAAATTTTATGTCATATGTATTTTTTCACAGTTGAAAACACTTTTAAAAACCATTCTTGTTAGTACTTAAAGAACTGCAAAATAAAAAAGAGACATTTTTAAAGTGTGAAGTGGTGTGCACAGGTTCATTGTCTAGGTGTGTACTCATGAAAACAAATCTCTTGTGTTGCAGATAGCGCTCGTTAAGGTTGATTTCTGCATATCAGTGAGAGTTCAATGATCTTACATTCAACATAAATATGACAACTTTACAAACATCCCCCCTTTCGTCCACTGAGTGAGTTTATCAGGAAAACCCAACAAAATCCTTCCAGGCCTCCCCGGGGGAAGGTACACAGTCCCCTGCTCTGGAGGAGGACATGGAGGCTCACGCTGGTTAAGGGAGTTTTCCAAAGTCACCAGCAGCAGGGAATCTTCTGAAACTGCTGACAAGTCCGTGCTTTTCCCACGTCCACTTACATTATTTAGGCAAGACCCACTTGGGAAGCTATTTCTTCAAGGCATGATGGGGACTAGGTTCAGGATGGTAGAGCAGGGCTGTTTTTGAAAGGCGGTCTCTTTCTCTTTGCACCAAGCTTTCCGTAAGTGTGTGGGTGACCCTCCCAACTTCCTCCTCTCTCCCACAACCACCGCCCTCGCTGCTTCTCTCAGCTTCTCTCCCCGACACCTGGATGACTCCTCTTGGCTACCTGGGGGCTGGCATTGTGGGAGGCAGCCGACGCCAGTGGGTGCTGCTGGGATCCCTGCCCACACCCAGCAGTTGCCTGGAGATGGAGGTATGCCAGGTATGTGGGCCAACAGCTGCAGAGTTGCCACTGACAGGCCGGAGGAGGATTCTTTGTCAGTGACCGCACCAGCCCGAGCCCCTGCCAGCTGTCCCACTCAGTATGCCCTGGCTTCCAGGGCCCCAGCCAAGGAAGGGTGTGGACATGTGATACAGTGGTGGCCACAAGGCAGGGGTCAAGGGGAAGGCAGGCCGATACTAGCAACAGAGGAAATGACACTTCAGAAGCGTCCTCCCTTACAAACAACAGCAACTGTGTGTGTCCCAGTGAGTATGGGAAGCTCAGTCTCCTAACATCATTCAAGGGTCTCCAAGTGACTGTGCATACAGTTTTAAAAATATCACCGAACTTGTTTTTCTTACCCCAGCCATTTTTTATAACTATATCTAGGGAATGGGTTGGTTGACTCTAAAGAGCAAGGAACTAAAGAAAAGATAAACATGGAAACTTCAGGTTTTCCAGAATCTTGCATATTTCCCTCCTGTTTCCCTATTATAATTTACATTTAAAATGGAGAGATATGCAGTTTAAGCCAAATGTTTTGAATCATGAAAACAAGTGAAACTCTTTTGCCTGTTCATGATAAACCTTCGGATTTGGTGACTTCTTTCCACCAAGGCAAGATAGGTTTCACTCGGGGGAACTGAACTGGTGTGGTGTTTTCTGCCTTCAGCCATCTGTGTGTACACTGTGACAATATGGTTCTGTGCTGGATGAGACGCCTACTATTTTTTCATTTCACTAAAGAGCCTCAAGTTGCTCAGCTACAACCTGGAGGAAGTGTTTGAAAGCTGATTTTCTGATGCCCAGCCCCAGGCCTCCTTTTCCACCGCACAACATCAGACCTGCTTTTCTCTAAATCAGAATTAGGCACGCCAATCCAGATGAAAGAGCCCTGTCGTTGAAATGCCTTTCTTTGGCCCACACTAAGTATAATTTCTGCTCCCATTTGAACTCAACATTTATATTTTAACAGCTGCTGCTCTCTAAGCAAACTGATTCACATAGAAAATCCAGGATTGTGATTACTTATTTTTTCCTCTCTACACACGAAACAGATTCCCTGGAAACACAGTTATCTTAAGTAGCTGGAATTGTCTAACTTCGGTTACTTTATTATTTACAAATCAGCCAGGTGAGAACAAGAAACTGAAAAGCAGGAAACAAGATAGGCAGAGAAACAAAGGTCTTGATGGGAAGAGCAGCAGGATGCCTGAGCAGGCCCACCGGGTTCTCAGGGCTGCAGCAAAAATCAAAGAACAGTCGTGGTCTCGGGACTCGCCATAGATCAGACCACAGCTTCCAACCATGCCACAGGCTGTCTGTGTGTTCCCTGCACACCGTTCATTTTTTTCCTTCTATTTTAACGATCTGAAACCAAGTTTGGGCCATGTGTAGACAGGCCGTTCGGAGGAGGCTTCGGGAAGGAGGGTGCATCTGAGACTAGTTGTAAAAGAGGAGGAGGATTTCCACAATCGCTCAAAGGAAAGGGGCATTTCAGAAAGAGAGAAGAGCACGTTCACGTGAGCCCAGGTAGGAGCACGGGGCACACGCATGAAACTTCCTGATGCTGGAGTTCATGCGCACGGTGGACGCAAGCTTGGCAGCCCGCAAGGCAGAAGGGGAGATGGTGCAGGAACAGTGGCTGCTCCAGGAAACTTGAGCTCCATTCTGCAGGCTCAAGGAGAGATGAAGTAAGAGGAAGGACTCCTTGGGTGCATTGTTCATGGGAGGACAAATTAGAAAGAGGGTTATCTCATGGCAGGCAGCCACTTCCAAGTAGGGAAGTTGGAGAACTTGTTGTCAGGTGGAAGAAAAGAGAAGACCCTTGAAAAGTCATCCAGGAACGGGTGTGCACACACATGGAGTGTGTCCCTCATGCCGTAATTCCGATCCAGGTCCTTGACTTAACTGCATTGCCATTAAGCTTGTGAAAGGAGGGGAAAGCCAGTACCAGACATTGGTTATATGTCCAATATCTGTTTGACTCTTTGTTGGAGGTATTACCTAAGTTATTTTACAATACTTTAAAAGCAATTCTACAAAGCCCATTGCTATTTTATAGAAATGAAATCTGAAAATGAAGAGGGTCAAGTAAACTAAGAAGTCTACGCATAACTAAGAAGTGGGGCTGCCTGACCCCAATCCTGCACTCTTGGCTCTTTATGACTTCACTTGTGAGCATACTGAACTCAAAGTGTTCTGGACGTCTCCAGGTAGAGGGCTCTAGGAGGCAGCTGAGTACGTGAGCCTGGAACTTAGGAGAGTTCCAAGCAGGGCTGTGGGTGTGGGATGGGGTGCATGGGAAGGAGGTTGTCAAAGCAAAGCAATGCGCAGCTGCTTAGGGAGGGGGCACAGGAGAGTGGCCTGGCCCTTCTTAGATCATTGTCAACTCAACTTGTCTAAATGGCTTTTATGACCTCAGTTATCACCTGTATTAATTCTGGCCTATGGTATTTTGCAGCTCTTCGGGAAATAGTGATCCTTTGTTTCTGACAAAGTTCTTCTTAAAGGGTTTATTGTCTTATTTACTAGGAATCATGGGGAATAGAGTGTTACACAATGTAATTTTTTCCCTAACAAATAAAGCTTATTTTTATAAATTCCAAGGCTTTTAATTTGAATCATGCTTAACTATTTTTCTATATTTTATTACATTGTTTGCTTCCTCCCTAAAGACAGTATATTTTAGTATTTTCACAGAAAAATGAGAAGCCCTCATTATGAACATACCTGATTAAATTGAGCATTTCCAAGTGATGTCCACATCACTGCTCAAGTGTTATGAGGTCACAGGATGAACTACTGCCCCCTGAATGTTGCTAGAATGCTGTGCCTTTATTTATTTCATTGGACAACTCATTCAACATATATTTATCAAGTGACTCCTATAAGAGTAACTAAAATAGAATTTCCTGCTTTTGTAGACCTTACACTATAGTTGATTCCATAGTGTCTAGTGTTTCATGAAATTATACAAAATTTCACTAAATCTAAAATACCATTGGTAATGACATACACTTTTTAATGCACTAATATTAAATAATGCTGAAATTAAGTTATGCTTATCTAATGTAAGATACATTGCAATTTCAGATACTAAAATCTGAACAAGTAGACAAACGTTTCTCTTGAAATCACTGAAATCTATATCCAAATCCCTTAGAAGAGGGTTAGCACATAGTATTCCAGGAAAGCAAAGCTCTAATTATTATTGTTGGATTGTACCCAGATTATGTTACTATTTAAGTTTCTACTTTATGTAAAGCACTTTTTCATATGGATATTCTTTATCCTAACAATAGTCCATTTGTTACACCAGAAGTAACACCAGATACTTCTGAATAATAATGGCAGTTAAATCTGTGGTTTTGTGGAATTTTGCTTATATACGTCACTGTTGATTCAAACAATATAGCAGCTCTAAGAACATCTGTGCCTCCAGCCTCTGCATTTCAACCATGAGAGCATCATTTCTCTCCATGATGCTTAAATTAAAAATCTAAATATTTGGTAAATTTTACGCTTTTCTAGATTATGTTTTATTAATATTATATTCTAGTAAAAAAATAATGTTCTTAGCCTGAGAAAGATTTTACAGAAAAGCTTTAGTAAACATTATACTTCATAATGTACCTGTACTACACTAAATGTATAATGTACTTATACTAAAGAGTGAACTATATTATCTTTGAATTTAGGAATAAGATGAGTAAATATGTAAATGTAATAATGAGAAACTATTAAAATGCAGTAGTTTCAATATGATTATTTAAATAGAAAATCCAAAAATTTGTACATGAATTAAATTAATAAACAAATTCAATGAATTTACTAGATACAAAATTCATTGTCCAAAGGAATTGTATTTCTTTACACCAGCAATAATGTTAAAAATAATAATTTATAAAATTAACTTCATATTTCATGAAAAGTATAAAATTTAAGAATAAATTTTAAAATAGTGTACGAAGTCTTTATATACAATAATATAAAACTTTTGTACAATAATAACATCAAAATGAGGGGTGATATGTATTATGTTCATAGGCTAAATGTCTCACTTTTATAATAATGTTAATTCTCCTCAAACATATTTATATTATGCTTGAGTTTGACAAAATTATATAGGTTTGACAAAATTCCAATAAATTCCCAATACATTTTGTGGAACTTATAAACTATACAATAAAGGCCAAAACAGTCCTTAAGAAAAACAAGTTGAGAAGACTTGACATATCATGAATGATTTGAAATTTACAAATTTCAGAATTTTTCCCATTGTAATATAAGCATGTAATAGTATCACATTTCCCCAAATGGCTACTTTAAGTGCATCCTACAAATTGTGATATATTCTGTTTTTGTTTTCATCTTCGTTCTCTTTGAAATACTTTCTAAGTTCATCTGTGACTTCCTCCTTGACTCAGGAATTTTTAGAAGTGTGTTGTTTCATTTCAGAACATTTGGAAATTATTTCTAGTTTCATTTAGTTGTGCTTAGAGATCATACTGTGTATGATTTCTATTCTTTTTAATGTACTGAGACATGTTTATATAGCCCAGATTATCATCAATTTTAGTGAATGTTTTAAATGTGCAGTTGATAACAATGTCTTTTATATTGCTGTTTAGTGGACTGTTTTAGAAAAGTCAGTCAGGTAAATCTGATTAAGAGTATTGCTTTTCTTCTATCCTTTTGCTGGTTTCTTATCTCATTCTATTAGTTACTGAAAAAAATGGGTTAGAATCTACAATCTCCAACAATAACGGGATATATCCCTTTCTTTTTTCTGTTGTATATTTCTTCTTTGTATATTTTAAAGCTCTATGGTTGGGCAATATTTGGTATTGTTGTGTCTTCTTGTTGAATTGACCCTTCTAACATCATGAAATGTTATGCAATTCCGGTAACATTTCTTATTGTAAAACTTACTATTTCTGTCCAAATCTATGCCCTGTCCCTTTATAAAATAATGATGATGACAAATAATACATAATATTTATTGTTTTTTTATCTCCCATTTTTAAAAATTCTGGGGGTTTAGATTATTTGAATTTATATAATTATTGATAAAACTAAAATCAAATCCACCATCTTTCTATTTGTTTTCTACTTGTTCCATCTTACTTCTTAATTTTATTTTTATTTTTTAAATTTTTATTTCATCTAGAGTTTACAATACACATCTTTAACTTATCACAGCTCTATGTAGAGTATAAAGAATGTACAGTAGGAGAAGTCAGTTTTTCTCTTCTGTCTTTGCACTAACTACCGTTATCATACATTTTACTTCAAATGCATACATTTAACATGTGCCACAAATCCTATAACACTTTATTGTTTTTGCTTTAAATAATCAATTATCTTTTAAGGAGAAAAAACAAAAAATTTTTACATAATTTTTATATATTTCTGGGACTCTTAATTTCTTTTTTTATAGATCAAATTTTCCTTCTGGTATTATGTTTCTTTTACTAAAGAAATTTTCTTTAACACTTATGTAGTACAAATGTGCTAATAATGAATTAGCTCAGTATTTGTTCTGAAAAGTCCTTTTCTTTTTGGAAGACATTTTTGCTGGTTAAAGACTTCTAGGTTGGCAAAAATGTTTTTAAGTACTTTAAAGAACAGCTCTATAGTTCCTGGCCATTTTCTTCTTACTTACATAGATTCTGATGAGGAGTCTGCAGTATTCTTGTTTGTATGTAGTGGGTTTTCCCCCTCATGAGCTGTTCTGCCCCTCTCTCTCAGTTCTCTTCTTCTGGCACTCCAATTACATATACATTCAACTCCTTGACGCTTTCCCAAGTGCAGTGCTGGAGACTGAAGATTTAACTGCAGTGAGCTTGGACTGTGAGGATTGAAGCAGAGCCAAAAACTGACAGACAGTTAGTAATCATTGCAGATGTTTGCTGAACAATTGCAAGGTAGCAGGCACTATTCTACTTTTCACCTGTATAATTCTGACTTATCCTCAAGATTTATCTTGAAATTTTCCAGAAAGCCTTCCTATACCATCCTTTCTCACCCTAACCTCTACCTCACCTCTCACACTAGGTTAGGTAGCCCTCTTTTTTAGTTTTACTGCACACTGGGTTTCCAGTGTTTTTAAATCTACTACTCTTTATTCTATTAGATCTTTTTATTTTTAATCTCCATGGCTAGGCTGTGAATTCCATGAGAGCAAAGACTATGACTATTGTCTTGTGTCATAGTCAAATGACCTCTCCTTTGCCCAGGGTGTGTTACATTCTCAATGTGTATTTCATGAAAGAATGGATGAATAAATGGTGTCTCCCACTAGACTGTGAGTTCCTCAGAGGCAGAAATTACACTTTTCCCATGTTTTCGTGACCGTGGTTCAATATATATGATTGATGAAAAAGAGCGTTTCAGCAATTACAGTTTTTGTTTGTTCGGTTTTTGTTTTTTGTTGTTTTGAGACAGGGTCTCGCTCTGTCTCCCAGGCTGGAGTGTAGTGGCACTATCTCAGCTCACTGCAACCTCTGCCTCCAGGATTCAAGCGATTCTTGTGTCTCAGCCTCTCAAGTAGCTGGGATTACAGACGCAAGCCACCATGCCTGGCTAATTTTTGTATTTTCAGTAGAGATGGGGTTTCGCCATGTTGGCCAGGCTGGTCTCTGACTCCTGACCTCAAGTGATCTGCCCGCCTTGGTCTCCCAAAGTTCTGGGATTACACTAAACTCATGGGAGGCAGAGAAGCAACAGCTAACAGAAGTGGGGAGGAGGCACTGTAACAATTACATTGAGGGCCATCTTTGTTTAACATCAGAAGATTACAGGATAAAATTATTTGTCATGTAGTGAGCCAGGGGTAGAAATCCTGTTTTAAAACTGATTTTCCGTGGCTTCAGCAAATCATAGAATTGTCAGAGCAATTACCCAAAGCTCCAGTGGAAAGGAAGAGTCAGTCTTGTTTGCATACTTGCCTGGCCTAGATCTTTTCATGATCTTTCTGCCACCATGTTGCTGAAGAAATCTTCACTCCCTTTGCCTGTGTGTGTTTGGGATGGAATTACTGAAATCATTCCTGAATTCTGCTTACGTGAAATGTTACTCCATGTGGTTTTAATTCCATGAAGATATTTCCTCCAGTGTATGTGAGTTATATAGGTTGGGAATAACTAGAAAAAGAGATGACTGGGTTAGAAACAGGAAAGAAAAGGAAATAAAATACAACAAAACAAAGCACAAAGCAGGCAGAACAGGCAGAGGTCCTGCAAAAGGGCTTTGGGCAATGGAGGGGAGTGCTGAGAGCCAGACGATGCCTGGACATGCATTAGAGGAGGTGAGTGCAGGTCTTTGGGGAATCTTCCTCTGTCCTTATAGTCACACTGTCCATCAAAGGTGGCAGACAGGCCAGGCACAGTGGCTCACGCCTGTAATCCCAGCACTTTGGGAGCCCAAGGCAGGCGGATCACCTGAGGTCAGTAGTTCGAGACCAGCCTGGCCAACATGGTGAAACCATGTCTCCACTAAAAATACAAAAATTAGCCAGGCATGGTGGTGCACGTCTGTAATCCCAGGTACTCGGGAGGCTGAGGTATGAGAATTGCTTGAACCCAAGAGCTGGAAGTTGCAGTAAGCTGAGATAGCGCCACTGCACTCCAGCCTGCGGGATAGAGTGAGACTCTGTCTCCAAAAAAAAAAAAAAAGTGGGGGACAGACAGACCTTCACTCCATCAACTCAACCAGGAATCTTGTGGAGAAACCCCCTAAGAAGAAAAAAAAAAAAGCAAAGGAACATGTCTCTCAGTGGGTGTATTACCCACGAGGAACGAAAATGAATGTACGAGAGTCTGGTTGGAACAGACAGAAGGGGAGATCCTGAGAAGATTCTTCCAGCAAAAGATATTAACAGGAAATGGGCTTCAGAGAGCCCAGTACATGAAGATGTGCAAAATGCCTTGTATAGCCTTTTTTAGTTTGCCTTTATTGCTGTATTGTAATAGATATTAAAATAGATATTTATGAATGTCTTCAGGGTGAGTCACAGCTCTTGTTTCCCAGCCCTCCCTTTCTCAAGTCTTCCATTCCTCCATTGCAAGTTTTCCAGCACAGATATTTTCAGAAGCTGGATTCCTGTATTGGGGAAGTTGTTCTGCACTTTAATCACTGACTTGTACCTTCACAAGGGGAGAGATTGTAACTCGGGGAGCTAATGTAAAGAGAAGCTGTACCATTCAACATATGTATGTGAATGTTGTCATTTTTACTTTACATGCATTTATTTGCTTACAGAAAATTGCATAGTGCAGCAAATCTATAAAAAGTCAAGCTTTATTGTCAAGAAGCTTAGAGTGACCAAAGACAAAGGGAGACCCATAATATGCTCATTACTGCTTACACTTTTAACTCGAGCTAATCATATTCTTATGTTCGCCACATGTACACATTAAAGAAAATGTCAGTAATTACTGAAGAATTTAACATAATGAATCCATGTAAAAACAAGGTTTTAATTACAGCATTTACACAGGTTACAAACTCTAACGTGCCTTTGTATAAGAGACAATCAGATCCATACATTTTGTTTTCTAAGCCATTTTGGGGAGAAAAAAAAACAGCCCTTGGTATTTGAGTCATGCGAATACTCTGGGGTTCCAAGATAGTACTCTGGCATTTTTCAACAAGGTCTTTTTCCTCACTATGGAGAAAGTGTCAGTCTCACAGTTCACAGTGTGTAGTCACATCACTGAGAAATGTGCATGCATCTGACCTCACACTGGGATACTTCTCCCTGTGTGACCAGTTCCAAAGACCTCTTCTCAGTTTAGTTCCAGGACAAGCTGAAGTGAAATGTTGACTTTCAGTTTCATCAACTGCTGATGTTGACCACACTCCAACGATGGAAAGAATTTGAGGTCATCAGCAGTTACTGGGCCATGGAGCCTATTTTCCTCAGTAATCCAAGAGAATCAAACCCTCAGTATGGACCAAGAAGCAATATGGACTTATCTGATCTACAAGATGAAAAGTATTCAAAATTGGCTTTAAAAAATGGTCAATTTGGTTCTGGAAATAAATTGTGAGAATTTCTATATCTATTTCTGTTATCTTAAAAAGTAGGCAAATATCTAAGTGTTACTAATATTGAACATGTAGACTGATTCTGGACTCCCCACTCAGGCTGCATGTCAGAGATTTGCATAGCAAGTGAAGTCACTGGTTTCCTGAGAAATGTGGGCCCTGCAGAGGGCAGAGGAGTTCCCACAGCCCCACTCACAGGATCTCTTGCAGCTATTGTTAAATGGCACAGTCATCTTAACCATGGCAAGTGAATTCAAGGATTAAATTGTCTACTTTTGACTAAACTAACTTCACAAAAGGTTAAGTGGGTTAAAAAATTTCCTACAAAGAAATACCAAATTTAGATAATATGATAATTCAAGAACAATAAAATATCAGAGCTACATTTCTTCAATTAGTTGTATATACTCTTGTCAACCACGTAGCAAAGTTTAAAACAATGGCAAGGAGTCAGCCAAAAATTCTACATTATCATCAGGAAAGCATTTTGAAACATAGGTTATATCCATTGTCATCAATGTCAACTCACTCTAAGTGCATATTCTAACTCAAGATTTGAAGTTGATGATAGTATTCAGGAAACACGTACGATTTGATTACTCATGCTCAAAGCCATGTGATATTGAACCAGCCACTTCACAAAATTTAATTAAACTTAATGATGAAAATTAAAAGTCTCTCTGAAAGATCTTATCAAAGAGCAAAAGACAAAAGCCACTTACTATTGGGGGAAATGTGTTCCTTATAATATGCAAGCTTATTTTCCCATCATTTTGATCAAAACAGAAGAAAAAATATATGAAAACATATAATAACAAGCTTAATAAATAAAACATGCAAAAATATGGTGTGTTACTAATTTTAACATGAATTTCTATGTATTTACAGTTATCTGAAACAAATATAAAATAGTTTGGATCCTTGTGATCGGTCACAAACTTAGAAAGCCTGCCCTTTGCATGCAGCAAACTTTTAAAATTTTTGCATATAACAAACTTTTAACTGATTAAAGTAATGCCACTCTAGTTATTTATGAAATACATCAAAAAGGCCGGGCATAGTGGCTCACACCTGTAATCCCAGCACTTTGGAAGGCCGAAGCGGGCAGATCATGAGGTCAGGAAATGGAGACCATCCTGGCTAACATGGTGAAACCCAGTCTCTACTAAAAAATACAAAAAATTATCTAGGCGTGGTGGTGGGCACCTGTAGTCCCAGCTACTCGGGAGGCTGAGGCAGGAGAATGGCGTGAACCCAGGAGGTGGAGCTTGCAGTGAATTGAGATCATGCCTCTGCACTCCAGCTTGGGCAACAGAGCAAGACTCCATCTCAGAAAAAAAAAAAAAGAAAAAGAAATACATCACAAAGTAGATGGTATTTTATTTGGATTGATAGATTTATCATTTATAAATGCTTTTTTTCTGTAGTATTCATTTTGTCCATAAAGCACAAAGATGCTAAATCATATACAAATTCTTCCAGGTACTTGTCTAAGTGCATTGATTTTTGTTTTCTAACTATGTAGAAAGTTAAATTCATCAGTTGCTTTTCCAGACGGACCCATTTCAGGTCTCTTGACTACCATCACCTATGTGAGCAGAAGGATTCAGGGGATCCTTGGTGGACTGCTGAAGAATGAAGCATGTGCACCCACTTTACTTCTACACTTTGGCAGCTGTAGAACAGAGACAATGGTGGTGCATGATACATCCTTGTATCTGGGAATTAATTCCTTTCCGAGGTGTATACTACTTAGCTTTGTGACTAAAATCTACAGGCTTCAGTTTCCTAGTCTTGCTAAATGGGAAACATGTTAATATCTATGATTGTAGCACATCACAAGTAAAGATAAATGAGAAAATATATGCTTTGGCTGGGCATGGTGGCTCACACCTCTAATCCTAGCACTTTGGGAGGCCGAGGCAGGTAGATCGTGAGGCCAAGAGATTGTGACCATTCTGGCCAACATGGTGAAACCCTGTCTCTACTGAAAGTACAAAAATTAGCTGGGTGTGGGGGCGGGTGCCTATAGTCCCAGCTACTTGGGAGGCTGAGGCAGGAGACTCACTTGAACCTGGGAGCCGGAGGTTGCAGTGAGCCAAGATCACGCCACTGCACTGCAGCCTGGCGACAGAGTGTCACTTCGTCTCAAAAAAAGAAACCAAAAAAAAAAAAAAAACCAAACAAAAAAAAAACAACAACAAAAAAAGGACAATGTACGCTTTGTAAACTTTAAGTCTGGGAGATGGCTAACATTATGGGGGAAGACTTGGCCAAGACAGCCCAGAAACCACAAGGTGAATAATAGCACCCAGAACAGAAGGTCCACCATGAAGATAAGGACTTAATCTATCAGGAAGGATTAAATGTAACCGTCAAGAGTAGGCTTGATGGAGGAGGGTGAATCTGAATGGAGCCTTGAGCTACAGTGGGGTTTACAGCACAGGCAAATCCTGGTGACTGCATGCTAGATGAAAGGAATTGGACAAATGAAATAACTGAGGCAAGAGAGGTTGGGCATGTTCAAATTCGTATCTGTATTGCATAGATAGCTTAAGAATGAAGTAGAGCCAGAAAAAACATACTAGGCTCAGATTACGGAACATGTTTAATGCTAGGCTAAGAACTGTGTTCTATTATATATGCAAAGAGGATCCATGATTGCTTTTTGAGCAGAAAAATCACCCAACTTAATGTGATGTTTTAGGAAGATACTTGGGTAGCAATGTGGAAGAGGCACTGAAGCAAGCAGATTGAAGGCAGATGCTACGTATAAGACCATAAAGCTTTTGCACTGGATTTGATCAGTTGCAATGAAGGCTTGAGTTTGGATGGTGGTCTTGGGAAAGTTCAAAAAAAAAAAGGAGAGGAGGGGTCATAACTGAAAGCCATTTTATCATGACTAAGAAGTCAAACATGTTAATAACCTCAAGAGATATTGGAAGAAGCAGAAAATATTCCTCTTTTGTGCATCCATACTTTTATTAAGAAAAGCTTAACGGAGCTTGAGATATTTATAGAAAAGGCCAGTACCATGAGGAAGGAGATGTGTTCCTAGAACACATTTAAAATGATGTGTTCTTTAATTTTAAAATATGATGGAAGATAGTTTTCGAATTTTGTGTCGCAGTTTTTGCAAAGTTACTGAAGTTTCCAAATTCTAAAACCACATGGTAGTCTGCCAGCTACACATGGAGCAAATAACCTGCCCTGATGCTCCCCACTTGTAATCCAGCCAGCCAGCCCTGTCTCTCCATTCCCAAGGCTGTGTTCACAGACAGCATTGACCAAAACCAGCCAGTTCCCCCCAAGCCCCTGCTGCACAGTATCTGACAGATATCAGCGATGGCTTATCTTCACTTGTCTTTCAACCCCTCTTTATTCTCTACCCCACTTTATGCACCCCAAAACTGCCAATATCTCTATAAATAGCATGACTCTGGCTTTCCTGGGCTTGAACTTCCATGTGGATTTGGCTGACGGAGATCAATGTAAGGTGATGGGATGCCCAGAAGACAGAGAGTTGGGAGTAATTTTCTCCCACTCCTTTTCTGCAGTGGGAACTGCAGTGATGGCAACAGTATTCTCTCCACGAAAACACTCCCTGCCTCCTGCTATGGTTTCAATATTTGTGTCCCTCCAAAATTCATGTTGAAACTTCATCCTCAGTGTGACAGGATTAAGATGTGAGGCCTTGAGGAGGTGATTATATACCCTTATAACAGCACTCTAGGGGACTAGCTAGATCCTGTTTGCTTTTATATTCCTTCTGCAATGTGAGGACACAGCAAGAGTCGCCATCTGGGAAGCAGAAAGCAACCCTCTCCAGCCCCCAGATCTGCTGGCACCTTGATCTTGGACCCACAACTGTGAGAAATATGTTTTTTTCAATAGACTACGTAGCCTCCATGTCCATGTTCTGTTAATGCAGAACAAACAGATTAAGACATCCCACAGTTCGGGCATTGACCAGTGCTCTCTTTGCCCACCTTTGCTGCTGGTAGCCTGTCTTGCAGATACCCAGTGGCTTTACAGAAGGGGAGGTGGCTTCCTGGAGGTTCTCGCACAGTACGAGCTGAGAGATGGCATGCTGCAGGCCTGGAGCACTCCTCTCCAGCAAGCAGAATGACTGTGGAGCAATGACCAATGTATGACTCTGTCTCTTGTGTGACCATGTGCTCCAGTGTTCCCAGGACATAATAATAATAATTTCTAACATAATTATTAACAACAACCACTTTCACTGTCAAAAGTGACCTGACTTAGATAACTGAATTGTAAGTTCACTCCACCTTTTCCACAAAGCCAGAATACTAGAACACACGGTCAGAAAACAAAAGGGTGAAATTGGGTATGACCTCCCTCAGTCTTACACTGATGGGATCTGTATTTTTCATTCTTAACTCCTTATACTCAGTGTGTTGTGAAGTCCTAGGGCCAAGGGAAGAATTTTGCATCAAGAAACATAGTCCTGGTTTCATTCAATGATAACCTGAGACTGTTCTATAATCATGTTGGGCTTTTCATGTTATGAGATAGAGAATTCCTATTTTGAACTGGCATTTTACAGTGCCCAAAGGATGTTGGAGTGTTTGTATACAATGGGAGCAAAGAAGATTACATCTAGAACATGGGCAATTTACTGGGGCTCCTTAATTCACTAGTGTCCAAAGATAATGGTTAGTGGGAAACTGTAGCTGTAAAGGATTTGCAGTCTATTGGAATGAAAATTTTGGTCATACTACTAGTTTAAAATTTCTGATAGGGCAAGGTGTTGGTAGAAGGTAAAGGGAGCATTGATAGGTGATTTGAAAAAATAAAAAAGAGGAGCTGACTATCAACATAGAACATAGACCAACAGCAGAGGCAGAACCTATATCAGCTATTGTTTACTTGTGCTGATTAATGCCTTCCTTCCCTTTATCATGCTGCCTGATCTGAAGAGTACTGGTGGAACTAACATTACAACCTAGGTTCCAGGTAGGGGTATGACTGAGTTGATACCAGCCCACCACCATACAGTGGCAGGTGCCCTTTGTAAGTAAGGAGGATAGTAAATGTTATCCTCCTTACTTTACCATTGCACTGCTAAGTAGGCTTTTATTTTGCTGTGTTTGCCACCTTTAAAATTTATCCTTCGCATCGTAGTCATAACAAGTGAGGTAATTAATGAGGCTTCCTTACCTTCACTATCTTTCTTCACCTTTGACATGGTAAAGTGTATTATTTCTATGTTATTGGGGCATATGACATTTCCAGCCTATTCTGTAACCCTAATCCACATTTGGCTTCAGTCTACAGTAAAATACATTCAATACTTACAACTTTTTTTTTTGCTGTATTTTACCAAAGCATCTTCCTTTAATTGGTTGTTATTGTTTTCCTTCCTTCTGTAACCAAATGTATTGCCCTTTTTCTCCACATACCCATGTTTTTGTTCTCTCAAAAACATTAATGAAAATATATTTTCCTGAATTCTTGCTTGATAAAAACCGCAACAAATTGTAATATATCATGTCTACATAGTAAGACTAGCTTGGCTGCACATAAAAATCCTTGGTTGGCATTGAGAATCTTATTGGTCTTCCCTCATTACCATCCAGCTTCAGTACAGCTAGGGGAGCCAGGACAGCCTTCTTCATTTCTCCTGTGAGTGACTTATTCTTTTTTTCTGGCTGCCCAATAGATACCTTATTTTTTTTAAGTCCAATACCTTCATTAAGATGTGGTTCACTTTTTGCCTGTCATGAATGGATATACCTTGCTTCTGATGTGCCCTTTTGAAAGGTAGATTCAAGTCTTCATGCATTGCACAGAAGTGTTCTTTAATTATAATTTTGAAGTATTCGTTCTGTCTCTTTTGGTTTCTTCTTTGGATGTTCCAGTAATGTATGTGTTCAATCCATTTGTCTGTCTTCCATAGTTCTCATTTTCTCTGTAATACTTGAGTTTTGCTTTTCAAATGTTTGCTTAGATAATTTTTGTATAAATGGGTATCTATTTCCTTTTATTTTTGTAATATACTACTAAATGGTTTGGGTTTTCCTAGATAACTACAGAGGTTCAGAGAGAGAATTAAGACAACCTTCTGGGCCTCACACCAGAATGGCTCTTTCCAACTGGGCTGTCACAGAGACAGACTGCTTCCTGCAAGTATGGCTCCTCTGGTGATTCTCTGTGTGGTTGAATCTCCCTTGTTCCTCCCTTGAACAAAACTGGGTCCAGGAGGGGACTTTTTCTGGTAGACTGTGTACCCTGGTTCCCACTCCTGTGGTTAAAAAAAGGGGTATAAGTTTTGAACATGGAAGTGAACTCCCAAATTTTCAGGGAGTACATTTTGTTGGTGTTTTCTGAGATTATCAGCCATTGGCCTCACTACCTCCATACTTCATTTACTCCCATGTGGCTTGTGCCTGATTCCAACTAGATTTAGTCATCTCTACATACGTTTTGAAATCTTTGGATTCTAACTTTTTCTAGTTTCACTAAGGATATATTTGGTTCTTTTTTTCTCCATTTTCCTTGTTGCTTTTTTATGTGTTCTGGAATAATATGAGGAAAAATGCTGACTTTTACAGCCTGTGTATACAACTACCTCTACAGAAAATTTTAAGATATATATTAGTTCTTTATATTCACACAATAACTTTGCAAATAGTCCTAGTTTACAAAGCTTATTCCGATATCTTGCTGTGTTTTTAAACAAACATATATACATATATGCTGTGATAGTTGATGTTGAGTGTCAACCTGATTGGATTGAAGGATGCAAAGTATTGTTCCTGGGCATGTCTGTGAGGGTGTTGCCAAAGGAGATTAACATTTAAGTCAGTGGATTGGGAGAGGCAGACCCTCCTTCTATCTGGGTGGGCACCATCTAATCAGCTGTCAGCACAGCTAGAATAAAGCAGGCAGAAGAAGATGGAAGAACAGACTTGCTGAGTCTTCTGGCTTTCATCTTTCTCCTGTGCTGGAAGCATCCTGGTCTCGAACATCAGACTCCAAGTTCTTCAGCTTTTAGACTCTTGGACTTACACCAGTGATTTTTCAGGGGCTCTCGGGCCTTTGGCCACAGACTGAAGACTGCATTGTTTACTTCCCAACTTTTGAGGTTTTGGGACTTGGACTGATCCACCACTGGCTTCCTTGCTCCTCAACGTGCAGATGGCCTATCATGGGAATTTATCTTGTAATCACGTGAATTGATTCTCTTTAATAAACCCCCTTTTATATGTACATCTATTCTATCAGTTCTGTCCCTCTAGAGAACGCTGACTAATACACATATATACACATATGTGGTCATGCAGACATGTATACATGCATGCACACATATGTGAACACACGAACATGCATACACATATGTGATCTTTGCCATTGTGGATGGCTAGGATGATTTTTCTCAGGAAAGGTATCTGTGTTATTAGAAAAATAGCCCTGGTTCTCATCCTAAAGTCATAAAAATCAGGAGGTAACTCAGTGAAAGGAGACACACACACACACACACGATGTTATATGTATAAGGGATTTAATATTTTATATATATAATCAAATCCTTGAAATTGCCCTTTGTATTAATCAGAGTTCTTTATAGAAACAGAATCAAGAGTATGTGTGTGTGTGTGTGCGCGCGCGTGTGTGTGTATATATATACACATATATATTTAATACGTGTGTGTGTGTGTATATATGTATATAGACAGAGAGAGAGGGAAAGAAGGAGTGAGAGGGAGTTTATTATAAGAAATTGGCTCATGTGATTATGGGGGCTGAAAGTCTCACGATCTGCCATCTGCAGCTGGAGACCCAGGAAAGGCAGTGATGTAGTTGAGAGAACCAAAGTGTCGATGGTATAAGACCCAGTCAAGAACAGCACAGGGGGCTAATGTGTCAGCTCAAGCAGTGAGGCAGAGGGTGAAGTCACCCTTCCTGTGCTTTCTGTTCTATTCGGGTCTCAATGAATTGGATAATGCCCACTCACACGGTGGAGGGCCACCTGCTTTACTCAGTCTGCTGATTCAAACGCTAATCTCATACAGAAACAGCCTCACAGGCATAGCCAGGACCCATGTTTAGTCTGGGCACCTCATGTCTAAGTGAATTTGACACAAAAATTATCCATCATACCCAGAGTTCTTAATCAAAGTTTCAATGACTGAGGCCAGTCCTGGGCCGCTAATGTTCGTCCAATATTGCGTCTAGTTTTACCATCCCTTCCGTTTGCCAGAAATAGAAACAGAAAATGTTCTACATGTTTGCACCACCAAATAATGAATAAGCAATCAAATGCCATTTTGATTATTGACCTTCTAGCTTTTACAAAACACAAAACTTGCACAAATAAAATACTACTGGAAGCCAAGGAACCTAGAGACACATGTAATTTCTCTATATCTCTGCTCGATGCATAAAGTATTCCTATTGAAGAGTAAATTTCCTCTTGTTTCAGTGAAAGATATTTTTAACTGATATTTTTACCTTCAGCAAACACATAAACGGTGAAAGTTATCCCAAACATTGCCATTTTCAATTTCCAAAGGAGCTTATGCTAATTTCAGAGGCATCTCTATGGTTTATATGTATATTTAATATATAAGGTAGGTCCTACTATCTCCATTTTACAGAAGAAGAAACTGAAGTTGGAAAGATCAACAAGCTTACCTGAAGTCACAGGGCGGGAGAGTAAAGGAGTAGAATTTTCAACCTAAGTTTATATGATTCTAAAATTTTCCACTACCATGCTGCTAAAAGAGATTACTCAACTAGTTCTTCCTGTTCAGGTAAGTCAGTTCAGACTTTGCTAATTCTGAATAAAGAGGACAGAAGTTATGATGCTGTAACTATTTGACATAGACTGTGTTAGATTAGAGATGAGAGGCAAAAACTTGACCCTAGTATATTTGCTTTCATTGATTCCAATGTCATCTTTAGGTTTTTGTATATTTCTTTCTGATTTTAACATATGATCCTTTATTTTCTTCTTACTTTCCTCCCTTCATCCTTTCTCTGTCAAATTGTTTTCCTCTTCCTCCTCTTTTAAAAATTCTCAAAATTTGACTATAAATTGCTTTTTCTTCTTTGCTCCTTTTCACAACTCTTTCATTGCCACAAGGCATTCAGGTAGAAAAAAAGGCCAAGGTAGTCTGCAGTGTGCTAGCTATTTACCCAATTGACCCACCATATCTTTTATATAAACAAATAAATTAACAAGTTATGTAAATAATTTATATTCAAATATTCAGAAGTGTCTTAGACATGTTTAATATGCTACAGGTAAACTCCTTTTAGGAGGAGACCACATGCAGCTTTAGAATAGAAAATAGAAGAAAGGAAAAAAATAAACAAATGAAGGTTTTTCTCTGCAGTCTTTATGCAAGCAACGACTTATTTCTTAAACTCTCCCCTTTGTGGCTATCACTCAAAGAAAATAAAGAAGAAAAGCTACTGGCTTTCTAGTTTAAATCACAGTCTCATTATTCTGTAGGTGAATGGGGAGGGGGATTGGAATCGTAGGTCCGAGTGGGCAGTAACTTGAAGTCAATGGAGATATATACAAAACAGAAGCACAATCACGATCCAGCAGTTCTGGAGCTGCTAACTTTTTCTGCCTTTTTCTAAATGTCCAATAATAAGGTTCTAACGGAGACTGAAGATCCATCACCTGCTCCACATCTCCAGGGGGCCCATGTGTGCATCGCAGTGCAGGTCATACATGCTTCTTTCCCCTCCCATGGCAAGGGGAATACCGAATGATGACAACTCACATGTGTAACCCAAGGGCTTTGCTACAGTTTACTGAGGACTAGTGCACGATACATTCTTTGAGTGTTATAATAACATTAAGTCAATGCACGAATTATAATCCCTATTTCACAAGTACAAAAACACATTCAAAGAAATTAAATTCCTTGCTCACCAAACAGTTATTGACAAAAAATACAACATTTATGTTTCTTTTGAAAAATATTATAAAGATTCTCAAATTGTCTAACCAATCATATTATCCGTAGTTGTCTCTTCTCAAGCTGCTAATAAAGACATACCCAAGACTGGGACATTTATAAAGGAAAAAGGTTTAATTGACTCACAGTTCGGCATGGCTGTGGAGGCCTCAGGAAACTTACAATCATGGCAGAAGGGGAAGCAAATATGTCCTTCACATGGCGGCAGCAAAGAGAGGTGGGAAAAAGGAGGGAAAAGCCCCTTATAAAACCATCAGATCTCATGAAAACTCACTTACTATCAGGAGAACAGCGTGGAGGTAACTGTTCCCATGATAAAATCACCTTCTACCAGGTCCCTCCCATGTCAGGTGGGGATTATGGGAACTACAGTTCAAGATGAGATTTGGGTGGAGACGTAGCCAAACATATCGTTATCTTGATAAGATATTGCTTTGGATTGAATTGTGTCCCTGCAAAAATCTTATGTATAAAAGTTCTGATCCCTCATGTGACTGTTTCTGAAGACAGGCAGGGCCTTTAGTTGGCACTTAAGGTCAAATTAGGTCATATGGGTGGGACCTCAGTCTACTAGGATTGGTGGCTTTATACTGAAAGAAAGAGACAGATGTCTCTCCCCTTGACCTCACATGTATAAAGGCCACATAAGGAAAAAGCAGCCCAAGCCGGTAAGAGGCCCCAACAGACGCCAAACCCTTCCAGCTTCATGATCTTGGACTTCCCTGCCCCCAAAACTGTAACAGAATGAAATTCTGCTGCTTATGCCATCCAGTCTGTGGCATTTAGTTACGCCAGCCTGCACTGGCTAATGCAGATATTCAGAATCAAATGAGTCATCCCAAGCAATTTCTTAGTATATACAGCACAGATTTCACCTTCTAAACTCACCCTTGTCTTTGCCTTTTTTTTTTTTTTCTTTTTTTTTTGAGACGGAGTCTCACTCTGTTGCCCAGACTGGAGTGCAGTGGCGCGATCTCGGCTCACTGCAAGCTCCGCCTCCCGGGTTCACGCCATTCTCCTGCCTGAGCGTCCCGAGTAGCTGGGACTACAGGCGCCCGCCACCACGCCTGACTAGTTTTTTTTTTTTTTTTTTTTAATATTTATATTTTTAGTAGAGATGGGGTTTCACCGTGTTAGCCAGGATGGTCTCAATCTGCTGACCTCGTGATCCGCACGCCTCAGCCTCCCAAAGTGCTGGGACTACAGGCATGAACCACCACGCCTGGCCAGTTTTTCTTAATTATTAAATAATCTTTCATTGATTTAAGAAATATTTTCATATGGTTCCTATTCAGGCCCAGGCATTGTTTTTTTGTGCTGCAGACAATGTGTTAATAAAAGCTGTCCAGCCTTGTTTGTACATCATGATATTTATATTTGACAAATCCTCTACTTAGATATGTATCACCTCCATAATTTTTTGAAACACATAAATTTTTTGAACCAAATGGAATAAAGAGCTAGATATATATGTATAATGAATATATTTGAAACTTTGTACTTTGCTTTACAATTTGCAAAAGAACATCATATACAGTGTTGTATTTGAGTCTCCTTTAAGCCCTATTAAGAAGAAATTTTTCTAGTTCTGCTGTTCAGTGAAGAAAATGAGCAAAAAAAGGTGCAGCAACTTCCCAATATCCCATATTTACAAACATAAAGGAGTGGGACTTTAATGTAGACTCTTGGTGTCCAAGTTTGTGCTCTTTATGCTTCATGGCACCAGGTAAAGTGCAGTGAGCACAGCGAATGTGCCCCCTCAGGAGCCAGCTAAGACCTTCTGGGGGCTTCTCCTGGAAGTACAGAGTCTGTGACCCCCATCCTAAATACACAAGCATTGGCATCACTGTCTCACAGTAAAACAAAACAAAACAAAACAAACAAAAAAAAACAAAGAAAAAAACAAATACAATCTGTTCAGCAGAGTAATTGTACATAACACAAAAGAACTTCTGGGAAAAACACGGAACGCATATTGAAATCAGAGGCTCAGTCATGTGAAAATAAAAGGTCTTGTTGGGTGCCTAAGTCTTGTCTTTGCTAACAGCTGTTTTCGTGCAATACCAGTAAACCCAGCCAAAGGCATTCTAGTGAGCGACTACAAGAAGACTCCTATACACTTCAATTTTCCAGCAATCCATAAAATTGAAACATAAAAATAGGATTCTATTTCTCTTGTTCATTCTATATCTTACCAGTACTTATATTTGCATATGTATAGAAACTCAAGGTTTACAAAGCATATTCACGGTCTTTATTTTATTTGATGCTCCACGAAATGTTGCAAGGGACTCAAACAAAGTCCTGTTTGTACTATGTTACAGGTGAGAATGCTGACATGTAGAGGGGCAAGTACTTACCTGATCACGTTGTCTTGGCATGATGAAGCCTCACTTAAACCCATGATCTCATGTCTTCCCTTAAACTGATGCACTGAAATACAGTCAGGTAAAATAAAGAGTTAGGGGCACATTTTAAAATACATTTAAGGTGCATCAAAGATTTAAACCAATCACTTGTAACATCTCTATTTGTCAAACTCATTGGTGATCATTAGCATTTAGAGAGACCCAGGACAATTGCAAGATTCTAAATAATTTTCAAACCATAGTAGAGGATACTTTGTTTACTGTTATTTATGTATTAAATATCTTTTAATATACTATAGCTTTATAAGAACAGATAATCCATTTTTGGAATAAATTTGTGTTTTAATTGGCCAAAGAGTTAAATCCATTTTTTCTAGATCCTCTGGATAATTAGGAATTGGTAGTAAAAGGCAATTTCACTTTTCCAATAAAATAATATGCTCAGTTGTTCAAACCCACATTCTTGATAAAAACAACTAGAAATTCTGGATAAGATAGAAGAAAAAGAAGATTTTGGTGCAACAAAGATCATACAAGATGGTAAGGAATTACAAGACCAAAATCTAAGTGATGTCTTGATCTCAGAAAAGAAAGCTAAATGTTGAATTCCCTTTGGCCCTTGGAGAATTCATGAAAGCCGTGAATTTGAGCTTCAGTTTTTCAGTCTCTGTGGAGTGATATGGAAGAAGGAAAAAATCTCAAGTCCCCAGCAACACGCATGTGATCATAGAAGACTTTCCCCCTATGAAACAAGACCTCCAAAGAGCTATAATTTCACAATAAGCATAAACCAAAAGTAAACCCAGACTACCCAACTCCTGCTTCCATGTGTCGGCAAGAAAGTGTTCGCTGGTGCTGAACAAAGCGTGGGGAAAATGCTGCTGTTGCATAAATTACAATCTCAAAAACTCAAGCTATAAATTTAGTTTAAAACAGTTCCCAATACCTAATAGAAACAAATGTGCAGTTCCTCCTCATCCTGAAAGAATCTCCACAATAATATTCCAAGGAAAATAATGCACTCACAGCATATGTATGTATCACCTATTATGATGTATATAGCTGGTAGATAAGTACATATGTATCATATATATATATATACATATAACCATTACAGAGAACTAGAAGAAATAGTGGAGAAAGAAAAAGTTCTACAAAGACCCTAGATTTAAAAATAATCAGAGAAAAATTTTGTAAAACAACTCTTCTCATAACGTCCAAAGCTAGAACACACTTGAAATAATCTCAGCAAAAAAAAGCTGTCAAATATGCAGCCATAAAAAAGGATGAGTTCATGTCCTTTGTAGGGACATAGATGAAGCTGGAAACCACCATTCTCAGCAAACTATCGCAAGGACAGAAAACCAAACACCGCATGTTCTCACTCATAGGTGGGTACTGAACAATGAGAACACTTGGACACAGAAAGGGGAACATCACACACCAGGGCCTGTCGTTGGGTAGGGGGACGGGGGAGGGATACCATTAGGAGATATACCTAATGTAAATGACAAGTTAATGGGTGCAGCACGACAACATGGCACAGGTATACATATGTAACAAATCTGCACGTTGTGCACATGTACCCTAGAACTTAAAGTATAATAATAATAATAATAACAATAATAATAAAAGAAAGCTGTTAAAAATGACCAGCATGGAATCTCTCTTCCCCACTGTCAGACAACATTTCGGTGGTCCCTGTAACTATTGCTCTGGTCCTGAATAAAATCTTTCTCGCCATGCTTGAAAAAAAAAAACAGAATTGCAAAATATGCCTCTGACAAAGGACTAATATCAAGAATCTACAAGGACCTCAAAGAATCCAAGAAGAGAAAAATAAACAACCCCATTAAAAACTGGGCAAAGGACATGAACAGACATTTTTCAAAAAAAAAATGCAAGCAGCCAACAAACACATGAAAAAATGCTCAGAATCACTAATCATTAAAGAAATGCTCATTAAAACCACAATGAGATATCATCTTATATCAGTCAGAATGGCTGTTATTAAAAAGTTGAAAAAAGCAAAAAACAGAGGTTGACTTGGATGCAGAGCAAAGAGAGAACGTTTATACACTATTGGTGGGAATATAAATTAGTTCAAGCTCTATGGAAAACAGTATGAAGATATCTCACAGAACTGAAAACAGAACTACCATTTGACCCAGAAATATTCATAATTGGACACCTACCCAAAGGAGAACAAATCATTATAGGACAATACCATGACAATAGCAAAGTCATGGAACCAACCTAAGTCTAACCTATGGGTCCATCAATAATTGATTGGATAAAGAAAATGTGATATATATATACACCATGTAATACTACACCACCATAAAAAAGAATGAAATCATGTCCTTTGAAGCAACATGGATGGAGGTGGAGACCATTATTCTGAGTGAATTAACTCAGAAACAGAAAATAAAATACTGCATGTTCTCACCTACAAGTGGAAGCTAAACAATTGGTACACATGGGCATAAAGATGGAAATAATAGAAACTGAGGTTTCCCAAAGGGGAGAGGATGTGAGTGTTGAAAAACTACCTATTAGGTACAATATTCATTATTTGGGTAATGGGTGAACTAGAAGCCCAATCCCCACCAGTATGCAATATACCCATTTACCAAACATTCACATGGACCCATTGAATCTAAAATAAAATAAATATTTTTTAAATGACTGGAATGTGTGAAAAAGGAAACAAAGAACATTTCTAAAAGAGAAAGATGCAAAAAATAGATTTTTAAATGCAAGGGCTGTTCACTATTTTGTAGTAGCTAAAGTAGGTATTAGTGAATCCAAAGATCAGTCAGAAGAAATTATGCAGAATGCATCACAGCAAAACAGAGGCAGTGAGACATTTTACCATGTTTTTACGTGGATTCCTAAACAAAGAGGAGAAAGAACATAGAACAGAGACAATGTTTGTAAGTAATATTTTAAGATAATGACTGATTCCCTACATCAAAAGAAAGCCAACGGGAAGTTCCTAAATCTATAGAGGGTACACAAACATAAAACTACACTTGAACATGTCATGGTGAGTTGGACAAACCAAAAACAATAGTAAAACCAAAGAACAACCACGAACATGCATAAATCCACAAGGTAGTGAATAAAACAGCTTACTTTCAAGGCAGCAGAATGGCATTGACCACTAACTACTCAACAGAAATGATGAAAGATGGATGCCAGAAGAATGAGATCACCAAAGTGCTAATAAAAAATAATTGCCAACCTAGAATTTCTAGGACCCACTTTTTAAGAGTAGGATGAAATGCAGACATTCTTGGGCAAACAAAAAAAGAGAGTTTATCTGCAGCATATCCTCAGAAAAGGATGTAATTAAATCAGAGAAAAAGATGAAGATCAAGAAGGTAGGAAACATGCAAAAATCATGACAAATAGTTTTTGCCATTAAGAAAAAGAAGAAACTAATTAATTCCACAAAACAAGTCAAGAATAACTCGTGAATTAGAGGGAGCAGAAATGGAGTTGCCATCTTCAAAGGCACTCGTTTTCAGGAGATGTATACAATTTTTGGAAAAACTTGTATTTGAAAAGTTAAGTATGCATTTTGCAATTTTCAGAGAGTGAAAGAATAGCAACAAAATACTTATAAACTAGGAAAGGAAAAATCTTGAATAAGAAAATAATCTATACCAAAAAAGCCACATTTAAGTACTATGTTTATTTTGTTAAATTAATTTAAATTTTAAAAATTTATCTTCACTCTATGCAATAATATTTGTGAAATTTTGACTCTGGTGTGTAAATTAACTTGTTTACTGCATTGAATCCTTTGTCATTTTTGTAATACTTTGATTATCTCCGTCTAAATATTCAAACATCACCTCTTAACATAACCAGTGGTACACCTTCCATGATTTAGATATGGTGATCTGACTAGCGTTGAAACTTGAGAGAAGCTAGCCTCAATAACAGGACCCAGGGATAACCATCTAGTTCTCCAGCGAAGGGCCTTAAGCCCTCTGGGGGTCCACATTGTTGGTTACTCACTAATCAAAGATGTGCCCCACCCCTAGTTTTCTCCTCCCTGACTCAAGTTCATGTCATTCAACTCTCTGCCTGGTTCACGGGCTCATGGTATTCTGCCCTACTCCTGCTGCTTGGCTATCCACCAGTTACCAATAGCTGAAGTTGATGCAACCACATGAAATTTCTACAAGACCCTCCCCTCTTTGGGCTCCCATCACATTGTCACTACTGCCAGATGTCATCAGCGTGAGAGAATCAGTGGTGGTCCACAGGAGCATCTTGTTGTCCCTCCCTAAATGATACCAGCACCACTCTCCTCCCAAAATCAATGCTCCCAACCACAACACCCCCCTTGGCTTCACTTCTGTTCCCAGCAAGCCATCAAAACTAGCACCAAGGCTCTCTCTAGGAGGCTATAAATATATATGTTTTCCTTTTTTCTGTCTTTAAATGGTGAGTTAACACAAACAGACCTACATACACCAGACCCCAAGGTATCAATCTGGATCCCTTCACAGGATCCTTTGAAATTTTCCATTCACAGAACCGAGAAAAAAAAGCAAACTCTGAAGCCCAGCCCTTCCCTCCTCTATTCCGGAGCAGGCAGCTGATGGGATGCAAATGGGGCTGCTGAGCTTCAGGGTGGAAATGGAAGCCAGTGCGTTGTGCTCCTTGTGATGTGAAACCTGTTGCAGCTGCGCAGAGAAACGAGAGTTTTCACTGGACACAGTGCAAGGAGCAAGCAGGGTGCCTTTCATGGACAGAAGCTGCATCTGTCTATACTTCAGCCATTCAATCAACAAACATTTCATGATCATCAGTTACTGCTATGAAAGGTAGATGCTGAGGGTAAAACAAGGAACAAGAAGAGAATGCCCCACTCCCATATGGCACATGTAAAAGCATAAAAGTCTATCTGAATCATTTTTGAAACAGAAGGCCCATGACATTGCCTGCTGAGTCCACATTGGCTCTTGTTTGTGGATACCAGCACATATTAAAATTATCTGAAATATTCAGTTGTGAGCCCCCTCCCCTGATATGGTTAGGCTTCGTGTCCCCACCCAGATCTCATCTTGAATTGTAATCCCCATAATCCCCATAATCCCTATTTGTCAAAGGAGAGACCAGGTGGAGGTAATTGAATCATGCGGATGGTTTTCCCCATGCTGTTCTCATGATAGTGAGTGAGTTCTCACAAGCTCGGATGGTTTTATAAGGGGCTTCTTCCCCTTTGCTTAGCACTTCTCCTTTCTGCCACCTTGTGTAGAAGGTGCCTTGCTTCCCCTTCACCTTCCACCATGATTGTAAGTTTCCTGAGGCCTCCCCAGCCATGCTGAACTGTGAGTCAATTAAACCTCTTTCTTTTATAAATTAAGCAAGTCTCAGGCAGTTCTTTATTGCAGTATGAAAATGGACTAGTACAGTGAGAAAAAAATAGCTCTGGAGGGCTGGGTTACATTCAGGACATGTACTAAATGTTTTAATGCGTTTTTTTAGCAAGCACGTAAAATGTCTCCCCCAAGGCTTTAAGCTCTCTTTCTACTTCCCTAAAAGTTTCCCCATCAAAATAGGAAATAAATATTGAAGCTAGAAAAGGCTTGTCCCCTTCAAAGTAAGTAAGCGCATGCTTCATGACAGGCATATCTTTCTTCAGACAGTTGGGGAGGACCCTTAATTCTTTCACCTAAGAAAAAAAAAGTTACAAAACAGCAACCTATGAAAACAAAAACATGGAATCAATGCATCTCCTGAAATAACTTCTCTGTGGTCCTGAGGGTGGTGTTTTGTTTGGCTTGTTCTCCTTCCCACCTTTTTATACCCCCCAAGGATCCTCCTCATTCTGTTGTAGCCAGGGCTCCTAGAGAAGGCTGTCAACATTGAAGGGCCCAGATCCCTTCTACCAGTTTTTCTTGTGCTTCCTATGTGCTTGTAACTGTGAATCTCCTGCTTTTCAAACAACTCTTCTGCCTTTTGTATGGGTATACATTAAAGGGGAAAATCAGGGCCTCTTCACACTACTCTGGCAAAATCAACCTGAACTGCTAGATTATAGGTCTTGGCATCTGGAGCTGCCTGCTTGAGCCCTGGCAGGTCTGGAGGCTTGGGGCTCTTTCATTGACTCAGGAAATATTTCTGCTTCCCACCCAGGACTTCTGTTGTCTCTTCCTCCCTTCTCCTCCCCTGCTCTCAGGACTCTTAGATGTAGCCCAGGTTTGCTTCCACACAGTTGACATTGGCGGTGCACGGTCTTCTCCCCTCTGCGCCCTCAGATCTCCACGCCTGTGCCTATGACACGTGCCACCTGCACCTGTGTTGCCAAGCCTGGCTCCTCATCCGTGGCCACTCCTGCCCCCACAACCTGCCAGTTCTGCCTCCTTTTTGCCTGCCTCCTGCCTATCTTTACTTCACTGATTTCTTTGGCTGGAAAATATTTCCACAACTTCCCCTCCCACACTCACCTGGGGCTATGACATTGTTGTGGGCACTGGTTGGGCCTCTCCCCTGCCACCTAACAAGGACATCCTACAGGCCCAGGAGGGCATTATCTGTGGTTTTGAATTTCTAGTGTCTCGAACTGTACTGGCCCAGAGAGGACCTCAAATATGGAAAACTGAAGTGATTGCTTTCTGCACGCGTTATCTATGCACCCATGCATAACTCACACAAACTTACTGAATCTTCATTTACTCTTCTGTAAAAGGGGAGTAATCAAAGAAATGCACTTTACTAACAACAAGAGGGTAGCATAGTTTGTCTTTTAAACTGATAAAGATGTTCTGAAATAATAATCTATGTTTTCAAGGGTACAGGACTTTGGTAGTTACACCATGACAGTAAAGATGCATATTTTAGGAACTTGGTGGAGGATAATTTGACAGTACACATCTACATGTTTACATTGTACATACCCTTTGACTGACACTCCACTGTTAGAAATTTGTACTAAGGAAATAATCAGACCTACAACATAAGCACTTAGCTATAGGAATACTGGTCAAAGAATTGTTGATCATACTCAAAAATTAGAAACAATCTAAATATGCAATAAGAAAATATTTAAAATAAATTGTATCGCATTCATCTGATGTAATATTATACAGACATTTAGAAAGCTCTTGTAGTCAAAGGATAAGTAGGTTACCTTTGGCATATACAATGAGTAAAACTGATACTAAGTTGATATACCCATTGTGATATAATTCTCTTTGGTTCTTAAATATTTTTATATACCTAAGGAAAAAGATTAAAAGCTTATGAAACCAAAATATTCACAGTTTGGTTATCACAGTCTAGTGTGATTATGGGTAGTTTTAATTGTTTTAATTTCATATTTTTCTGTTCAAATTTCCATTGCTTGTTTAACTAAAAAAAACTTTTAAATAATATTATAAAATGACCATCACAGAAAAAAATATCATTAGGCAATATTGCCATGACTATAGACCTTTCTCCCTACAACTGTTGTTTCTAAATGCCATGAAGGAATTTAAACTCTCAAGCTATTTCTGGCCTGGGCAGTGCTGAGCTATATCTTACTCTCTGTAGGAGGATGAGTGTGTGAGCTCCGTGGTATTTAGGAACCCAGATATCATTCATTTGCAGCCTCTCCATCAGCACGAAGGCCACGTTTGCACTGTGACAGGAATTTCAAATATGAGTTATTTCTTATTACTTGTGTATTGGGTTTCAAAAATGCACAAGCTTCCCACGGCATGCATTTAAAGAACCTCTTTCAAGATATCTTGCACCCAAAAAGGATCAGGAGCTCAAAATGCCCATTAATAAAGAGAAACTATCCATATCCATGACACTTTCAGGCTTAAAATACTTTTCACATAAATGTAAAGACAAAATTAAAAATTAATGTCTATTCAAATTGAATGTAGTAACTCTGTCCACAGAAGGACGTGGACAGGCCACACTCAGAAGAGGCTTAGTTCTCCAGTAGGATGCGGAGCTCCCAGTCTCAGTGACCTCACAGGCCATGGGCTCCACTGTGTGGCACATCTGTCCCACACCAACTCCCTGTTTTCCTGACAAGGAAGCTAAAGTTTTGAATGAGTCCAAAATCACATAGAGAGGAATCAGGAGGATGTCCTTCTGTCTCCAAAACCATGCTCACTCTAAAGATGGGGAAATTAAATTAGAGCATGCATTAGTAAAATGTATTGAATATTACTGGCAATAATTACCCATTTCCATCCCTCGAAGAAAGCCATGTCTCATCCATATGCAAAACTGACACCATTAGGAGAAAAACGTGATTAAGCCAAATTATACTATGGGATGATTGTCATGATACATAACCAAGTACCTCTGCATCATCAATGCCAATCTCAGGGCAGGGAGCCATGAGGCTACACACAGGGCAAGTCCCACAGTGGAAACCCCCTTGATAACCCCTATCATTGAATCCTACCCCAAACTACCCCTGCAAGACTCTGCTTGCCTCCTGTCCCTGTACCCACCTCCAAATTCTTCCCATTGCCCTGGCCAGCACTGAGCTTCTTTGCAGTTCTTCCTCAGCCCTGCACCCTTCAGGCTGGATCTTTCCTTCCTCTACTTCTTTCCTTCCTGAGGCTCCAAAGAGCCCTTGTTACAATATTAGATACTAATAGCAATGTCTGAGGGAAGCCACATGTATGGCATGCCACAATAGAGAAAATAAATTGAGATAATAAACTTAGGCCAGACGTGGTGACTCACGCCTGTAATCCCAGCACTTTGGGAGGCCGAGGCGGGAGGATCACGAGGTCACGAGATCGAGACCATCCTGGCTAACACAGTGAAACCCTGTCTTTACTAAAAATACAAAAAATTAGCCAGGCGTGGTGGAGGCTGCCTGTAGTCCCAGCTCCTCGGGAGGCTGGGGCGGGAAAATGGCGTGAATCTGGGAGGGGGAGCTTGCAGTGAACGGAGATCACGCCACTGCACTCCAGCCTGGGCGACAGAGCAAGACTCCATCTCAAAATAATCACAATCATAATCATAAAGTTAAAGCAACAGAAATCTCTAAATACCCTTAAAAATCATAAAATCAGTGCACTAAGTTGCATATTTTGCTTTTTAGGAAGTGCCTCAAACCCTTATTTGGAAACTATATATTTTTACTTTAAATGCAATGTTTTAGGTCCTCATTTTCCCCTTTAATGTTTAACGTAATTGCATTGAACCTTATAGTCTTGTTGTGAAAAAAAAAGCAATTCTTTACCTTTCTTTTGTCTGTAATACATATGATGTGTATACGAATTTTTATAGATAGCTGGATCTGAAATTTTGTGAGGCAATACTATTTAAATAGTTGTGCTAAAATCTTTCTACAGATTTCCTTTCTTTACAAATTTTACTTCAGTTAATTCTCATAGTATTATTTCATACTATATAAAAAATCATATACATATATTTCATATTACATATTCAAATACACATATGTATATGCTATTGGGGAGTGTGTATAAAATAAAAAATATAAAAATTACTCCCGGTAGTATTTCTTATTTAATAGCATATATAAATGCATTTTTCCTATTTATATTTTTTCTTTATATTTAAATTATCATTTTTTGTTGCTGAGATAACTGGCTACCCATATACAGATTAAAACTGAACCCCTTCAGGCCGGACGTGGTGGCTCACACCTGTAATCCCAGCACTTTGGGAGGCCAAGGTGGATGGATCACAAGGTCAGGAGATGGAGACCATCCTGGCTAACACGTTGAAACCCTGTCTCTACTAAAAATACAAAAAATTAGCCAGGCATGGTGGCGGGTGCCTGTAATCCCAGCTACTTGGGAGGCTGAGGCAGGAGAATGGCATGAACCCGGGAGGCAGAGCTTGCAGTGAGCCGAGATAACGCCACTGCACTCCAGCCTGGGTGACACAGTGAGACTCCATCTCAAAAAAAAAAGAAAAAACTGAACCCCTTCCTTACACAATATACAAAAACTAATTCAAGTTGAATTAGAGACTTAAATGTAAAACCCAAAACTATGAATACCCTAGAAGACAATCTAGGCAATACCATTCAGGACATAGGCATGAGCAAAGATTTCATGATGAAGACACCAAAAGCAATTGCAGCAAAAGAAAAAATTGACAAATAAGACCTAATTAAACTAAAGAGCTTCTGCACAGCAAAAGAAGCTATCAACAGAGTAAACAGACAACTTACAGAATGGGAGAAAATATTTATACACTGTGTATCCATCAAAAGTCTATTATACAGCATCTATAAAGAACTTAAACAATTTTACAAGAAATCAAACAACCCCATTAAAATGCAAGCAAAGGACATGAAAAGACACTTTTCAAAAAAAGACATACATGTGGCCAACAATCAGGTGACAAAAAGCGCAACGTCACTGATCATTAGAGAACAGCAGGTCAAAACCACAGTGAGATATACCATCTCACACCAGTCAGAATGGCTATTACTAAAAAGTCAAAAAAATAACAGATGCTGGCAAGGCTGTGGAGAAAAAGGAATGCTTATATACTGTTGGTAGGAGTGTAAATTAATTCAACATAAAATTATGTCTTGTTACATGGGCTACAGAGTAAGTGTTGTGTTAGTAGGCAGGAAAACAACATCAGCGCCCTTGCACATCTACGTTTTAGACCAGGTGCACTGTCAATGAGCAGTAACGTTTTGGAAGGAATCTATTTCTCAGAGCAGCAGGTGTCAACAGTGGGCTTATAATATTCAGTAAACTATGCTGTAAACAGATGTGCTGTCATATAGGCTTTTTGTTCCATTTACAGAGGACAAGCAGAGTTGATTTAGCATAATTCTTAAGGAACCCTAGGGTTTTCAGAATGTTAAATGAGCCTCGGTTTCAACTTACAGTCACCAGATGCATTAGCCCCTAACAAAAGAGTCAGCCTGTCCTTTGAAGATTTGAAGCCTTGTATTGACTTCTCCTCTCTAGCTACTAAAGACTTAGATGTTATCTTCTTCCAAAAGTCGACTGTTTCATCGACACTGAAAATCTGTTGTTTATGTAGCCACCTTCACCAATTATCTTATGTAGATCTCCTGGATAACTTGCCACAGCTTCTGCATTAGCACTTGCTATTTCACCTTGCACTTTTATGTTCTGGGAACAGATTCATTCCTTAAACCTCAAGAAGCAACCTCTGCTAGCTTCGAACATTTCTTCTGTGGCTTCCTCACCTCTTTCAGCCTTCATAGAATTGAAGAAAGATAGGGCCTTGCTCTGGATTAGGCTTTGGTTTAAGGGACATGTGTTAGGCCATTGCTGTAAAGAAATACTTGACGATAGGAAATTTATGAAGAAAAGAGATTTAATTGGCTCATGGTTCTGCAGGCTGTACAGGAAGCATAACACTGGCACCTGCTTCTAGGGAGGTGTCAGAAAGCTTATATTTATGGCAGAAGCTGAATGGGGACTAGGCTGGTCACATAGAGCAGAAGCAAGAGAGTGGCATGGGAGGTGTCATATAAACAACAAGATCTCATAAGAAGTCACTATCACCAAGGAGAGCGCCAATGGGATGGTGCTGAACCATTCGTGAGAAATCTGCTCCCATGATCCAGTCACCTCCTCCCAGGCCCCACCTCCGACACTGGGGATTACAATATTCAACATGAGACTGCATCTTCAACATGAGGCTGGGGCAGGGACACACACCCAAACTATAACAGGAAGGCTGAGGCTTGTTTGATCTTCCATCCAGGACACTAGAACTTGCTTCATGTCAGCAATGAGGCTGTTTCACTTTCTGATCGTTCCTGTGTTCACTGGAGTAACATTCTTAGTTCCCCCAAGAATTTTTTTCCTTTGCAGCCAGGTGCAGAAGCACATGCCTGTAGTCCAGGCTACTTGGGAGGCTGAGGAGGGAGGATCACTTGAGCCCAGGAATTTTAGGCCGGCCTGGACAACATGGCAAGACTCTATCTCAAAAACAAAAAAAAAAGTAACTTTTTCTTTTTATTCAAAACTTGGCTATTTGCCACAAGAGGCCTAGCCTTTGCTCTCTCGGATTTCAACATGGCTTCCTCACTAACCTCATCATTTCTAGCTTTTGATTTAAAGTGAGAGACATGCGACTCTTCCTTTCACTTGAAGACTTAGAGGCAACTATAGAATATCAATTGGACTGATTTTAGTATTGCTGTGTTTCAACAAATAGGGAGGCCCAAGGGAAGGGAGGGAAATGGGGGAACAGCCTGTAAGTGGACCAGTCACAATGCACAGATTTATCAATTACACTTGCTGAATGTCACCTGCATAGTTTGTTGTGCCCCAAAACAATAACAATAATAACATCAAAGATCACTGATCACAGATATGCTATGACAGACACGATCATAATGAAAGAGCTGGAAATATTGCAAGAATTACCAAAATTTGACACAGAGACAAGAAGTGAGTCCATGCTTTTAGAAAACTGGTGAGAATAGACTTGCTCGAAACAGGGTTGCCACAAACCTCCAATTTGTAAAAAGAAAAAAAAAATGCAGTATCTACAATACACAATAAAGTGAAGCACACTAGAACAAGGTATTCCTGTAAGAACTGAAATCTGTAGTTTACATGAGGGTTAACTCTTTTTGTATTACATTCCATGGATTCTGACAAACAGGTAATGTCCATTATTATAGTACCACCGAGACAACTTACTGCCCCACAAACCTTCTGTGCTCCATCTCTTCCTCCCTCCTTCTCCCCTACTCCCTGGTAACCATACATCTTTCTAGTGTCTCTAGCCTCTTCCAGAACATCCTATAGTTGGAATCATACAGTGGGTAGCCTTTTCAGATTGGTTTCTTTCACTTCGTACAATGCATTTAAGAGTCCCCATGTCTTTTGGCGGTTTGCTAGTTCATTTATTTTTATCACCGAATACTATTCCATGGTGTGGATGTGCCACAGTTTGTCTATCCATTTACCTATTGAAGGGCATCATGGTTGTTTTCAATTTGGGGCAATTATAAATAAAGCTGCTATAAACATTCATGCACAGGTTTTTGTATGAACAAAATAATTCAGCTCCTTTGGGTAAATACACAGGAGTGATGGAAAGGTAGAGCATAAGGGATTTTTAGTACAGTGAAACTATTGTATCATATTGTAATGGTGCATACCTGACATTTTGCATTTGTCAAAACCCACAGAATGTACTGTACAACACAGAGGGAATCCTATCAGAAACTATGTTACATTCGTAATAATGTGACGATATTGGTTTATCAATTGCAACAAATGTGCCACAGCAACGCAAGGAGAAACCATGTCTTGAGAAGGATATGGGAACTCTCTGTGCTACTATTCCATTTTTCTATAAGTTCTATAAACTTAAAGCTGCTCTAAAAATAGGGTCTATTAATTTTAGAAACTCGTATGTGAAGTTGCTAGTCCAAGAAACTCAAATATGCGAACTTTTCTTGTAACTGATGCCAATAATAGATTCTGTCCATCCTCATCATTAATGATTCCCAAAATGTACACCTGATAGAAGAATCAGGCTGAAGCAAAACCATGAGAAAGCTTCGCTGAGATACTCTCTTCCTTTTGACAGTCCCTTAGTTCTAAAAACTTTGGTGACTTTGATAATGTCCCTCCTTTCTCTTTTACTGCAATTGATTTAATTGCTAAAAATAAAATATTCCAACATTTATAAAAAACCTACCAAGTACCAAAGACTGTTAGGTGATTTACGTATGTTATCTCTGACTCTTATGACAACATTTCAAATTCAGTGACGTTACCACCACTTGACAGGTTGAGAAACTGAACCAAAGAAATTGAGGACTGTGCCCAGGGTTATGTTGCTAGCAGAGGACAATTGAAGAAAGTAAGCCCAACTCTGATTACGAAACCTTCCTAATATCTCCACAAAACCTAAGGACCCAATGCCTTTCAGCCTTATCTCAAATGGCATTATTTGATTTAGGAGCCAGTGAGCATATAAATATGAAAAATACCACAAAGCTAGCATGTCTTGTTCATAAAGCCATAGAAACTAGAGAGCAAACTTCTCATGTTATACTTATGGAAAACCCAGAAATATTAGTTATGTGGGTTGTCCAACACTCCGAAGGTGCCCGGGAGGACAAGCAAGATGGGAGCTCAATTTCCTTGATACTAAACCCGTTGTTTTTCCCATGAAGTAACTGGCCTCTCTAGAGACCTCACCATCACCACAATCATCTTTCAGGTTTACAGTGAGCTACCTAGTCAGGCTTGAACTTTCATTTGGTTCCACATTTAAAAATAATGTTTTACATCCCTCTAAAGCAACCACCTCTTCTGAAATAACAGAAAAAGAGAAAGGATTTGCAGACCATTCTTTAGAGACCATAAATTTCCACTGAAGTATTAACACAATCTATTAGGTCATATTATAGTCAATTGTGCAGAAGAAGAAAACCTATTCAACAACATTATTTAATGGCATTTTGATGTGCTATTTGCTAGACACAATGATGAATGCAAGGATTGAGCAATAAAGTGGTATGGAAAGCAAACAGCTCTCCTGTGAGGTTTACTTCCCAGGTGTAAATGAGCTCAGTGCTCACAAATGATTTGCCTTGACATTGGAATCCAACTGGAGTCTGGAATTACTGTAACTGTTTTCGGCTTGGGTGATTTAATCAGCAAATCTTCAATAGTGTACTATGCATGTACTGAACTGATTCCAGACTGCGCAGCCTGATTTATACACACTACTTGCAGACAACCATTTGTGGGAGGCTCACTAGCAACTGTTCGCCTGCCTCTTTATAAGGCAGATGCCCGTGGTAATGTGTCAGAACAATTGAAGTCTATGCTTTATATCTGTAAACCCAAACAAAGAGACATACAAGGAGTTGCTTCGAGGGACAGGATTTTTGTTGGTGGTGGTGTTTTATGAGTTTTAAATAAATCTAAAATCATTCATTCACTTATTTAACAAATATTTCTGTGCACTTACTCTATGATCAAGCATTGTGATAGGCCCACAGAAGTAAGGGCAGAAGGCAGAGAAAATGAGAGGGAGTTAAGAAGTGGCTCCTCCAAGCATAGAATAAAAGTGTCAGGTCATATCAATCAGTTGAACACAATCCAAAAAAGAGAAGCCTCAAAACATTAGGACCCCTGATCACCACTGGAATGTGGGTTTCTCACATCTGTGTGGTGGTAGGAGGCATTCAAAATATTCACGGAGATTTATTTTTCTCTGGTCACTGTGTTTTTTGTTTTTTAATTTTATTTTACTTTAAACTCTGGGATACATGTGCAGAATGTGCAGGTTTGTTACACAGGGATACATGTGCCATGGTGGTTTGCTGCACCTATGAGGGTTGCTGTATTTTATACTCACTGCTCCCAACCCTGCTTTTCATGCTATTTGGTAGATGAAATGCCCCACTCCCAGCCTCCTAGAAGAGATATATCAGGGTCCACAAAAGGACACAGCCTGTCAGGCCCCTTCTGGCTTTGAGTTCTGAGGTCCTAATGCCCTAGAGAAACATAGGAGACAGGAGACAAAATGTTTCAGGAAACGGGGTTTGACAAGAGTGGCTTTCTCTTTTCTCCTGATCATGCTACATGCCCACTGTTAGGAAGATTCTCTAAGGTTTAGAAAGGGAAGAGAAAAGGTGGGAGTGGAGTTATGGACAGTGGAAGATCCTGTGCCTCGATTTCTAGCAGAAACCCCGCAGATGCACCAAAGCCAAGACAGGGATTAACTCGAAATTGGATCGCAGGAGACGGGGCTTTGGACAGCGTTAACAAGATGTTCGTGCTTTGGTGTTGCACAGAGAGGCAGGAAGATCCCACTTGTGTGGCACCAGGTATAGGAGAGAGTGACCATCCCTGGGGGCATAAGGGGAAACACAGAGGCAATCGCTGGTGGCTGACAGCAGGACTGAGTGTAATCATGATGGTCTCAGCGGACATGACTTGTCAGCTTAAGTGACTTCAGGACTGGATACATCTTCCCCCAATGTCTTACAACATTTGCCCATAGACCCAGCCATAGGGAAAAAGAGGATCCTAAATATCTGAGATTAAATTTATGCCAGCTTAGTTAAATGGAAAACTCAAAACAAAAATTACCTTGAATTATGGAAAAGCAAGAAGAAATTTGTATTTCTTGGAGCATCTCTGTTATGGAGTGAGACAAAAAGCTATTACACCTGACGGGTAAGTTTTAGGGAACTCCAAAAAATTAAAGTTTCAAGTCTTTTTTCCATCCCAAAATTGAAGAAAAAAAAAGATATCGTTAAAAAAAAATCCCTTCTGTAAAAAAATTTTGAGAAGTATCCTCCCTATCCCTTTAAACAGCTCAAAAAAAGGAAAACAGCAGTGGAAACAATTTCAGATAGAATCAGAGTTTTGGAAGAGGATGTCATCCTGAAAAGTGCTTGGCTTTGCAGACTCCTATCGATGGAACCAGCCCCGGGCCTTTCCCTGACCAGCTGCCCACATAACCCACTGCAGGTGGCTGTGTCCTCACTGTGATGCAGCTGGGCAGTGAGCTTTGCCCTGAAAAGGTCCTATGTGGACCCAGACCCCCTCCACGTGCTCCACCCACTCCTCTGAGGACACCTGTGGGCAGAGGCTCACAGGAGTCAGGGGCCTCTCTCTGTACAGGAACTCCAGCATCACTCAGGATTCTTACATTACAGAAACAGAACCAGCGGGCTAATAGAGACAGACACGGTGGGGGAACTTATTTTTAAAGGAATTGGCTCACATGACTGTGGGGTCAGCCAGTCTGAAAAGTACAGGGCAGGCTGGAGACCCAGGGAAGAGCTGTTACCATCAAGGGCACCTGAAGGCAGAGTCCCCTCTTCTCCAGGGACCTCAGTCTTTTCCTTTCAATGCCTTCAAATGATGGGAGGCTCATCTGCTTTACCCAGAGTCCACTGATTTAAATGTTAATTACATCTGAAAAATGCCTTCCCAGCCACATTTAGTCTGGTGTTTGACCAAACATCTAGAAACCATGGCCTAGCCAAGTTGAAGCCATGCAATGAGGCACCGTGGCGTGGAGACAGAGCTGGAGCCCCTGCTGCTGCTCTTTGTCACAGCCACAGCAACACTCACTATCCCCATGCTCTACTTCCTCTCTAGACCCTCCTCCCCCTGCTCAGCCCTGCCTGCTGGCCTCAGTGACTCACCTCCCTCCTCACACCCTCATCAGCCTCCAGCCACACCCCTTCTCAGACCAGGGTTACTCTCTGTCCGCAGTTAGGATCCCATTTAGCGAGGGAGCATCATGGGGTGCCCAGGTAGATCCCTAGGAGTACAAGGGTCTCCTTCTGTCCCCACCCTAAAGCCCTGTGAGCCACATTTGCAAGAGACCCTTCAACCAACAGCCCTGGCCTACGGAGGAGAGAGTCCCCCCACACTTGCAGCAATGCTAGTGCCACTCGCTCCTGGAAACTGATGGTCCTGGGCCTTCCCATGGAGCAGAAGGATGCACAACCTTCCTGCCATGCAGTCCAGTGTCGTGCTCCCAAAGATTAATTCTAAATGACAGTAATGGTGGTAGTGGTCATAATGATGATAATGGGGGTGATGAAGAATAAAGAAATTAGTTCCCATTCAGGTGAGACATGGTGGCTCATGCCTGTAATACCAGCACTTTGAGAAGCCAAGGAGGGAGATCACTTGAGGTCAGGAGTTCGAGACCAGCCTGGCCAAAATGGTGAAACCCTGTCTCCACTAAAAATACAAAAATTAGCCGGGCGTGGTGGTGTGTTCCTGTAGTCCTAGCTACTTGGGAGGCTGAGGCAAGGGAATCACTTAAAACCGGGAAGTGGAGGTTGCAGTGAGCTGAGATTATACCGTGGCACTCCAGCTTGGGTGGCAGAGTAAGAGTCCATTTGAAGAGAAAGAAGGAAAGAAAGAAAGAAAGAGAGAAAGAGAAAGAAAAGGAAGAAAGAAAGGAAGAAAGAAAGAAGGAAGGAAGGAAGGAAGGAAGGAAAGAAAGAAAGAAAGAAAGAAAGAAAGAAAGAAGGAAGGAAAGAAAGAGAAAGAAAGGAGGGAGAGAAGGAGGGAGGGAAAGAAGGAAGGAAGGAAAAGAAAGAGAGAAAGAAAGAAAGAAAGGAAAGAAAGAAAGGAAAAGAAAAGAAAAGAAAAGAAAAGAAAAGAAAAGAAAAGAAAGAAAGTTAGTTCCCATTCAGGTATATTTGTTTGCTTCCAAAATTCAAGAATTAACTAGAATAAGCATACTGAGGCCTGACACAGATGTAAGGCCATACACAGGCCTTACTTTCCACTTTGAAGGAAAGTACGTTATTTTCATTAAAGCCAGTTTGTCAGATAACCTCAGGTATGTGAAATTTAACTCCAGTTTACTCACCAAAAAAGAGACGTCAAGTAAATGCAATAGGAACAATATAAAATGACTGTGACCTCTTTCTGGAAGATCACATGTTAACGTGTAGACAATTTTATCCAACAACTTTGATATTCTTTAAACCTAAATGTTTCTTTATGAAGAGAGCCTTGACACAGACCTGGAGCTATCTGGGGAGCCCACAGAACCCTCAAGAGCTGACAACAGTCAACATAAGCTACGCAATGATGTTGTCATAAAACCCGTGGTAAATTTTGATAGCAATGATAAAAGATTATTCCAAATCTTCTACCCTTACGTAGTAATTAGTATTAAAGGGTTTCCTAGGTTGGTAGGTTTTTTCTGTGGTAGATTTAATTTACAGATGGTTTGCTAAAACGAAAAGCAGACATACATTGAAAATCTATAAATGCATTTGTATGTAATGAATTGAAGCTGCTCCTAATTAGTAAAGGAAGAAAAACGCAGAAGGCGGAAGGATTTCTTTGGCCTTGGACAAAAGCATCTGAATCCATTTTACTTCCTTTAATATGCATGTGCCATGCTTTCAGAGCTCTTTGCAAGGGTTGATATCAGAGCTGTGGATTGGAGGTTCTGCACCTCCCCGGGATTATACCTGTTTGTGTCCTTGACAGCTACTGGAAAATCATACAGTCCTGCAAATCCCATGAAAGAGGAATTTAAACACGTGTGCTATTAGGAGCAGCCGTTTTGTTAGAACACCACCAAGAAAATCTTTTTTTTTCTTCCTGTGTCCCCATTTACAAAGAGGCAAATGATTAAATTTGCTTCACCGAATTAAACTTATCCAGCTTCCTGCTGGGTGCCGGGGAGCGTTTCTGGAATACCACCTGCAGGGCAGCTGCTCTTTTCTACATGGCCTGAATATCACTAAATGGCATCAGACTCCTGACATGCTGTTGGAAATTGTGGCTTGCCACAGGGCTACTCTGGGTTGTGGGGAAACGGCAAAGGCATAACAGCCACTTTCTGGGCCGACACAAACACCCCCAGTGGTTTGGTAGAAAAGCCAGTGAGGAATCCAGTGAAAAACCTGCCATGAGGATGACTTTGAAAGGAAAGAAAGAGAGAGGGAGGGAGAGAAAGAGGGAGGAAAGAAGAGAGAGAGGTGAGAGAAGGAAGAAAGGAAGAAGGAAAGGAGGGAAAAGGGCGGGGAAAAGGGAGGAAGGGAGGGACGGAGGGAAGGATGAGAAATCGACCCATTCTTCTCTTGCTCTGAAGGTCACATGAAGTGGTAGTCCCTATTTATATGTGAATATACCTGATTTCATCTTTTTTTTTTTTTTTTTTTTTTTGAGACGGAGTGTCACTTTGTAGCCCAGGCTGGAGTGCAGTGGCATGATCTCGGCTCACTGCAACCTCCACCTCCTGGGTTCACACCATTCTCCTTCCTCAGCCTCCCGAGTAGTTGGGACTACAGGTGCCCGCCACCACGCCCAGATAATTTTTTTGTGTTTTTAGTAGAAACAGGGTTTCACCGTGTTAGCCAGGATGGTCTCGATCTCCTGACCTCGTGATCCACCCACCTCGGCCTCCCAAAGTGCTGGGATTACAGGCATGAGCCACTGCACCCAGCCTTGATTTCATCTTATGGTAATACTTCGAGATGCCATCAAAGTATCCAACGAGTGGAAAATGTGTTGTAAATATCCCATTTGTGTTTATCTTCATTCAATATTCAGCTCCCCTAGGAGTCCTGTGTGTATTTCAGCATCCCAGCCTCACTGGCGATCTATGCGTATGTTTCTATGGGAACAGAGGCCTTGGTTTTAAGTCCAACACAAATCTCTGGCATGATGGTGGGCCATGAGCTCCCTGCCCACAGGATGCTGTGATTTTAGTTTAGCATAATGCTGACCATACACACTTACAGCCGAGAGTATGGAAGAAGACCACACATCAGAATCTCACAGAATCTCATAACATGTTACAATTATCCATTTGCTATCTCATAATCTCAGTTAATGAAGATCCTTGTTAGTAAGACCTTCAATTTACCAGGGGGAGAAATGGCTGCACTTGAATTGCAATAGAACAGAAGGGCTATAAATAAGCAAGTGCATGCTAGGACGTGGTAAGAAAAAAAAACAGCAAACCGATCTAAGGCAAGAAAACCACCAAGGTTCTCAGTACTAACGACTGCATTCACCCTAAAATAGTCGACAGTGTGATTGATGGTCAAAATTCCATACCCTTAGGATATTAAAATGCACTCAATCATTAAGAACAGAAAAATGTGTACTTACATTCACTGTGCTATAATTATCAGCAAAATACACTAAATAGGTAATACCTAAAATGTATGTAATAAGAGGATTGTTCAGGTCCTGCTAATTTTTAGTTTTATTAACATTTATATTTCATTCATTGTGGCAGTCACAAAACCATATTCCATAAATGTGAAATGATCAAGGGGTGAGAGGGTAATTGCACCAGGAACTGATGCAGGAAAACCAGGGCACAGTCATTACTGTCCATGAATTTACTTTAGACCAGGAGACAAATTTAAATATTTACTGATATTTGACAACATGACTCCTTTGATTTTGTAAAATATTAAGTGCAGATGATTCTTACCTAGTACTGAATAAAGAGCACCCAGGGGCCTCCTTAAATTGAAAATAATACTCTTTCCACCTTCCCCATCTGTTGAAATCCTACTCATCATTCAAAGCCAAGATCAAATATCATTTGCTTTTTGAAGCTTTTCTTGGCCTCCTAGTCAGCACGAATCACTGCCTTCCTTGTCTTCCCCAGCAGGTTGTTACGAACCTTCCTATGCAAACACTCCCACCATAGGACAGATACACTTAGCCATCTGCATCCCGACTCTCCTAGATTGTGAAATCCTTGCAGATGAGAACCAAACTTTTTGAAAATGCTGCTCTTCCTTCATCTACTAGACAGCATCCTGAATTTGGTAGATATTCAATAAACTTTTGTTAAAATGAGTTTTCATATGGGCTCTGGAGCCAGGAAAATTTGAAATTGAGTCAGGCTTTACCACATGTTAGCTGTGTGACATTAGTAAAGTGACTCAACTCCTCTGAGTCTTAGTTTCCTTATCATTAAAGTAGAATTTCTAATCCTGACTCTATTAGGTTACCACGAGGACTAAGGGAGGTAAATGAAAAAAACCTCATATGTATTAGGCTTAAGAACTTCTTCCTTTTCCTTTCTCTTTACTTTTGTCTCAAGGTGGTACAGTTTAGGAAGATCTCCATGTCCATTGACACCTGCTACCATAAAGAAATCAACAGGTTCATCTTCTGAAGGAATTGCAGTCTCTTTCTCTCTTTCTTTCTCTTTCCCTCCCTCCCTCCCTCCCTTCCTTCCTTCCTTCCTTCCTTCCTTCCTTCCTTCCTTCCTTTCTTTGACAGGGTCTCACTCTCTTCCCCAGGCTAGAGTGCAGTGGTGTAATCACAATCCCAGCTGACTGCAGCCTCAATCTCGTGAGTTCAAGCAATCTTTCCACCTCAGCCTCCTGAGTAGCTGCGACTACAAGCATCCACACCACCACACAGGGATAATTTCTTTCTTTCTTTTTTTTTTTTTTTTTGGTAGAAACAGGGTTTCGCTATGTTACCCAGGTCAATCTCAGACTTCTGGGCTCAAGCAATATGCTCACCTCAGTTTCTCAAAGTGCTAAGATTATAGGTGTGAGCCACTGCACCTGGACTGTTTTTGTTTGTTTGTTTGTTTGTTAATGGAAGTTTTTCTTTTATATAAAGTCAGGGAAGTTGAAAAGAGTTTACATTACCATAAAAGAAATTTCTCGGCCAGTTTTAAGGAATCACTCTTCTTCCATGGCCTCTACGATTCTCACCTATGACAAAATATAGAGACAGGCGCAGCCTATCTCAAGAATATTGGACTTCACAGTAGAGGCACAGTGGTCTAAAACAAACATCTAAATAGTCCTGATTGTAACAAAAAGGGAAGACTGGATGGGCAAGTGAGGTTTGAAAGGTGATTTCTGTTCACACTGAGTTGTGAGGCTTTCTCTGCTCTCCACTGACCCAGCAGATTTACCCAGAATCACCAATATAATAACTCTGCATTTCTGTTCCTTTCTAGAGAATTCAACCTAAACGCTCTGCTTATGTAAAAATAGTGCGAGGTACACCCTCCACCAAGGAGTCCCTATAACTTTCGTTCCTCAGACATGGTTCAAACCAGACCACGGGGGAGCAGCACCCTACATGCCACTGCGTTGACCTCTTGGATTTCCGTTTCACTGTTGTGCAAGATAATTATGCCATGGACTCACTCACACTGAAATATTAGGAGAAACAGAGGCACTTGACCTTGGATTTACTTTTTCGAACTAGCATGGCAGCTGCTCTTAGCAAAAGTGTTTTCTCATTAACAGATTTCCCAGGGAAAACAATTCTCCCATGTCAGTAGCAAGAATCACTCTTCTGCAGGAGCACCGGTTTATTTGATGTTCTGGTTGCCGGGCATCGAGGAGAAGGTAGTGCCCCCCCTTTTCTGCTCTGGCTTCTGGCTAATGCTGAGCCACAGGTTTGGCCTCCTGCTAATCCGGGGACTCAGAGAACACGTTTTAGGGACCACACTTAACGATTGTTATATGGTCTTCTTCTAACCTTATTTTTTCTTTGTCCAGAATTTCTCGCTTTTTAATTTTCATCTATTATTAATTCCACTTTGATGATACGGAAACGTATCTTTTCCTTTAGCCACCAGTGTTTAGGTGGAGCGCCCGCCGGCAGGCTCGGGGCTCAGCTGGGAGGGCAGCTCTGGAAGCGTCCTGGAAAGGAAGGCCCAGTTCTTCTGGGGCCTGGGTTGGATTGTGTCCTCAGTTGTGGGGACGGTGGGAATCTAGGAAACGTGTTGGAGCAGGGCAATGACTCCCGGGAGATCTTTGGTTTCAGGAAGGGTGGCTTGGGGTGCTCCTCAGTAGTGAACACGCACAGGAGGCCCCGGAGAGCGGTGGGACGCACCTCCTGATTGAGCGGGTGAGAGCGAGGCCAGGGCCTCTGCATTTCTGGGAAGCTGCCAGATGGTGTCAACGCTGCAGGGGGCCGAATCCTATCTGAATAGCAAGGGCGCAGCCTGAGTGAGGAAGAGACTAGCGGCAAACAGATTGGACAGAAGCGGCTTCAGGACACGGGGCAGTCACAGCTTGATCAGCCGCCCCTGTAACCGGGTGGGGCATCCCCGCCCTCCGCTGCCCTGGAAGGAGCCCTCGGCTGGGTCAGGGCCGCGGGAGCCCTGGCCAGGAGCCACCTCCGCCAGGCGCGGCCGCTCCCGGGGGCTCCTCCTGCGTCCCCAGCGCCCACGCCCCGCCCCACCTGGCTCCGCTGCACCCGCAGCCACAGCGCCCGCCCGGGACACCTGCCCCTCCACGGCCGCGCGGGCGGAGGATGGCACTGCAGGTGGCGAGGCTGCTGCACTGGGCTTCCGAGGAGGTCTGGGGGAGGAGGCAGCTGGCAGAAGGAAAGCCAGACGGCGGCGGCAGCAGCTTAATAAGGGGGGTCTCCAGAGAACTGTGGTCCAGGCAGGTGGCTGGGAGCCCGGTGAGCCCTTTCAGAGAAGGGGGAGCGCTGCTGTCTCAAAGAGCAGCTGAGCCAAAAACAGAGGGGCCGGGGGTGGGGGACAGAGGGGTCATCACTGCCTGGACAGAGCTGCGTCCTGCGCAGGACCGGCAGCCCGAGGCGGAGACGAAGGGGGCCCGCAGGGACTCCTGGCCTTGCGTCTTGGGAGAGCGCACGCTGGCCTGCGCTACACACACACACTTCACAGTTGCGCTGAAACAGAGTCGGGTTTTCTGTACAGGAGATAAAATGACGGTAGTGTGTGTGTTTTTTGAAAGAGCTGTTAAAAAGCTAAGTTCTTCTCATTTCAGTGAGAGTTCCCCCTTGGATTGTTTGTGCGTGTATTCAATTCAGCCGCTGAAATCCCTGTGATTTTTAAAGCCCATTCCTTCCAAAATGAGTCATCCTGAATGACATGTGGAATACTTAGCATAAAGATCTATACTTGAGTAGTAACTTACAGTAGTAGATCCTTTCTTTCCTTCCTTCCTTCCCTTCCTTCCTTCTTTCTCTTTCTTTCTCTTTTTTCTTTTTTCTTTCTTTCTTTTTTTCCCTTTCTTTCTTCCTTTCTCTCCCTTTCTTTCTTTGTTTGCCTTTCTTTCTTTCAAAAATTTGTTACTAATGTTCTTTCCATTCCTTTTCTGCTTCTCTGTCTTTTTCTTTCTTTCTTGTGTGAAAGGCATAGAGGCAACTAGCTAAGACAGTGAAATTCAAATCTCTATTCTTTCTTTCTCTTCTTTCTTTCTTCCTTCCTTTCTTCCTTTTTTTCTTCCCTTCTTTCTTTCTCAACTATTGTCCAAACATTAAATGCCAGTTATGTATCCCATGGAGATCTCCCTTGAGATTTAACCTCAACAGCTACTCTCATTTTCCATGAGCTGTTGGGTCATGCAACCCTAGTTGAAGGACTGCATGAGTCTCATTCCTAGGAAATAATTCCCTGGGATTTACTGTTACATGAACACCAACACATTGGTAAGTATTAATTCTTTAACGTTTCTATTTAAAGAAAACATTACTCAAATGCCAGAAAAGGTTTAGTTGTATTGATTTGGATTGGAGAGCTGGTGAAAACATTGAGATTCCTCTGGACATGCATGTAGTATATGGCTGTGGGACTAGGACAGATTAATGACACTGCAAAAAAGCAAATGTCTGCCAAACTTGGAATTGGAATGTGGATACACCAAACGTGGGAAAATAAGTGTAACAGTCCTGGACACAGCGTCTATCTGGTAGTTTAAATGATCTGCAAAATGGTACTCACTTTCCCAGGCCTCACCCCCACCTAATCCTACTCCAATCTATCCTACCTCAGGAAATCTTTAATTTGGGATAACTCTACTGAATCCTACATAGACATTACTGTTAAAAACATCAAGAAAGAGCAAAAAATCTCCCCATGATGCTTGCCACTGTATCAAAAGGAAACAAACTAATTGACTTACTTATGCAAAAGCTGGCCTGGGGAGGATCTCTTGAGCCCAGGAGTTCAAGACCAGCCTGCATAAAATGGCAAGAGCCTATCTCTACAAATATATATATATATATGAGCTTGGCGTGGTGCCATACACCTGTGGTCCCAACTACATAGGAGGCTGAGGCAGTAGGATTGCTTGAGTCCAGGAGGTCAAAGCTGCAAGTGGGGTGTGTCCGTGCCACCACACTCCAGCCTAAGTGACAGAGTGACACTCTCTCTCAAAAAAGGAGCCTGGGGGAGTGTGGGGCAGCACTGATAGACTCAAATTCATTAACATGCACTGAGAAATTCATCCTACTTTTTAAAAGCATATGTATAGGTATGGAATTTGTACACAAACATTTCCCAATCTGGATCTTAAACCCTCTTGTTGCCCATTTAAAAACACGCAGACACATGCATGTACTTAAGCATAAATGAGGGTCTTTTGAAAATTAAGGAACAAATAGTACTTCCTTGCATTTTCTAGATTATGCTGTACTTTACAACACTCTTACAAGCAGTTTTCACCTAGGCCTTTATGCAAATCTAGAGAAAGACAATGAAGATTTTATCACTCCAGTTTTATAGATAAAGAGTCTCAAAGCAATTATATCACCTTCACAAGGTGAACTGCCATAAAAAATAATGACATGATTGGAATGCTACTTTGTTTCGGGTGCACTTTTGTCACTTCATGATTCTTGGACACAGGCTGTCAGAAAAAAACATTAAGGACAAATAGTGCCTGGAGTCGAGCTGAGGTTTTTTTTTTTTCTTTGAGGAAGAAAAGGGAGCTGTGTAGGTGCAGTGGAGCATGCCCGTAGCCCAGCTACTCCAGAGGCTGAGGCTGGAGCTTAAGCTCAGGAGTTTGAGGTCAGCCTGGGCAACATAGTAAGACCCCATCTCTAGAGAAACAATTTTTTTAAAGAAAACAAAAAAGTGGGAAAGTAAAAAATATCAAGTACGTTTCCTTTCAAAATGAGCATATCTGCTTTGTGGAAAATACTGGAAAGTAATTCTTAAATGAAGTTATTCTCTAAAATATCCTATAGTGTTTCTTTTTAATTGCTATATTCATGTTTAACATGTTCTATGTGTGTATGTGTTTCACCCAACAGAATTATGAGTTCTGTGAGGCATGAATTCTGAGTTTTCCCCTCTATGTCCTCAACACTGAAACCAATGTCTGTCACATAATACATGACTCTACATGTGGGTTGAACTGAAGTAGAAACCATGTTTTTTCATTAATTTTCTGAACATGGTGGCTGGGACAGAACACACATTTAATAAGCATTTATTTAACAAATAAATAAGTGAATGAATGATTAAAGGATATTGATACTCCCTATCAGAAAATACTAAGACACATAGTGATCTGAAATAATATACAGATAAATGGTTCTCTTTTCTGGTTTAATGTGGAATATGCTGTAAATAATCAAAATATCCTAGATTCTTGAACAAATCCTATTGGAATGACAGTAGCAAGGATTGAACCCATTCCAAACAAGATTGACTCTTAATGGAATTATAAAAATCAGTAGGAACTATATCTCTTAAGCAAAAGCGGTCATTTTGTCCTAGTGGCATAAGCAGGAGCCCTCCACGTACACAACATCCAGCAGGGAGTCCAAGCCTGCAGTGAGCATATGATTTTGGATCTGCACTGCGATCTTCTCATCATCACATGTTTTATGGACAGAAACAAGTATTACATCAAATATACTGACAGAGTCCCCGGAGACAGCAATGGAACAGAACTCCCTCAGCTGGCACGCAGGTGAAGGAGAGAGTCGTGTTTGTCTAAGATGGAGGTACTGTGAAGTTTGGAGTCACATTGCCTTTCTTCCAACTCCAACTTTAGTTAAAGGTGGAAGTGACCACAGACGCTGAAGGACAACATTCATCATCTGTGAGGAATTCTGTATTTACTGTATCATTGATTGATGATCCTGTATTTTCTGTCAACTCTCCATATAGCTGAAATTGAAAACTTTACAAATAACATAAACAGGACAGAGAGTAAAATGGGCATGGCTTAGGCATCATGCGTAGCATGGCAGTCCAGCATAGTTAGTCATGCCAAGACTGTTCCCTGCTGGCCTTGCCTCAACCCCTGCCACTCCCTGCATAGCGAGGGGCCCCACACTTTGCAATTACTGCTACTGGAATTCCATGCTGTTGGAATTCCATGTCTTATTTTCAATTAGGCCCCTAGCCTATCCAGAAAACATTTCCAAAGTGACACTAGCAGTTAATTTTTTTCTCCTTCCCTTTCACCTCTAGTTTCCAGAAATATTCAAAGATCTCTACATAATAAAAACAAAATACTCATGTCTGTAGAAGAAATGGCTAAAATGTTTTCTTTCCTGGGTTCTACCACAGTTAGCAAAGTGTCTCGGTCTATTTTTGTAAACATGGTTTATAATCACACAGAAGCTTCATAAAATATTTTTGTATCCTATTTTCAACCTCACAGTCTCCTTAGATGTAAGTAGGAGATATGGAGCCATTTTCTCAATGATAAATGAAGGTTCTGAGCCATAAACTCCTGATGGAAAATGCAGTGTACTAAATACTCTGTAGTGTACCCATATGTTTCAGAGTGCAGGGTGCATGAAAATGTGCCTATAATTTGGTCAATATCAAACCCCCCAAAACAGTGCTTATGTTCTCTAACTGTGTCCTACTGGTTAATAAAGAATACCATAAAAAGATTATGTGGTCTGCTTCTTTTTTAAATAAGCAACCTAGTTACCATACATTGTCTTTGGATTTAAGGCAGCTCAGTTCTTTGTGTGAGGGCAGTTTGCATCGTTCTCATATTTGCGTTTCGGGAAAATATGATCAAGTGTAGACTTATGTCAGTGGAGTAGGAGTGTTTCTACCTATCATAAGCTTGGTCTTCAATATGTAGTAGAGAACATCTCCCTAACCATTTTTGTGTGGGGCATAATATTATTCTACAGAGTTGTTGCAATCAGCATTAACATAGTCAACAAGCTTCAGCTGAGGTAGTTGTGCAATAAATGTATGACCAGGAAATACTATAAATATCTTTCCTTTTATACTTCAGATCCTATTCTTCACAGTTAGAACCAGAAATAGACATACTAATATTCCAATCCTGTTCTCATTTATTTACCCAGGCTAGCATTAGCTATCCCCTTGCCCTCTGGTTACAAGAGGTGAAATAGAGGCATGCTACATGGTATTAGGACAGGCAGAGATAAACCCTGGGAAGAATATCAAATATGCATGAACAAATCATACAACTCCTCCAAGAGCTGGAATGAGAGAAATGAAGGAAAAACATGTACCTAGCTTTGGAGAATCCTAAAAGATACTTAAAAACTGAGAAGAAATTGGAACTATTGCCTCTCTGAGGTAAGGAATTCCACCCTGCAGTAGATAAGATGTCTATTCATTCCCTGGCTCTGGGGAGCATATTGAGTTGGAGGGTGGAGGATGTGAGCCTGCCCTACCTCCCTCTCGAGCCTATACACAAACTCATCTGGGATGCATCTGCCCATCACACAGAGTCCTACTTGCTGTGAGATGTCCTCAAATTGCCCACTATCAGGGTCCCAGAAATTCTTTCGAATTCTGTAATTACATGTTTCAACACATATATTTGTATATATCTTTATGGTTTTAGGGGCTCCCAGGAATCTTGTTTCCTAAGAGATGGAGAAAACTCCTTGGAAAACCCATTCTAAGGGAAAGAGATTCAAGGTGCTGAAGCTCTGTTGTTGGAAAATATACTAGGACTGGGGTAAACTAATGCATGTAAGTACAATACATTTTGTGTTACACTAGATTTTCTTCTGGACCAACCCCTACAGACCCATGCAAGAGGGAAAAAAAGCCTGAAAGAGTGAATGTTCATTCACTAAAATGTTGATAAGACATTGAAAGCATCACACTGCGTTACATGGGAAAATAACAACTAAATTCCAGGGGAAGAGTGGTATTGAGATACCCAGCACAGTGAATGGGCAGTGGGTGCGGTCACCATATAGGGCAGGAACGGAATTGTGAGACAGAGAAGGGGGAGAGCCTGTGTTCCTTTCTTTTTCTTAACTCTTCTTTTTTTTCCTTTTCTTCCCATTCCCTCAAAGTGACTTTAACCTTGGGTTTCCTTCTTCATGTCTTCATGACTCCATCTGTTCATTTAGCCAAGCACTAGTGAATGCCGCACAGTACCCAGCACTTAGCTAACCTCAGGATAGACGCAGACCAACAAAACATGCCTCTACCTTTAGGAAAACTCACAGTCAATAGCAAAGGCTTCCTTTCAGCCCTAATATCATTTTATAACTCTATATGTAACACCCGCAGTAATGGTGACAACAATGTTGGTGAACTAAAATACGCATTGTCTTGTGTTTGTCAGCGCTTCCTGCCTGCAAAATACACCAGGGAATGGGCTAGAGGAACTTCACTGTGTCACAGCATCTTAGCACTAAAGCAAGTCTTGTTTTTGAAACTTTTATTTTAAGTTCAGGACTGCATGTGCAGGTGTGTTACGTAGGTAAACTCTTGTGTCATGCGGGTTGTTGTACAGATTATTTTATCACCCAAGTATTAAACCTACTACTCATTAGTTATTTTTCCTGATTCTCTCCCTCCTCCTCGCATCCCCCATCCTCCAATAGGCCCCAGTGTGTGCTGTTCCCCTATATGAGTTCATGTGTTCTCCTCATTTAGCTCCCACTTATAAGTGAGAGCATGTGGTATTTGGTTTTTTATTCCTGCATTTGTTTGCTAAGGATGATGGCCTCCAGCTCCAACCATGTCCCTCACTTTTTGATGGCTGCATAGTGTTCTGTGGTGTGTATGTACCACATTATCTTTATCCAGTCTATCACTGAGGTCTTTGCTATTGAGAATAGTGCTGCAGTGAATATACACGTTCATGTATCTTTATAATAGAATGATTCATATTCCTTTGGGTATATATGCAGTAATGGGATTGCTGGGTCGAGCAGTCTTTCTGTCTTTAGGTCTTTCAGGAATCGCCACACTGTCTTCCACAATGGCTGAACTAATTTACACTCCCACCAACAATTTATTAGTACTAATTTTTCTCTGCAACCTTGTCAGCATATGCAATTTTTTTTGTTTTGACTCTTTAATAATGCCATTCAGATTGGTGTGAGATAGTATTTCATTGTGGTTTTGATTTGCGTTTCTCTGACGATCAGTGATGTTGAGTTTTTTTCATGATTGTTGGCTGCATGTATGTCTTCTTTTGAATCAAGTCTGTTCATGTTCTTTGCCCACTTTTTAATAGGGCTTGGTTTTTTTTTTTTCTTGTAAATTTGTTTAAGTTTCTTATAGATGCTGGATACTAGACCTTTGTTGGATGCATAGTTTGCAAAACTTTTCTCCCATTCTGTAGGTTGTCTGTTTACTCTGTTGATAGATTCTTTTGCTGTGTAAAGCTCTTTCATTTAATTAGATCCTATTTGTCTATTTTTTCTTTTGTTGCAATTGCTTTTGTCATCTTTGTCATGTAATCTTTGCCTGTCCCTATATTCAAGTTGGCATTGCTTAGGTTGTCCTCCGGGTTTTTATAGTTTTGGGTTTTTCATTTAAGTCTTTAATCCATCTTGAGTTAATTTTTGTATATGGTGTAAGGAAGTGGTCCAGCTTCAATCTTCTGCATATAGCTAGCCAGTTATGCCAACACCATTATTTGAATAGGGAACCCTTTCCCTGTTGCTTGTTTTTGTCAGGTTTGTTGAAAATCAGATGATTATAGGTTTGCAGCCTTATTTGTGGGTTCTCTATTCTGTTCCATTGGTCTATGTGTCTGTTTTTGTACAGGCCCCATGCTGTTTTAGTTATTATAGCCCTGTAGTGTAGTTTGAAGTCAGGTGGCATGATGCCTTTGGTTTTGTTCTTTTTATAGCAAGTCTTTGTAAATTACCTGGAGGAATCACTTGCACTGGTTGGGAATGCGCTTTATGACATTCTTCAGTCCCCCTAATGCCTCTGTAGGATCTTCCATGAGGTTTACACATGTCAAAGTGAATAGATTTGGTCCCTGGGAACATGGGGTATAAATGTGATAAATGCTATAATAAAGGCATGCATGCAGTGCTACAGGGGTTGAAGTGATGAAGCAACAATTCTGCCTAAAATAGGAGGCTTGGTCAGAAAATGTAACTTTAAGAATGTTGTGTGCGTACACTCTCAGAGCACCGTACCTCAATGATCTTTCCCTTACTGCAGCACAAAGACAAGGGAGTGAGACATTATTCCTTCTACACACACTTTACAGCCCCGCCTTACTTAAGTTAATGAAGTTATCGCCTTTGAACTGAATAAGATGTTAAACTGTACTCTTCAATTTCTCACAGAATGTTGCCTGAGACCCAAAGCCAAAAGGGGTAATGCAGTGCCTAGGCATTTTGAAGCTGTGACCACTATGCACAGCAATAAAATCCTTCTATGTATGTGGTCACTGGACTTTCCCTCATCCACATATATCATTGACTTATTGCCTATAAAAGAGGGACTATTCCTAAGAGCCTATATTTGGAAACAACCTAAGTGTTCATCAACCGATAAATGGGTAAAGAAAATGTGGTACATATACACCATGGAATACTATGCAGCCATAAAAAAAATGGAATCATGTCCTTTGCAGCAACATGGATGGAACCGGAGAACATTATGTTAAGTGAAATAAGCCCAGCACAAAAAGACAAATTTCACATGTTCTCACTCATTTGTGGGAGCTAAAAATTAAAACAATTGAACTCATGGAGATAGAGAATAGAAGGTTACCAGAGTCTGGGAAGTGTAGCAGGGCTAGGGGAGAGTGAAGATGGTTAATGAGCACAAAAATATAGTTAGATAGAACTAATAAGATCCAGTGTTTGATAGCACAACAGGGTGACTACAGCCAACAATAACTTATTGTACATTTTAAAATAACTAAAAGAGTGGCACTGGTATATTCTTAACCAAAAGAAATGATCTGAGCTTGAGGCGATGGACACTCTATTTACCCTGATGTGATTGTTATGCATTGTATGCCTGTATCAAAACATCTTATGTACCTCATAAATTATACACCTACTATGTACCCACCAAAATTAAAAAATCAAAAAACATTAAAAAGTATGTAAAAAAAGAGGGGTCTATGGTTTGGGGACTTCTTTTCTGTATTAGTTTGCTAGGGCTGCAGTAATAAATTAACACACACTGGCTGGTTTAAGCAAAATAAATGTATTCTTTCCCAGTTCTGGAGCATGAGATCGCAGTGTTGTCGGGGTGAGTTTTCCTGGGGCTGTGAGGGAGGATCCCCACCAGGCCTCTCTCCTGGGCTTATTAATGGCCGTCTTCTATCTCTTTACTTTATCCTCCTTCCACGCATGGTTCTCTGTGTCTACATTTCCACTTCTTTTTTTTAATTGCAACAGTGTCTTGCTCTGTTGCCCAGGTTGGAGGGCAGTGGTGTGTTCTCAGCTAACTGCAACCCCTACCTCCCGGGCTCCAGCAATCCTCCCATTTCAGCCTCCGGAATAGCTGAGATGACAAGCTCACGTCACCATGCTTGACTAATTTGTGTGTGTGTGTGTGTGTGTGTGTGTGTGTGTGTATTTTTAGTAGAAATGGGTTTTCACAATGCTGCCCAGGCTGGTCTCTAACTCCTGAGCTCAAGTGATCCTCCCACCTCAGCCTCCCAAAGTGCTGGGATTACAGGTGTGCACCACTGCACCAGGCCCATTTCCCATTTTTATATTGTGTTTGGACCCACCCCACTGGCCTGGTTTTAAATTGATCATCTGCAAAGGACCTCTCTCCAAATAAGCTCCCACTCTGAGGTATTCAGGAATTACACCTCAAAGTATTTATTTTGAGAAACATAATTCAACTCATAATAGCCCATTATCTGACCCTTAAAGATTCATGTCCTTCTTATATGAAAAATATATTTACCACATCCCAACATCTCCAAAAGCCTGAATGCAGTCCAGCGTGAAGCCTAAGTCCAAAACCTCATCTAAATATCTCATCAAATATGAGTGCAACTCAGGCTTTGATTCATCCTTCAGCAAAATTCCCTTTCAGCTGTGGATCTATGAGACTAGACTGCATATCTACTTTTAAAATACAATGATGGAACAGGCATCGAATAGACATTTCCATTCCATAAGGGGGAGATCAGAAGAGAAAAAAAAAAGGATTACTAATCCCAAACAAGTCCCAAACCTATCAGGGAAAATTCCCTTCAATTCCAGACCTCAGAAGAATCTTCTCTGGCTAGATTCTCTGCCCTCTGGTCCTCCAACCCTTTCATTGTCCCCTCACCAACTCTTGGGGACTTGGTGTGGGAGTCAAGACTCATCAGCGCCAAGCTGTGGGCTTTCAATTTGGTGGGGAGTGCAGAGGAGATTGGGACACACAGAGACTGGAGCAAAACTCTAGCCTGAACACACGGAGGCTGGGCCCTGGCCAGAGCTGCCCTGGAAGGAGAGCGAGCAGTGGCCTCTCCCACAGTCGGGTGGTGCAAACACTCCGGATATGTCCCTGAAGCAGAGGCATGTGATGGAAGGAAGTGGAACAGAGCCACCCTGGAATGACCTTGTCAGAGCAGGCCTTGTTGTAAGTGACTATATCAAGGGCGTCAAGCAAGGGTGTTCACACCTAGGAAGGGCACCCAAAATGGAACCTCAAGGATCATCTGGAGACGCAATTCCCCACAACAGAGAAGGTGGCCCTGCTGCGATGGGTTCATTCTTATAATAACCCATCAAGGAGGCCCAGCAGCTGGAATCCTGGCATGTCAACGGGCATTCAGCAGCCAAGTGAGAAGCACACAGCATCGGCTACATGAAGATAGACTTTGCCCCTTTCTCTTCTGAGCCCTTCCCATCTCCTGGTTCCCCAGCAGCCAGAAGGCAGGACGGGGAGGCAGGAGTGTAAAACACCAGAACTGCCACCTTGTCTCTAATTCACAGTCAGCCCAAGCTAGACCTGAGGGGGGATCTCTAGGCTGGTGGGAAGAGAATCACAGAGCTGTGTCCTGATCACACTGCACTTCATCCAGCCTGTCAAGTGCACCATTTACACACCCAAGCACAGATCCAAATGGTACTCGGGACCAAAGGAAAATCATGTTAATTTTTATTGTAACATGGACTCTCCGCTGCTGTGGGAGAAAAAAATAATGAGGAATCTGATACTCACCCAGGTTAAAAGAGCATTACTGAGACTGAAGTAGGCTGTGGATATCTGCAGGCAACTTGGATTGCTTTATGTGCCTTTCTTACATTCCACATTTCTATGGGAAATATGTGCTGCCTTCAAATGGAGGAAGAGAAAACAATAAATACCACAAAGTACCAAAGTCACAACTAAATAACTATACTTTAACATATAATAAACCCACAGACTTAAGAGAATGAAACCAAAATAATTTTCCCTAGTTTACGATTCTGTAGCAGTGACATTTTTCGTCCTGGAAAAGCTACGTAAGGTCCAGCGCAGAAGTGACCTTGGAAGTCACCTAGTCCAAAATGTTCGTGCTAGAGGTGAGGATTTTAAGGGCCAAGGTGATCAACCCCTGTTCCTAAGATCACGTGGCTGATTTATGTTAGGATGGGGGCAGGAGACAGTCTCCCTGGCTCAGACCCCTCTTCCCTCACAGGTGTGTCTCTCTAAGGCACTACTCACCTCTTAGTAGAAGCCTGGGTCCTCTTGCCACCCATCCTCCCCTCCTCCCCCTTGTCTGCAAACGCCCTTCGATTTTGCACAGCAGCTAAAAGCTACCCTAATGATGACCACAAATTGGTAGAATTTTTAGTGAATGCCCTCTCCAAGGAAAGGTCACTGTATTTCTTGTTCATGTTATGATTACTTAGAATTTAATGGTTACCTGTGCTTCACACATCTCTGCCTATACCTTACTTTATTTGGAATAACAAAAGTAATGTAAGTGTTTTCAAAGCTGACAGACAGAGACAGAGTACAGAAAGAGCTATTGATGCATCGAGGGCCAGAAAGAAAAACAACAGCAGACACCTAAGTTCAAGAGTCAATTACAGCAAAATGTAGTTGATTACAGGGCTCATGGGTCGCGGGGAGTGGGTAAAGCAACCTGGCCACACAGCTTGGTGATTTAGAAAGAGTCCTGGCTAGGGCTTTCCCTCAGCCTATCAAGGTGGAGGGGAGACGCTGCACCTGCCAAAGCCGATGATTCCCTGTTCCCGGTGAGGACTATCCACAGACACCCTCCTCCTGCACTTGTGCTTATCAAATCCCAGAAATCTACCGGACACGTGTTTGCCTGAGTTACCAGCTCTCCCCATCCCCTCTTGTCTGTATCATCGAAAACAATGACACATTCATAGCTATTCACATGGATGTTTTCTCTAGCTAAGAAGTGATTAAGACAAACAAATCAGGATAATAGCCATGTTTTGAAGAAACCAGATTTGGCAAATTTTAAAATTGTGCTTTCAAAATTGACTATTCATTTCTTTTTATATTACACTTCCAAACACACACATACACACTTAACAATCACACATTTGGAACCATACATGTCTTCTTGGGTGTATAAGACAAAGATACTGATAGAAAGGGAGCAATGTCTCCAGGAGACACTGGCCCCTCTCCCTTCATGTGTAGACTGCAACTCTAGGACTTGCTCTCCAGCACTGGTGCAGGCTCCGCCTCTGTCTTTGATTTAGATGGGAGAGGGCAGGAGCCATCTCCCCACCCCAGCCCCTAAAGCCCCCCACTCTCTTTTTTGGAGCTAAGAGAGCAGGCCACACTGGACGATAGTGCTGCTTGCTCAACAAAAAAAATAACTGTTTTGGGGGAAATTATTTAACTTCATTTAAAAATTCCCTGAGTTTTCTAGTTAAATGTCTTTTTTAGAGCATATTCCTCCCACTAAAAAATGGTTGAATAAATATATTTTTAATAAAAATAAGGTTTGTTTAAACTGTAAAAGATAGGAAGTTCTAGCCAATGCCTGGTTAACAGGAACAGTGTGAACACGTGAAACAGTGTGATCTGAAACCACAGACATCCCTCTTGGTGTTAGCTCCAATGTTGCATGTGTATATTCTGTGTGTGTACATCTGTGTGTGTGTGTGTGTGTTCATTTGTGTGCTGGGTCATGATGTAAAAATCCATTTCATATGTCAGATCATAGTCAAAATAAGTTTGAAGCCCCTGCCCTGTGCTATCCTGCCCTGCTGATACTCTGTGTTTTCCTTAATTGTGACAAAGATGAAACTACAGAGGCAAAACGAGAAGAGTCATGCCTTGCTTGCATTGCAAAGGGACGTGGATTTTGTCCTAATGGTGAAGGGCATCCTGAGCATGACGCTGGCAAGTCCCATGGTCCCTGTTGCATGTTGGAATGAATAGTCTGTCTGCAGAGTGGAAACAGGGACATCAGTTTGGTGTCCATTACTAAAAAATGTGTAAAGCCCAGAGGAAAACTGAAACATACACACTGATGGTCAAAACATGCAGGAGGAAGTGAACTCAGGAGTGACTCGGGTAGGAGAATTGACTGAGCTTACTGGGGTATGTGAGCAAATATGAAAATCCCTTCATAACTTACACAATAGTTACGGTATGCCAGGAACCCTTTCAGGCACAGAAGAAGAAATATTAAAATAATAAAGACTACATTTGTAAACGTTCTACTGTGCGCAGCACTGTTCTAAGCACTTCATATGTATTTAATCATTATAGCAATTCTAACAAATCAAGCAGGACCTGGACTGTGTCTCTGCACACATGAGTGTGTGTGTGTGTGTGCGCGTGCACGCACATGATGGAATGGTTACTGGTATCCTATTTTATAGACTGGAAAACGAAGGCACAGGATAAGTTAAATAACTTGTGTAAAAGACACTATCAAGAAAATGAGAAAACAAGCCACAGACTAGGGGAAGTTATTTGCAAAAGACATGTCTGATAAAAGACTGTTACCCAAAATATACAAAGAAGTCTTAAAGCTTCACAATAAGCACATGAAAAACCTGATTTAAAAAAAATGGGCCAAAAACCTGAAGAGATATATCACTAAAGAAGATATACTGAGGGCAAGTAAATATTTGGAAAGACAGTCCATCTCATATGCCTAGGGAAATGTAAATTACAACAAAAATGAGATAGCACTTCAGACCGAGTAGAATGGCTACAATCTAAAATAGTGACAACAGCAAATTCTGACGAAGATGTAGAATAGTAGAAACTCTCATTCGTTGCTGTTGGGAATGCAAAATGGGACAGCCACTTTGGAAGACAGTTTGAAAGTTTCTTATGAAATTATACAACCTCTTACCACACGATAGAGCAGTATCACTCTTTGATATTTACCCAAGCAAGTTGAACACTTACATCTACACACAAAGCTGCACAAGGATGCTTGTAACAGATTTTATTCATCATTGCCAAAACATGGAAGCAGCCATGATGTCCTTCTGTAGGAGGATGGATAAACTGTGGTATACTCAGACAATGGAATGTTATGTATTGCCAAAAAGAAATGAGCTATGAAGTCATAAAAAGACATGGAAGAACATAAAATGCATATTGTTAAGTTAAGGAAGCCAATCTGAAAAAGCTACATACTGTATGATTCCATATATTTGACATTCTGGAAAAGGCAAAACTATTGCCATAGTAAAATAATCAGTTGTTGCCAAGGGCTTGGAGGGGTGAAGGATGAATAGGTGGGTGGAGGCCAGATGATTAGGGCCATGAAAATAATCTGCATGACACTATAATGATGGATACCTGCCATTATACATTTATCCAAATCCACAGAATGTACAACACCAAGAGTGAGCCTAATGTGGACTACGCATGTTGGATGATTATGATGTGTCATTGTGGATGCACTGATCGTAACACATGTACCACCGAGTGGGGGTGGTTGTGTATGTGTGGGGATAGACACTATGTGGAAGGCTCTGCATTTTCCATTCATGTTTGCTGTGAACCTCAAACTGCTCTAGAAAATAAAGTCTATTTAAAAAAATAGAATACATATCTCATATGAATAATTTCAAAAGACGTGAATTTTGGAGGCAGTACGTTTGTGGAATTATCTGGGCATTGATAACTAAAAGTCAAGCGCTCCATGATGAGAGCCACGCGGGAAAAAGAAAAGATAGTGGAACCAGAATTTTCAATCCAGGGCAGAACGCTTCTGAGCCGTAACTCTGAACACCTAAGCCAGTGTTTTTCAAACTTCAGTGGTGCCTCATTAATAGTGGGTTTTAACTAGCATTTACAGAAATGGAATGGAATGGAATAGAATAAAAAAGAGTATGAATTGCACATAAAAGAGAGATACTGATTTTTGACGCTTTGGTTTCTGCTTTATATGTGTATAGCATGAGTACTGGGTCATGATGTAAAAAGGTGTTTTATAAAATAGGTCATGATCAAAATAAATTTCCAAGCCGCTGCCCTGTGCTGTACTGCCCAACTGCTCTGGCTTTCATGGATCACACTCTGCAGTGGTCAATTCAGAGAATAAATGAGTGAAAAGCTTAACAACATTATTTTAGCTATTGAAACATGTTCTGATGAGCCAAACAGGGTAACAGCATCCACTGGTTCATTGTGTGTGTGTGTGTGTGTGTGTGTGTGTGTGTTTTCAAGGTAGGATTGTTCGATCTATACTCATTACCAGGTCTGAGGAACACTTAAGAAGGAATAAGAAGGAATGTCCAGTAGACAGAATATAACCAGATCCAAATTCAAGATTTAAGGCTGAAGCTGAGATAAATAGATACAGCTAACAATAAGGAGTGAACTCATTTCAGGAGAATAGGTAAAGGGAGAAAAAAGGAAAGGATCCTACCTTATAACTTCATTTCAGAGATGGGGAATGCATGTGGTTGCAATACTTCTAAAAATGGTGGTCAATCCATCAGATAAGTCAAATATTTACCCAGTGATATTTTTAGCATATTATTTGCTTAGAAAAATGCTTCTTTCCTAAGAAAAAGGGACACTTCTTACTCTGGCTGTGTTATAATTTTGAGAGATATCGTGAAATATCTCATCTCTTTATGTAATAGTCCTTTTACGTGACATTTTCTTTGTAAAGATGGAATTATGAAAAGGTAAAAATCACCATAAAAATAGTCATTTGTGCCTCTAATCAGATGTGACTCTTAAGATTCTGAACATTATGTATCCAACAATGTTTATGGTTAACAAACAAACTACATATCTTGCTTATAAATAAGTATATAGACAGACACACACAAAAATGAGTGAATATTGGCTCTAAAAAGATAACCAATGATCCTAATTATGATATACATTCAGTGGCTTAAAAAACAGTAGACCTATTTCCATTTTACTAAATTAGGTTTTCAAGAGGTGCATTATTAAAGGCTATATTTTCTATTTGGTAGCCTAAAATTTCTCTAAATAGTTGGTTACTGTTAATGGCGCAAACATCTGTTTTCAGAAGTAACTATTATTCCTGTAAGAAGCATGCGTACTCTCAAACATGTTCCCATATTTTTTTTTAAATGCTATACTTATTTAAAAATTTTCCCTTAGGGAGCAAAAATAAAGTATACAGATTATCATTTTTTTCATTCCTCACTCGACTACGTCTAACAACATTAAGTATGTGGGGTGAGTCCATGCTACAAAATAGCAATCTAGTTAATCTCTTGTGAAAATTGCCTGGCCTCTCCTACATGACAGGGGGGATTCAGCTGTAGCACCCGCCTGTGCCGCCTTCAGTGCCTGCTTTAGCAATCCCAATCTTTGCTTTATCTTCTCCAACAAACGGCTCATGTTGCCTTGAACAGAAATTATATTTCTTGTTCGAAAGAGCAGATTTTAACTTTTATTTCCTCTAAAAAGATCGCAGCGCTATGAGAATAAAATCTATTATTTTTCACTCCTACTATATTCAGATCATTCTCATTTTAAAGCTAAGCATGATTTTTGCTATAGCGTAAAGATAGCAAATCAATATGGAATTTGCCAAAGATTTTCAAATGCATTCTCTTTCCGAGGCCCAAATGGTAGGTGCCCTCACACTTTGCAAGCAAATAATGAAGCTGAGCTGAAATATTTCAATCCTTTTCTCTAGAGTGTGGATTTGTCCTGCAGTTGTGGGGAGGTGGGTGTAGGTTCACCTTGTGCTCCACCCCACCCTCCCTCCGGTGGTGTTCCCAATAGCTGAAAAACGTGTGAGCTGTAAGAGAAAAACAAGACCTAGTGCTCGCCGTGCGGGAGTGAAGATGAGTTTTCACACACTGCCTTGGATTTTATACATCTCCAGACTTTAAGTCACCCAGTATGAATGACTGTAAATTCTTTTGGTTCCTATGGCCCTGGAAAGAATAAATTGCCAGCATTATCAAGATTTAAGTTGGTCTGAATATTCCAAGTATTCGATGCAGTGTTTTTCTTTAGGATGAGTCGGGGAAGTGGGGGACGGGGGCGGGAATGGCTTATCGCAATGGCGGTAATTTTTTCAAATCATGATCTGTGTAAAACACGGTATTATTTTATGATATTAGAATCCTCAGAGAAGATCCAATACTTAAGAAATGTAGTATTAATTGCAGGAGGGCACCTGAAAGGAAGCAGATTCGGATAATTTTCCCAGTCCTACACGGCTGATTTCTCTGGTGAAGGGATCCGGGCAGTGTCTTAGGAACTGCTCAAAGTTCCCAGATACCCAGTGCTGGGGGGTGTGGAGAAGGCGAGGGTGGCGACAGACCATACCTATGAAGCGGTGATTTTCTTTAATTGCCCCCAGAATATCCGTAGAGGTAGTAGGGACTCAATAAAGAAACACAAAGGAGACGAACACGGCACGATCGCCGGGGTCCGCGGCTGCTCTGCGAGGCCCAGCGCGCCCCAGGTCGCGGCTCCCCGGCCGCCAGCGCACCTTTCCATCTCCAGGGAAAATATTTAGACGGGAAACTCGAGTGCACCTTATTTTCTCTTTGGTTTATGAGTGACCCAGAAGGCTTCTAGCTCACAATCGCACGATTTCAGGACGAGGCTGCCGGAGAAGCGCTGGCGACCGAGGATGGGGGAAGGACAAAGAGGAAGAGGAGGCCTGGGAAGGAGAAAGGAGCGGCGGAGGGGCGGGGAGAGGACGGGGCGGGGAGAGGAGGGGCGGGGAGCAGAGGGAGAAGGGAAGGAGGGCGCCGGGCCCCTCGCAGGGACGCCGGGCGGGGCGCGGGCTTGCTGGAGCCTGCGGGACCCAGAGCCCGCTCCGGAGCCAGCCCTGGGAGTGGCCAGCTTGAACCCGAGGGCCCCGCAGACCGTTACTCCGGCCCCCGCCCGGGGCGGGGCGCGCGGGGGCGCGGCGCAGCCCAACCCGCACAGCCGCGTCCCCAAACACCACCGAGGAGGGAAAACAGACGGAGAAAAAGGACAAAACAGAAAAATGCAAAACGGGGGAGGGAGCTCACCGCCTCTCGAGCTTTAAATTGATTTCTTTGCCTTACAAAAAGGGAGAAAGGGAAAAGGAGAGCAGAGCCCACGTGCCGGGAAGGTTGCTGTCTTCAAGCGCCACCTTCCGTCGGCCAGGGCCGCCGCGGGGCTACCGGGCGGGCTCGGGGCGGCGACCCGGGGGAGCGGCCGAGCCCCGCGAGGGGCTCGCCGGGGAGCAGCTGCGCCCACCCCGGGGCAGGCCGGGCGCGGCTGACCGCGAGCCGGGCGGAGGCCGCCGTCTCAGGCTGGGCGCGTGCCCGAGTGTGTGCACCCGGGGAGTGAGCGCGCGCCGTCCGCTGTCGCCGTCGGGCCTCCCGGGGACTGGGCACAAAGGCGCGCGGGGCCTCTCCCGGGACCCGGTCCTCGGTTAGCGCCGGCGCCCGAACCATCCCGGTTCGCCCCGGGCCGCCCGCTCCCCGTGGTGCCGCGCGCCGCTTCCGAGCATCCCGGGAACAGGCGCATCTGTGCACACACGCGGATTTTTTAAAAATAACATATTTCTAGACATGCCTCCTCTCCCCCCACCCCCATCTTTGCAAAGCAGCCCGGAGGGCGGGGTGGAGGGGCGGGGCCTCCGAGTTAATAAAGGAAGATGGGCGGAGCCGGCCCCCAGCCATTGGCTAGCTGGGGGAGTGATGTCACCCATATGACACCCTGATAACTAGTTGAGAGAGAGACCTCAACTTTTTGCAGAAGGAGCGCGCGCGCCTGGGAGAGCTCGGGGTCCGGCGCTTGCGGTAGGAGCCACGAGCCGGAGAGAGGGGTCCCGGGCTGCCTCGACCGCCGTCGCCACCGCCTCTCCTGTCGCGACCGCAGCTCCCACCGCGCCGGCGGCCGTCGTCGCCGAAGCCACCACAGCCGCTGTGTGCAGCCTGGAAGGGGGGGCGGGGGGGAGGGGGGGAGCCGCGAAAGCGGGGTGCCGAGGACTTTGCAACTTGCCCAGGAAGGTGGAGGGGTGGGAGGGGGAGGGGGACCTCCGCACGAGACCCAGCGGCCCGGGTTGGAGCGTCCAGCCCTGCAGCGGATCATGGTGCAGCAGGCGGAGAGCTTGGAAGCGGAGAGCAACCTGCCCCGGGAGGCGCTGGACACGGAGGAGGGCGAATTCATGGCTTGCAGCCCGGTGGCCCTGGACGAGAGCGACCCAGACTGGTGCAAGACGGCGTCGGGCCACATCAAGCGGCCGATGAACGCGTTCATGGTATGGTCCAAGATCGAACGCAGGAAGATCATGGAGCAGTCTCCGGACATGCACAACGCCGAGATCTCCAAGAGGCTGGGCAAGCGCTGGAAAATGCTGAAGGACAGCGAGAAGATCCCGTTCATCCGGGAGGCGGAGCGGCTGCGGCTCAAGCACATGGCCGACTACCCCGACTACAAGTACCGGCCCCGGAAAAAGCCCAAAATGGACCCCTCGGCCAAGCCCAGCGCCAGCCAGAGCCCAGAGAAGAGCGCGGCCGGCGGCGGCGGCGGGAGCGCGGGCGGAGGCGCGGGCGGTGCCAAGACCTCCAAGGGCTCCAGCAAGAAATGCGGCAAGCTCAAGGCCCCCGCGGCCGCGGGCGCCAAGGCGGGCGCGGGCAAGGCGGCCCAGTCCGGGGACTACGGGGGCGCGGGCGACGACTACGTGCTGGGCAGCCTGCGCGTGAGCGGCTCGGGCGGCGGCGGCGCGGGCAAGACGGTCAAGTGCGTGTTTCTGGATGAGGACGACGACGACGACGACGACGACGACGAGCTGCAGCTGCAGATCAAACAGGAGCCGGACGAGGAGGACGAGGAACCACCGCACCAGCAGCTCCTGCAGCCGCCGGGGCAGCAGCCGTCGCAGCTGCTGAGACGCTACAACGTCGCCAAAGTGCCCGCCAGCCCTACGCTGAGCAGCTCGGCGGAGTCCCCCGAGGGAGCGAGCCTCTACGACGAGGTGCGGGCCGGCGCGACCTCGGGCGCCGGGGGCGGCAGCCGCCTCTACTACAGCTTCAAGAACATCACCAAGCAGCACCCGCCGCCGCTCGCGCAGCCCGCGCTGTCGCCCGCGTCCTCGCGCTCGGTGTCCACCTCCTCGTCCAGCAGCAGCGGCAGCAGCAGCGGCAGCAGCGGCGAGGACGCCGACGACCTGATGTTCGACCTGAGCTTGAATTTCTCTCAAAGCGCGCACAGCGCCAGCGAGCAGCAGCTGGGGGGCGGCGCGGCGGCCGGGAACCTGTCCCTGTCGCTGGTGGATAAGGATTTGGATTCGTTCAGCGAGGGCAGCCTGGGCTCCCACTTCGAGTTCCCCGACTACTGCACGCCGGAGCTGAGCGAGATGATCGCGGGGGACTGGCTGGAGGCGAACTTCTCCGACCTGGTGTTCACATATTGAAAGGCGCCCGCTGCTCGCTCTTTCTCTCGGAGGGTGCAGAGCTGGGTTCCTTGGGAGGAAGTTGTAGTGGTGATGATGATGATGATAATGATGATGATGATGGTGGTGTTGATGGTGGCGGTGGTAGGGTGGAGGGGAGAGAAGAAGATGCTGATGATATTGATAAGATGTCGTGACGCAAAGAAATTGGAAAACATGATGAAAATTTTGGTGGAGTTAAAGTGAAATGAGTAGTTTTTAAACATTTTTCCTGTCCTTTTTTTGTCCCCCCTCCCTTCCTTTATCGTGTCTCAAGGTAGTTGCATACCTAGTCTGGAGTTGTGATTATTTTCCCAAAAAATGTGTTTTTGTAATTACTATTTCTTTTTCCTGAAATTCGTGATTGCAACAAAGGCAGAGGGGGCGGGGCGGGGGAGGGGAGGTAGGACCCGCTCCGGAAGGCGCTGTTTGAAGCTTGTCGGTCTTTGAAGTCTGGAAGACGTCTGCAGAGGACCCTTTTGGCAGCACAACTGTTACTCTAGGGAGTTGGTGGAGATATTTTTTTTTCTTAAGAGAACTTAAAGAACTGGTGATTTTTTTTTAACAAAAAAAGGGACCATTGCAACTTTTGTTAATTTAATTTTTTTTTTTTTTTTTTTTTTTTTTTTTTTTGGAGGGAGAAAACTGATGTCTTCTATGCATCCGATTCTTAACAAAACTGCAGGGAGCTTGAAAAAATGCAGACTGTACAAACGCTTACAAAAAAAAAAACTGTGAACTGACTTAAGATCAGAGTTTACTTTTCAGATCAAATTGTTTATGGTTTTACAAATGTGATTTCTACTTGCCAACTTTTTTTTTGTAACTTGTTCCCTTATACCTCCTTGATTGAATACCAGACAGCCTAGACCTCAGTACAAAAGGTATTGAAACATTTTTGATACATAACAGACCTCAGTCTTTTTTAAAAATTAATATATTTTCAGGCGTATTTTTGTACAGTGAAAAGGGAACATTCTTGCTGTGTTTTTTCAGTAAGACTTTCAGGCACTTCTTCCCTTTTGATTTCTTTTTTTTCCTCTGTTTTTTAGCATGCAAGTATGTTGGTACGTTATGTCCTGGTTTAAAAAGGATTAAAATTTTAAAATAATCCTTGCATCTAAAGGCCTTGTGGTTTAAAAAAAAAAAGCAAACTTTTTTTTGTACAGCTATAGTAGAGATTTGTTCAATATTTGTAGGTAAAGATTTATTGAAAATGGTGATATAGACCTCAGAGCTGTTATCTTAGTTTAAAGATTGTATATGTACTGTACTATAGTAGGACTTTATGTATCTCATACGCTGTGATGTGGATGGGGCCCCAGATGGAAGGTTTGAAACTGGATTCTCGATTTTTAGCAAAAAAGAAAAAAAAAAGGCACATAGTTTAAAAAGTTTCTCATTTTGTGCAATATAATCTAAATAAAGTACAGACCATCTGCATATTTTGTAGCAAATGGTGGCAAAGCAGACTCAATGCACTGTCGACATCATTGCCTGTTTTTTTTTTTTTTTTTTTGTGCTGGAAGTCTGTATCTTGACAATTTTAATAAATCAGCTGGAACTGATAGAAACTCGCATCGCCAATAGTCTCTATGGAAGTCAAACTGGAGGTCCTGTTGTCGCAGAGCATTCGGTGGTGAGGCTGTTGTGTGCGCGGATGAGGGGAGGTGGCAGGAGAGAATTCTACATTTAGGGGGTTAGGCTGAAAAGTGTTCAATTAGCAGGCTGATTTCTTTTTCCTCTTCCGCTAGTTGTGAAAGACAGGGGAAGGGTGTTCTTTCTCTCTGCCCTCCCTTTCCATCTCCAGCTCCCCATTTCCTTTCTCACCTCCTCCTCCACTCCCTGCCTCTTCTCCCCACCCATCCTGGCGGGCGGGCTGCGCGGAGGCTCGGGAGCTGGCCGGGGAGGGGCGGATGGAGGGGCCTGGGTTGCCAGCTCCCTTGGTCGGGGTCCTGCTCGCTGGGGCTTGTGTGTTCTCTGCGGCGGGCCGCGTCCCCGCTGAGCCTCGCGGTGACAGCCGCCTTTGGCAGCGAGCGCTCGGGGCACTTCTATCCCCGCCTCTCAAAGGGTGGGGACAGCCGTTTCCAGATTTGAATTTTTTCTGTTCTTTATTTTTAACGCTGCATCTTCGCGTGTGCTCAGAGGTGGTTGTTGGCGGAGAACGCCGCCGCAGTGTTTGACCTCTAGCGGTGAAGGGGGAAGGGGAAGAGGAAAGGAGAGAAGTGGTCGGTGTCTGTTTCCTTCTGTCCCCCGGGGCCGTGGAGCTGTCGGAGGGAAGGAGGACGGTGCGGGGCCGCAGGGGGCGCGGGGCGCGGCGGGACCCAGGCTACGAGCGGGAGGGAGGCGGGAGTCGGGGGAAGACGCGGCAGGCCGGCCGAGGGCACCCCGAGGAACATGGCATGGCCTCTGTGCGATCCGAGTCGCGGTCTCCGGGGTGCCTGGGAGGGCCGAACCACTGGTGAGGGCGTGGGGAGCAGGGGGTGGCAGAGGGCACCCGGGCGGTAGTCCGGGACGCGCAAGGCAGAGCCCTGACGCTCCGGGTCCCCGTGCCTGGCTCTTCTTGCCTCGCCACCGCGTGCTCCTGGGCGCGCCCCGCCGCGGGCCCTTGAGGCGCGCGGAGACACCAGCGCTGGCTTCCCGGGCCCGCGGGCCGGGGAGGGAAGCCTCGGGGCTGCGGGGTGAGAGGAAGAAAGCAAACCCGGGGAGCAGGCGGCTGCCGCACCCGCGCACCCCGGGCCCTCACCACGCCCTCCCCGCGCGCCGGCTCAGGGGCTGCCCCGGAATCAGCTCCCCGGGGCCGCCGCAACGAAGGTGGATCCGCATCTTGATTGTTCTCCGGGAGCCTCCTGGGGGCTCCGGCGGCGGCGCGGGCGCGACCCATCCCGCTGGCGCTCCCCGCTCGCTGAACCCCGTTTGCCTGTCCACACCCCCTCGCTCCCCACCATTTTTCCTGACCGGCCTGTGTCCCCGAGCCCTCGCGGCAGGCCCGAGCAGGCGATCGCGGCCGGGCACGCGCGCCCCGGGCTCCCGCCCCCCTTCCGAGCATCCGCCGCCTCTTTTCTGCTGGGTCTGGGAGGAGGGAGGCTGGGAGGCCGCTCGGGGCCCAGCGTGCCAGCCCCGGAGTTCAGCCTCCCGAGCTGCGGCGCCCGCAGCGGAGGAGGTTTTCAGTGGCTGATTGAAACTCACTGCAAAATCACCACGACTCTTTCACCTACTGAGATGATTGACCGAGGTTTGGCCTTCCATTTTTACTGAGATTTGGCGAGACCGAATGGAAGCGTCCGCACAGTAACTGCAGCTGCTAGGCCAGAGGGGCCCCGGCGCCCTTCCCGCCTCCCCTCCCGCTTGCTTTTGCCTTACTCGATCTTACCACCACCCCTCCCCCGGCCCCCCGACTGAGAACTCGGGCCTCTCACCCGCCCCCCAGCCTCCCGCTCTGGGCGAGCCTCCTCCCCAGCCCCCACCCCTGGGATGCGAAGCCAGCAAGCTTTTGCTGCAGATGGACAGGTTTCTTTTCTGTGGCTTTTTCCTTTCGATAAACCATCAGATTTCAGTAGTACATTTGGGAAAAGAAGGGGCTGATGGCGTTAACCAGGTTCTCAATATAGAACTGGATTTCTGGAGTTGTTTACCTTACCCCACACCCCCTCAACATGTAGACTAATGCAGCCATTGGTGGTACATTTATTTTAGCCACGGATAATTGAACCAGCGGTTTACAATTGACACGTGCTCCGTGCTGGTGATTTTATGTGGCAGCCCTCTGCTGCAGTTCCGAAACTTGTTGGCAACGTAAACCCATTGATAGGCTGATCTATGTATTTTGAAAGCCTGAAAACTTGGCATGTCTTTTCTGTTTTAATCATAGATGAATCTTGGACATTTTCTGTGGTGAGGTGGAAACTTTAAGTAAATTAGTAAAGTAATAATTTGGCTTCAGAATGGGAAGAGATAGTCAAGATTTTTTTTTTTTAAAGCCATGTGGCCTAACTTGATACAAAAATAAAAGTAATTGTTTGGCAATCTAAATTTAAAACCTGTTAGAACTCAGGACAGGCGCTTCAATGCGCTTTTTAACAATATTTAAGGCTGTTTTGATGAGTGCGTTGTGAGAATCATCTTAATGAATTCTTTATTGAGTGTCTAAAACATAGTATAATACACATGGTATTCTTGCCACTGGATAGTCTTCAATAAAAGTTTAATTGATTTTTTTTTGTTGGTCTCTTAAGTAAGTCTTATTTTTAACTAAGCATTGACAGAATATCTTAAAATGGTAACCTGGGGGTGGCGGGTGGGTGCTGTGTGCACGGCAGCCTAGCCAGTGGGGATCCTGCTGTTTATTATAAGTAGTTCACAGACTCTGATGGCATTTTGGTAAGCTTTCCATCTTTAAGAAATTGAACCAGCATTCTCTTATTAATTCTTTAAACTGTGGAAGTAATTTCCAGTTCTTACACTCTGATACGCATCCCTTTTATTTAAAAAAAAAAAAAATGCTAATAAAAGGCAGTGTACTTAAACTGTGCTTTGCAAATATTGTGTATGTTATGAATGACTACAGACACTGGGCAAATTATTTGTAGAATGATTATCCTTTAGCTAGAGAAAGAAATCATTACAACTCTTTTGGGCAGAGATGTTTCTTTTTAATGTTAATCAAGGGGAAGTGATTTAAATATGCATAAATGTAGCAGTCAGGGTGATTTAGTTGCTTTTTTCATGAAAGAAAAAGACTCAAAAGACAAGACTTATTTTTCTCTTCTGGGACTTGAAATCATAATCATCTGATATTAGTACAGTACAAGAAATTTACATTTGTTTTTTACTTCAGAATTTAAGTGACTTTTGCCCAAGGAATTTGAGAAATAAGGCAAATAAGTTGCTCTATTTTAAAGTAGTCATTCAATATAAATATATTATATCAATCTTAACTTTTTTATTCTCTGATATGATTAATAATATGTATATTCTTACTTTTCTTCTAATGGGCATATGTATCCTTGTGGACACTTTGAGAGAGGTTTTCTTGGACTCTCCCATTTATAGAATCTTTATACTCTTTTACTGTGTGGTTCCCTGCTTTTAACAGATTTCTGAGGCAAATATATTTGTGCTTTTTTCTTATGTAGGAAGACCAGCGAAAATAGTTTACTGAGTTGTCAATTTTATCAGTAGATAAGAAACTTTCTTTATTACAGTTTCAGGGAAGATTTTTTCAGGATATTTCTCAGTTATTCTAAGGGCCAAATTTTGTAAAATTTCCATTAGGAATGTCAGTTTCAAATACCCTTTGTATAGCCTAAGCCTGTGAGGATAACAAGAATGAGCCTTACCTATCCTAACACAGGGATTTACAAGTTCCCAAAGTAACCGTCTCCATGTAACTCTTGACATACTTTTCTGAGATTTGGCTTATTTTTATTATTGGTTATTTCTCACTGTTCATTCTATTTGATTTATTCTACAACATCCCCTTTTATTTAATGATCTGGAAAATTCTGCTCTTTGATAACAACTCAGGATTTTTTTGTTCAGTTTTGGTTTTTGCCCCTTCCTGTGGAGCCTACATTTTCAACCACAATAAAGATGAAACAAAATTTATGAAACTGAGCTCTCTTCCATTTTACTTACTGCTGGCTTTTTTTTTTTTTTTTTTCCTTGATTCCTACCATACCTTCGTTTTTTTCATTGTACTTTTTTAACACTACCTATATCCATTAGCTGCCTAATTAGTTTTATCTGTTCCATGTGGATGCAGTGAGTTTATAAGAGAATTTCACAAACAAGTAGTTTTTTAGTGAACTTAAAATAAACAGAATTTTAAAGGAGACCTATTTTTATACTCAATAAAAGCACAAAAGTGCAGAAAGTATAAAACGGCTTACAAAGGGAGACACAAGCTCATAATGTTCCATGTATAAAAGTAATAACTTTATTGGGTAGAGATATTCTTACAAGATCTAGCACCTCTGCCAGTGCACAGATAGGACTGTTTTAAATGATTTGGGAACTTTTGGTTGCCTGCAGTTGTGAACAGAGAACTTCTCTACAGAGAAACAAACCACTAAAAGCAATATGACCGAGTTGAGATGTGGTTTCCAATGAGCAATTGGTGAATTTAAGCAACCTGGATGTGCATATGTGGAGGCTCCCGTCTCACTGTTTGATCAAACTTCTTTTATGTAGTCACGTAGACTTGATTTTTTCTGCTGTGAAAATGAAAAAATAAAGCAATATGACAAAAAGTTTAAAAATGCATAAAAAATAGGATTTCCTCTAGGCTCCTCGAAGAGATTTTTTTAATATGATGCTTGTCTTACTTTCTTAGACACGTTACATTTCCCCTTCCAAAAAAAAAAAAAAGGACAACTGGAAGTAATTTATCATATAAAGAATTTTGATCAAATAGATATTGACAAAGGGCCCTCTGTCACATTTTTCTTCATCCAGCTTTTGTTCAAAAACAGTATGCCTCCTCCCTTGAATCACATAGGGAGAAACGTTATACTCCATTCTCATTAATTTCCCATTTTGTCTACTTTTACTCTTGTACATATGTTGTGGGTTTAAGAGTCTTTTGCATTTGTTCTGTGACACCTTTTTTTGAATTGACTGTTTTAAAACGGAGGCCTATTTTTTCCGGTTTGGGACTCCTAGTGGTTATGGCATCCCATAATGCTTCGTGACGGCCACCAGGACAGAACCACCTGATGTTTTAGAGCAGTTTTCAGCATGACACTGTTAACAAGTGTGTATTTTCCAAGGCCACATGAAACTTACTTTCTTAGCCACTCCAGGTTTGGGAGCAGAAAAGCTGAAAAACCCTTTTGTGTAGAAGTCTGAGTGGTTTGTGGGGGGGACCTTTTTTAGAGTTTGCATGCCAGCGCACGGCCTATTGCTGTGAAACAGAGAGAAGGTAAAGCTACCTGAGGCAGTGCGCTGGAGGATGAAGTGTTTGATAGCACTAGGGGGGAAAGAAAATGCATGGCAAAGTTTCGTCTTCTCGTAGACTATCTAGCATGCAGAGTGTAGTGTGTTGAAACGGTGTATGACATTGCTGTATCAAAGTTGTAAAATTAAGCATTATTTATTGAAAACTATGTATTTTTTTGTAAAAACCTGATCACATAGAGAATATCAGTGGCTTGTGCTTGTGCTTCGATCTAACCAGCTTCTTGACCCACCCCCCCTTGGTATGCAGTGTTAATGCTCAGGGTTGAAAATAGTACACTCCAATGTCTCTTTTGCAAGAGTTTTTCACAGAGGATTACATTTGTTCAAAAGACTCTAATAAAATTGTGTGATCAATCTTCACTTGTGGTTTTTATGTGACTTTTTTCTAGTTTTGCATTTGATAACTGCTGTTTAATTCTGAAAATGTTGTCTCAAACCAGATGTCAGGGACAGGCTTGAAGATTCCTGATGTCTCAGCACCCAGCACGGCTGTCAGCCTCGGCAGGAGGAAGACCACGGAAAGTGAGTTTTCTGGGCAGGTTGGAGAGCTGCTGACAGTGAGAATGAGCATGGTGATTACATCTCAATATATTAAACTGGCTGATAGAGGGAATAAAACCACAGACAAAGTGTAGAGGGGTAGATTAACATGTTTTGTCAGAAATGTCTGAAGTAGAAAATGAAGGAAAAATATCAGGGGCAGTTGCTGCTATTGAATTCAATACCAGCAAACTCCATTCCTCAGTGTCTTTTTTTTTTTCCTATAAACAATTTACAGTGTAAATGTATTTTGACATAGAAATCATTCTGTATTGAGATTCTTGATATAAAATGCTTTTATGAGAGCCTGTAAGTGATCCTTGGAATTATTATCAGATTTTTTAAAAGATGTGTTTACATGGTGAGTGTGTGTTGCATATTAAATTTGGTTTTGTAGAAACGTTTGTGTTGTATTGTAAAAAAATCTCAAAGTGCACAATTAACACAGCCGCTCTTAGGTTCTTGGTTATGTCAATTTCCACTACAGACCAAAGAACAAACATCAGACCTATCTATGGCAACTTTTTCTAATAATTACATCATTTATTCAATGTCTTGGCCTCATTTCAGAATATTTTTGAATGTCTTTCATCTTGGTAGGATTTTATTTTTATTTACCTTTTGAAGGAAACAAAACATAGACCCTGTAGAATTTTTATCTAGCAAAGAAGTTCCTTGCAATGAACACTAATAGATCCTCAATATGTGTCAAATTCCCCATTGGGACTCCTTGTACTATTTGCTATACAATTTGCCTTTCAGTGATGTGGTGTTTTTCTTAAATAGATTTTTTTTTCTAAAATTTAATAAATTTATTGACACCTTTGGTTAAAATGTCACTGATACAATTTTTAAGAAAACGTAAAATGTTGAAACATTGATCTTCTCCCAGTAAATCTAGGAGTGAAAGGAAGAGTTGAAGGGATCTTTCCTTCAGTGATAGCTTATCTATAGATGTCCTAAATATAGTCTACGCTCACACAATGTCATGATCCAAATACGGATAGTAATAGCCTTGTCAGAGAATATGTTGGTTCTCCTCAAAAGTAAATTCTTTCATAAAATGAATAGCTTGGTGAACTTGAAAAAATTGAATCCTGATTATAACATTGGTCAGAGCACATACTATTTCATTAAAAAGGCCATTCTTTCGGTGTGTTGAGAACATGGAGAGTAGAAAGAGGTCCTAGCAGAGCAGCTCATCATGCCACTTTATACTGAGTCTTTTGATAGCACTGAATTGCAAAGCTACACATTTTGTGACCTACCATCAGACAACTGAATCTAACCATTAAAGGCAGTACATGAGAAAAAAGTTAGGAGAGATAAGATTTTTTGAACCTTTAAAGATTTCTTTCTGTTAAATAATCACCAAGGTGCGTTTAGCCTGTGTTTAAATACCATAGGTGCCAATCATTTCTGCCATCCTTATTCTGTTCTGAAGGATTTTGCAAACTCACATTTCCAGCTGGACTAAATGACCATGTTCCACCCAGTGCCCCTTGGCTACTAACCAAACAGCAGCTCATGGACAATAGGCTTGCTCAGAACCTGGGACTCACTCACTCTGTCCTAAGATTTGAACTGCACTAATAACCAGACTCCTCAGTCCCAGATTTGCAGTTAAGAAACACACACACAGGCCTAGTTCTTGGTGAGAGTGGAGTTAGGAGGCCAAGAGGAACTCTGAAGCCTGAGGTAGCCGTAGCCACCACAAGCTGAAATGAGGAGGTTGGAAATATGAGGAAAACCTAGAAAGCAGAGAAATCATAAGGGAGAACCACAGGAGCCCTGAGAGGAGGAATCTGGGGTATCTGGGAGAGGCGGGCTTTGGCAGCCCTCTGCCCCAGCTCCATGGGGTTTCCTGCAGCAGATCTGTGGCCAGGCTGCTGGCAGACTGGGAGGTATTTGGCTATTCCTTGTTACTAACAAAAACATATTTTTTTGTTTGAGTGGCAACAAAGCCAGACAAAAAATTACATTCCCTTTCCTCCCTTGCAGAGAGAGATGACCATGTGACCAGGAAAACCCCTCTACAAGGAAGCATACATAGTGGGTATGCACCTTTCTGCATTTGTTTCTTCCTTCCATTTGGGATGTAGGTGAGATGGCTTGAGCTGCAGGTGTGATCTTATGATCAGGAAAGAGGAAAAAGAAATTTCAGATTCCTTGACCAGCCATGACAAACTTGAGCCACTGAATCACTGCCAACTGCTGCGTTGTGTTTGAGTAAGCTACAGTTACTTGGATGTAAATGTAGCCAAACCAAAACTCTAAAAAACTTCTATTTTCCTGAGATTATTTGAGTGGATTTGTGTTTCTCTTCCCCCATTGAGTAAAACTACAAAGAGTTTAAATAGCTGAAGAGGGAGGAGGATGTTTTAAACACTGTATTAATATTAAAATATTAATACATGGGGAGACTTTAGTGAAACTCACAAAAGTTGATGAAAATATTTTTTAAAAAAGTAAAGAGAAAAAGAAAGAAATGTCAAGAATTTGTACAATCACAAATAGGACACCAGATTTCCACTTACATTTTATGTTTATTTTATATAAATATTTCGATTAAGATTTGTTTGAGAATTGCTTATACATTTGCAGAGCTTCTCAGCTTGGTGATGATACAAGATCACTCTTTGTCTTCACATCTCAAGCATTTCCTGATTCCATTGCCAGCATGTACCTCTTCTAGGTGAATAGTTTCTCACTAATCTAATCCTTTCAGATTAAATTAAGCTTCACTTGATTCGGTAGATGGCATCTTCAAAATGAAGGGGCCCTCAGATACTATTTACTCCCATTTTTTCCCAACAGTTAAAAATTTTGGTTTTCCAACTCATAGAATATTGCAAGCAATAGACATTGAACACCAGGAAGGGTGAGAGGGCAGGAGAGGGGTGAGGGGTGAGAAATTACTTATTGGGCACAATGTACATTATTTGGGAGACGGTTACAATAAAAGTCCGGGCTTCACAACTACACAGTATTTCTATGTAACAAAACTGAACTGGTACCCCTTAAATTTATACAAAATAAATAAGAAATGGAAGGCCAATGTAAGCATGCTTTCTCGAAAAAAGAAAGAATATCAAAGTAATATATTTAGAGTGGTGAATTGAGAACCTGGAGAAAGAGCCAGAAAAAAATAAAAGAAAAAAAAATTATTAACAAGGTGGCTATAAAAAGCAAACAAAAAGCTAAAAAGTCTGGGATCATTTAGTTTAAAGATAAACATCTCTACTCAAATGACCCCTGAGTGCATCACTGTGTTAGATAATGTTACAAAGATCAGTGTTTATAATATTGACACTAACTTCTCAGAAGATGCTTGCATCGTGTTCATTACGGCTTATTTACGGAGGCAGGGAAGTATGAAATCTTGCTTAAGTATTCTACCCGACATTTTAAATGGAACCAAAATGTTTAGGAAGAATCACTTTTGGCAAAACCCTCTCACTTGAGAGTATTCTCTAAATGAACGTATTTTTGGTCCAAGAGCTAGCAGAAGATAACACAGGGAAGAAGTTTTGCTTTGTGGGAACTAAAGAGGTGGAATAGAATACTCCAGTGAAGTCACCCCGTGTGACTGAGATACTACAATTCAGTCCGAGTCTGCATAATCCAGAAGATGGAGCAGAGGCAGATGAGATGGCTACAAAACTGGCGGGAATGAGGAGTGCCAGCCCAGCCCCAAGAAGGAAGGCTGGGGTGGCAGAGCCAAGGAGGCCGGGATGGAGGATCCAGGGAGGCTGGGGAGGAGGAGCTGAGAAGGGGTGGAGGAGCTAGGGAGGCCAGGGTGGAAGAGTTGAGACCTAGGTGGAGGAGCTGGGGAGGCTGGGGTGGAGGAGCTGGGAGGCTGGGGTGGAGGAGCTGGGAGGCTGGGGTGGAGAAGCTGGGGGTACCAGGTTGGAAGAACAGGGGAGGCAGGGATGTAGAAGCTGCAAGGACCAGGGTGGAGGAGCTAGGGGAGTAGGGGTGGAGGAGCCGGTGAGAAAGGGGTGGAGGAGTAGGGGATGCCAGGGTGGAGGAGTTGAGGAGAATGGGGTGGAGGAGCAGGGGAAGCAGGGGTGGAGGAGCTGGGGTGGCCGAGGTGGAGGAGCAGGGGAGGCCAGGGTGGAGGAGCCGAGAAGGGGTGGAGCTGGGGAGGCCGGGGTGAAGGAGTTGGGGGGACTTGGATGGAGGAGCAAGGGAGGCAGGGGTGGAGGACCTGAGAAGGGGTGGAGTTTGGGAGTCTGGGGAGGAGGAGCTGGGGAGGTCAGGGTGGAAGAGTTGAGACCTAGCTGGAGGAGCTGGGGTGAAGGAGCTGGGAGGCTGGGGTGGAGGAGCTGGGAGACCAGGGTAGAGGAGTTGAGGAGGCCGGGGTGGAGGAATTGGGGAGGCTGGAGTGGAGGAGCAGGGGAGAAAGGGGTGGAGGAAAAGGGGAAGAAGGGGTGGAGGAGGAGGGGAGGCAGGGGTGGAGCTGGGGGGACCGGGGTGGAGGAGCTGGGAGGCCAGGGTGGAGGAGTTGAGGAGGCTGGGGTAGAGGAGCAGGGAGGCTGGGGTAGAGGAGCAGGGAGGCTGGGGTAGAGGAGCAGGGAGGCTGGGGTAGAGGAGCAGGGAGACTGGGGTAGAGGAACAGGTAGGCTGGGGTGGAGGAGCTGGGAGGCCAGGGTGGAGGAGTTGAGGAGGCTGGGGTAGAGGAGCAGGGAGGCTGGGGTAGAGGAGCAGGGAGGCTGGGGTAGAGGAGCAGGGAGGCTGGGGTAGAGGAGCAGGGAGGCTGGGGTGGAGGAGCAGGGAGGCTGGGGTGGAGGAGCAGGGAGACTGGGGTGGAGAAGCTGGGAGGCTGGGGTGGAGGAGCTGGGAGGCTGGGGTAGAGGAGCAGGGAGACTGGGGTGGAGGAGCAGGGAGGCTGGGGTGGAGAAGCTGGGAGGCTGGGGTGGAGGAGCAGGGAGGCTGGGGTGGAGGAGCTGGGAGGCTGGGGTGGAGGAGCAGGGAGACTGGGGTGGAGGAGCAGGGAGGCTGGGGTGGAGGAGCAGGGTCAGTCTTTCCTGGGGGTGGCGGCTGGGGCAGCCACACAGGGTAGGACACACTGGGTGGAAGTGGTGGCGGAAGGATGAATTCAACGTGAGTAAAACATGGAATGTGGTTGCGTTCAGAGTAAGGGAAGAACTGGTGTCCGTGAGTCTGACGGCGAGCTGGGCAGGTGTGACCTGGAAGGGCGGGCAGGTGGGGCACGGCGCCCCGGAGGGAGCCAGGGGCCACTCGCTGGACACTGAACGTGCTGGTTGTGCCTGGGACGATCCTGGGCAGCGCCCCTCCCTGCCTGCGCGGGTCCCGTGGACGGGGCCCTCCTCTCTCCGTGCGTCCTGTCGCTGTCAGGGCATCGGTGGTCGCGGGAGGTCTTGGGTGTTCATGGGGGTCACGCGGCAAAGGCCTCTGGTGCCCGGAGGAGCCTGGGCTCTGAGGCCTGAACGACTTGGTTTCCGGAATTCCTTCCGCTGCTTTCGACCGCGGGACTCTGGAGCTTTGCTAACCTGCCCCGTGCCTGGGTCTCCTCTAGGTCAAGGAGAGGGTGTGGACTGGAGGAAATCTAAGTCCGTGGAGACGTAGCCCTCTGGCTCTAACCTGTGAGGACGGGGTTCCCCCTGCCTCGTGGACTCTGCTCTCCAGAGCCTGGGACCCTGGCAGGTGCTTCGGATGAAGGAGCCGGGAGGAGCCGACTGCCTTTCCTTCCCGCCGGGATCCGCGAAAACGTGTGGTCGGGACTCCGAGCGCGGAACCCTCAAGGGGAAGAAGAGGCCCCGTGGGGAACGCGCAGCGTGTCAGGGCTGGCACCAGCTCCGTTCTGGAAAAGAAATTGCGACGAAAAGAGACGGCAGCCGTGACCTCTGCTCTGTATTTCCTTCCTCTTCGGAGAGGAAGATGGAATTTAGTAGTTTATTGAGGGGCGGGAGATCCTGGCTAGCGCAGAGTGTAGCCATCGTTTTCGGCTCTGGCACACTCGAGGGCTGTCATTCACATGTGTAATAGATACGAATTCGGAAAGATCCAGTGGAAAGAATACTGCAACAACTTCTCGCAATTACTTCGATAATTCGCAATTGCTCTATTAACATCGTATCAGGAATGGTGGGTCACTTTGGACTCTTGTGTAGATAAGATAGACTAAGGGTTAAAGGACGTTCAGCCTCCCACCCACCAAGAAACACACAGAAGAAAGAGTGAGAGGAAGAGCTGGAAGTGATTTTAAATACACTGTGATTGCTAAAGCAAGTCAATCATCTCCAAACTGTGGTCTGCTTCAATTACTAGTTAGAAATGATTTGTGAAAGACCTCACAGAAGACTGCCCACACCACGATGCATTGAGAAATTGTTTTCTAGTACAGTGGTCTTTGAAAGCAATTGCTACCGTCCTCAGAAACTGTGCAGGATCATGTATAGGGATGAAGAAAAACACAAATTGGAGTGCTTTATTTGTACTTCTTTTCCAGCTTACAAAAAATAAAGATATTATGCTTCATTAACATTTAATGACTAGATTAACAATTGTACATGTGTATGATTTTTAAAATAATACATATATTAGGGATATCTGCTTAAAAGACTTAACAGATAGAATTGCCTGATGAGACTAGATTCCAAGCCTCTGTTCTAGAATACAGAGCAGATTCTATGCTATACTGGAAGGGCAGTGGATGAAGAATCCGAAGAATGGCTTTCAATTCTGGTGAGCCTCCAGGTCAGCTGTGCAGTATTAGGTAACTTGATTTACCTTTCTGGTCCTTTGTTTTCTCACGCATAAATTGGTGGCTGAACTAGATCATATTGGAGGTTTCTTTCAGGTCCAATAAATAATGCAATAGCCACTGCTTATTTGCACTCAGAGTGCCAGCTTGGAGGCACCAGTATAAATTCAGCTTCCACATCTGGGAGGGAGAGCGAATGAAGAGATAGGGCAAGACAGTGAGACTGGGGCCTGTGGAAACAGGGGAAGGCAAATTTCAACTAAGGATATTCACATTCAAAACATTTAAAACACCCAGTGGGTCAAACTGAATGGCCATTGGCCCCCTTATCTTGTTGCTTTGGGGATGGTCAGTGGTTTTGAAGTCACTGGTTACTCTGCTCCCGGACAGAGCTATTGTGAACTTTACAATGGGGAGAAGAGAAACAATTGTCTTCCAGGACAGCAAATTTTCAAACTCAAGTTTGAGGTAATTAAAAAAAAAAAAGCTTCTTTTTATATCATTATTTCAGTTAACAAACTTCTTTAACTGAGAGAGCATACCAATATTATAGCATTAATAAGATAATATAATGTTTCATAAAACAGAAATCTCATTTCTAAACGTACCAAACAAACATCAAAATCACACAATCAAAAGTACAGGTTTCTGAGTCTACTTCCCAGAATACAGATTCCATGTATTTGAAAAAAAGCCTGGAGTCTATATCTTTAACCAATGCATTCAACTAACTCAAAGGCTGTTCAGCCACAGACCAGTGGCTGCCAATCATAGCTCTTAAGTCAGTGAAGGAATGACACACACACAATCCTTTTGTCAAAAATCAGTTTCTTTGAGCCAAAAAATAAGTTTTCTATTAATAAGCACAATCTGCCTCACCCCCTCTATAGCTTTGGTCATGCCTCATTCTACAAAATTTTGTTGTGCGTGAAGCTTTGGGTGTTGTTGAGCACACGCAGATGAAAGACGGTTCCTGTCTCCAGGGGCTTGTAGTAGCCAGATGTGTGAGAGCCGAGTTTGAGAGGCCATCTGCAATGCTCACCTGCACACTGAGAGCTGGCACTGGGGTGAGCAAGTCGCCAGCCCAGGAAGGCAGCCCCGGCTGGGGAGGCAGGAATAATGCCTGAGTCTTGAAGGTGCGTGGAAGGAAAAGGACAGAGGTGGGCTTTCCAGGCAGCTACTGGCAAGAAGTTGGAGACCTTGAACGTGGCCCTGGAACTGTACGTTGTTTGCTCTTCCTGGGCCGCAGAGCGGGAGAATAGCAAGGCACCATGCAGATAGCCAGGACATATGTGCTGGTTGCATCCTTGGTCTTGTTCTGACACAGGACACTTGTGTAGAGTTGGATCCCTGTTTTTTAAGTCTCTTCTTTTAACTGGCCCCTGTGATCAGACCTGAGACCCATGTTTTACAGATGTGGTCTGAGAGTTGGGGCAAACCAAGTCATATGAAATGCACACCTGGATTTTTCCATTGCTGGCTCACTGACTAATAGTGCTGTATTGGGGGGAAAGCTGAGAAAATAAAGAAAAATGGGAAACCCCAGAGGCCTGTGAATAATCTGAGCAAACCTGAAGGTTGAATAAACCTCTGATACAGAAACGGACCTCTCAGTCCATTTTCTCATCTGCAAAGTGGGGCAATCACGCTGCATACGCCAGACACTGACACCATAAGGCACAGCCACAAACACGATTGCAGTTTCTTAATAATGGCCAGCTATTCATGTCACTCAAGCTTTGTGTGTTTGGAATTTTCCCCACCTGTGAAATAGGGATCATCATCCTTGTCTCACAGGGCTGTTCTGTCGCATAATTAATTAATATTTGTAAAGCTTTTTGAGACCTCCTGACTTACATTAACTCTATGAAAACTGGCGAAGCATGTTACGAAGCCCTAGAACTAAGGACTAAAGGAAAGGGGAGAAATGGAGCCATTCATTTTGGGACAGACAACGTGTTTCATGCTTTAACACGCAAAGTGAAGCAGAAGCTGAAGATGGTTCTGCAAGAGATGGCAAAGAAGACAATGAAAAGGACGCTTGCCACATAGTTGTAGGGAGCAGATTAAAAACAAACAAAAAAACTAGCCCCTCTATAATTATATCAATTCTGGGGGATTATTTCTTCCAGATTGTTGATGGAAGGCTTCTCAGAATTGGAATGTCAATACAGGCACGTCAAAGAGGTAGGAAGAACAGGAGGAGGTGATATTGTACATCAAAATGATTTATCATGCTAATGAGATACAATTTGTCAGTGACAGTGGTGTTTATACACTTCAGACAAAAAGAAGAATGAAAAACACAAGTGCACTTCCCACACGAGACTGTCACCTATTGACTTGGAGTACACACAAACATACACCCAACAAGAACAGAAGGTGACTTCAGAAGAACCAAAGCCCAGAACATGCATGTTGAAGGCCAAGGTCAATAGGAAATTATGTAAAATGGAAAAACATGCAAGGAATTGGCCAGGCACAGAGAACAGAGTTAACTCCGTCACACAGGAACCCAGATGAGTGACGTCATCAAGACCCTTTCCGTATGGCTCCATTGCTGGGGTGGTTCCACGTGGACACTCAGTTGCTCAGCTGGCACAGACAGTAGCTGGGGAGGGTAAGAAACAGGACACCACAAAGAAATACGGGAGGCCACAGAAGTATCTTCCTGCTGATAGGAGCCACCATTTCCCCAATCAAATTCCACTGACACAATTACTCTTTAGGGCAGCTCCATTAGAAGGTTTATTCATCAAGGTTCTCCAAAAAAATAGAATCCATGGGATGTGCATGCATTAGAAAGAGATTTCATTTAAGGAATTGGTTCACTTGGTTGTGGAGGCTTGGTAAGCAAGTCCAAAATTGGATGGGGGAGAAGTCCAGGGTGGGGACAGGGGAAAGAGGGGCAGTTTGAGTCTGAACACCATTTGCTGTGGGACCAGGAGGAGCTGAGCTTGCAGATGAAGTCCAAAGACAGGCTGCTAGAAGGATCTTCTCTTCCTTAGGGGAGCCAGTCTAATCTGCTTTACTCAAAGTCCACCTATTTAAATGTGGGTTTCATCTCAAACACTATTATAGACACATTTAGAATAATGTTTGACCAGCCAAGGTGACGCATAAAATAAACCATCACCTGAGGTGAGAGACCTGTTATTAAAAGAGGGATACCGGCCAGGCACATTTTGGGAGGCTGAGACAGGAGAATTGCTTGAGCCCAGGAGTTCAGGACCAGCCTGGGCAACATAATGAGACCTCTTCTTTACAAATAATTTAAAAATTAGCCAGACTTGGTGGCCCATGCCTGTAATCCCAGCTACCCAGGAGGCCGAAGCAGAAAGATCATTTGAGGCCAGGAGGTTGAGGCTGCAGTGAGCCCTGATCACGCCACTGCACTCCAGCCTGGGTGACAGCGTGAGACCCAAGACCCTATCATAAAAAGAGAGAGAGAAAGAAAGAAAAAGAAAGAGACTTTGCTGAATCTCCTTCTTCAAAACAAACTAACAAAGAAACCAGCCCTCAGTAAAGTCTAATAAAAAAAGAAAGATATAAATGTGAAAAGGATCTATCCCTAGAAAATTTGGAATTCTGCCTGAAAGAGGAGGTGATGTGATATAAATATTTCCAAATCTTTTTGGACCTGTTGTAGCCACTTGGGGAGCAGTATGTATGATACTCCCTAACCTGGCATTCAAGCTTCTGCTACCTGGTACCAAATCATTTCCCCAAAGTCAACTTGTTTTTACTGTCATTTTGGGAAAGCACTCATTCTGTGACATCTGTCTGTATTTATTGCCCCTTGCAATATAATCCCCTGCTTCTTTTTTGCCCCTTTTTCTTTATGCATCTCTTCAGGGCCTGGGCAGGTAGGATGCTGTTGTAGAAAGAAGCCTGACAGGGAAACAATAATGATGACACTTACTGGGTGTCAGGCATCACTCTTTGTGGGTTCACATTAAATAGCTTGTTTAGTGTTTACTGCAATCCAGCAAAGAAGGAGTTGTTATTCTTCCAATTTTGCAGAGAAGGACTCAATAATTTGCTGGAGGTCCCAAAGTGTATAAGTCCATTCTCTCACTGCTGTAAAGAAATACCTGAGACTGGGTAATTTATAAAGAAGAGAGGTTTAATTGACTCATGGTTCTGCAGCTTGTACAGGAAGCATGACAGCATCAGCTTCTGGGGCGGCCTCAGGGAGCTTTTACTCATGGCAGAAGGCCAAGTGGGAACAGGTGTCTTCACACAGCCAAAGCAAGAGGACGAGAGAGAGAGAGAGAGGAGGGGGCACATGTTTTTAAAATGACCAGATCTCACGAGCACTCAGTTACTTCACAAGAACAGTATCAGTAGTGAAATTTGCCCCCATGAGCCAATCACCTCCCACCTGGCCTCACCTCCAACACTGAGGATTATAATTCAACCTGAGATTTGGGTGGTGACACAGATTAGACAATATCCCACAGCTAGTCAATGGCAGAGCTGGGGATTGGACCTAGGCAGTCTGGCTTCTGCAGACTTACTTAGAGTCCAACTTTCTCCCTAACATGAACTAATGCTATTCCGTGACTTTGGACAGAATTAATTCTGCAATTCTATAGTTTGGAGAGTTGGACTGTAGAAGATTCTAAATCCCATATTTTTCTGAAGCTATCTGTGGTGGATATTGTGACCACAAGCTGAACATCTACTCCCCTCCACTAAGTAATTCCAACCACTAACCTCTCCACCTTCTTTCTACACACCTTGCGAGGCAGTGGTATTTGACCTTTGCCAGAATTATTAGTATAACACCATCCACTGTCTACAGCATTGGTCAGAACTAGGCAGGCAACGTGATTCGGGCCAAGGAGGGAAGCTTGCTCACCCCTTCTGGATGGTAAAGTGGGAATTTTTGAAGCCTGGAGTGGCTGCATCCATTTGGCTATCAGAGGGAAGCCAGATTGAAGTGAATCTAATGCCCTAAGTGGCAAACAAGAAAAACCAGATGAGTGTTGACATCATTAGGCCTCCAGGGCAAAGGAAACTGAAGCCACCTACTTCTAAACTTCTTGGGTAAGCCTGTATGTCCCAGCTCTTGGCTCAGCCAGTTTGAGTTGGGCTTGCTATTGAGAGAATTCCAGTAAATCCTAATCACTCAACCTGTGGTGATCTCTACTTTTTCTTAGAGCCTTATTAACTATTTAACCCATCATTAATTTTGTATAATCGTATACTGCCATTTACCATGGATGGTGGTATTTACCACTAGGTGTTTCATATCAGAATCATGCCTTATTCTGTCATGTAAATTATAAACTAAGATTCTTTATTTCTTCCAAGAATCTATAATAGTAGTTACTTATTAATTGTTGTAAGAATGAGTTTTGGAGACCACCGAATATAATCAAACCATCTTTTCCTAAATAAATCTAGGGTAGCAAGTAAGATCAATGGGGTAGCATTGGTTTTAATGTGTGCGATTTTAAAATTCAGGTAATTCTATCCAACCTTAAGGACCGGATGGGGATAGAAATGTCACTGGTTGTTAAAACAGAATCTTACAATTAGACAATAGTCTCAAGCTTGGGCCTGAGTTATTTGGGCCAGTTATACCAATAACAATAAAAGTTACAATATCCTAAATATCTTCAATGTACCAAACATATACATATACAAATACAGTGTACCAAACATGTACATATATATGTATATATTCTCTCTGTAGCTATTTTCCTATCTTTGCAAAACTGGTATTACTTACTTTTATGAGCAAGCCGCATAGCCTGACTAGCCCATGGCAGTACAGATAATTACATGGCAGAACCAATACCCAAACCTACAACCTCTCAGTTCTACAACATGTGTTTCATCTACTAGACCACACCAGCACTGCACATGCCCTAATTGATAATCTACCTGTTGTGATGATATTACTTCCTTCTTTAAAACTTTCTATGGCTGTGATTTGGGAGGGCATTTGTATTTTCAGGTTCTTAAACAAGTATTTGTGGCATGAATGGATGAGCTGAGAAGTACCATATTTTGCCTTTCGTTTACATGAAAGTAAATGCCCCCAGAAAGAGATTTTGAGGTTTGTTTTTCTTCGGAGAGAAGCTGCTATTGCAAGATTTACCTAACAACTGCTAAAAGATGCATGCCTTCCAGAATGTGTGTATGATGCTGACAGCTGTCTACTTCAGCACTTCATTTTCCAGGAAGGAACAACCAAGAACTTTTAGAGAAAATATTGGGAAATCCAGATTGGACCCTCATTTCTATTTTCAAACACTAAATATCTAGAATGACAGCTCCACTATTTCTAACTGGTCTACCCTTGAAAACCCCAAACAGAAAAAAGTTTGGCAGTTTTTTAAATAGTAGTTTAAGTTTTATATATATTATATCATATATATATATAAATATATATTTTATATATATATTTTTTCCCCTGAGAGGTAAGGTTTCAAATAGTCTAAGAAAGCAAAACAATTATAGCCCTATTGCAGTGATGGATTGTGGTTCTATTAGCTCTGGGGTTTTGTTGGTGGTCATGGTGGTGATTTTTCTTTTTGTTTGTAAAGGCTTCTAATATTATATGTAATGGATTTTAGTAGTTAATTTTTTAAAAAAATATGCAAAAAAAATGTGTTGTATTTCCTAAATAGAGAACTATTAATATATTAACATAGCTATAAATTTACTGTACCATAGATAGAAAAGTAATATTGAATACATTATGTAGGTAAATAACAAAGCAAGACAATATGATGGCTTACAATAGAAAAGTAAAAATACTAATGGTTATGCACATAATTCTATTTGAACTTCTCTAATTGTTCCACAAAGAAGTCATAGGAAACAGCAGACACAGCATTGAGTAATGGCTGGATACTTAATGTGACTCTTGCTACTTTTGATATATTTGGCTTTCCCATTAGTGAGATTCAACAAATGCTAATAAAATATTTATTAGCTATTACTTTTCCTGACCTATTAGTGGAGTTCACTAATGGACTCAGGCTTCCTAATTGGAGAGCTGTATATCTCTCTAGCATCTAAGCCAGTACCACTTGTGCATGGGGTGTCTGCAATATTTTCTGAACTACAAGTTCATATGAGTTTCCAGGTCACATTTGGTACTGAACTGAATGCTGTCATGAAGCCCACTCACCTCGTCACTCCAGTGGCAAGAAGTAGAAATCAATTCTGGTTAACGAATGGAAAACAAAAGTTATTCGAGACGTGTGGATCACTTGAGGTCAGCAGTTCGAGACTAGCCTGGCCAACATGGTGAAACCCCGTCTCTAGTAAAAATGTTAAAAAATTAGCCAGATGTGGTGGCAGGTGCCTGTAATCCCAGCTACTTGGGAGTTTGAGGCAGCAGAATCACTGGAACCTGGGTGGCAGAGGTTACACTGAACTGAGATCACACCATTGCACTCCAGCCTGGGTGACAATGAGACTCTGTCTCAACAAAACAAAACAAACAAGCAAACAAACAGAAAAGCCAGAAAACAAAGTTATTGAACAATAGAAACTTTAGGAAGTCTGCAGATCCTGGTATGGAAACAAGGAGGAGTCCAGATACAGCCACCACCGCTCCAGAAAATCCTGCCACAAAAGCAGTTCTATGGGCCACCCTGGCTGCTGTGACAGTCACCAGTGCCACAGCTGGAACCCTCTGTGTCAGGACTAGATACAGACCCTTACCTAGTCCTTGCAGCTGTCACTACCTTGGAAATGTGGTGTCACTGCACCACCCACCACCATGGAATTCCTCCACAGGTCTGATCCACATTCAGAATAAGTGCAACCGATTGGCTGGGAACCTGGTCTTTTTTTCAGCTTCTAATAGTGATAGGCGGGCTTTTCCCTCCTCCTTCAACGCTACCCCCACCCAATACTTACAAGGTAGGGAATTTCCTAAAGCTAGGAAGAGGATTTTAATGCAAGAGGATTATAATGCTGGGAGAAATAAAAAACAAATAGACAAATGTTGTATGTATATGTTTGTACCTGTGTGTATGTGCACATATATGAACTCACACATTCACGTGATCACACATATATAATTTATGCTATCAAAATATATATATTATTTATATGTAATTTATGCTATCATATATTTTATATATTATACATACCATATGTATATTATATATGTAATATATATCTCATATATATATATATATATTTCCCAGGCTTCTGAATCAGTTTTATTTTGTATTTTTAAAAAAACACAGAAGCTCTGCTTTCCAGATGGTCTAGTAAAGTTTAACACCAGAAATCTCTTATGAAACTCTTGTATTATTTGAGGTACCTTTGAAGGAAGAAAATACAACTAAAGAAAATTTATGTTGTTATTTTTTATATACATACATTATAGAGTATTTCAGAATACGGGAAATAATAACACAGAAAATAAAAAGTTCACGCAATTACATCCTCAGCATCAACCTTGGTTAAAGATTGATACAGTTCTTGTTCCTTCTCTAAACACATGCAAACATGCACACCTATATAAGCAGTATTTTTAAAAATTTGCAGCATGCTAAATATGCTTTGGCATCCCTTCTTTAGTCACTCGCTATTATACAGTAGGCTTTTGATATTACTATTTTTTCTTCAAAAATAATCTCAAAAGATTAATGTAATATGTTTACACTATCATGTAATTAATCTTTCCCCTGTTACTAGGCATGTAACATAGTTTTTGCAGATGGGTGTTTTTTAATGGAATTCAACCAGAATGTCTTTGTGTTGTTAAGCATAAGAATATCTGCACCTACCAGCCCTAGAAAGTACCTGTATTCCTGTATTCCTGGCCAATGAGAGCAGGGCTTGCTTTAGCTACCTTTTTTTTTTTTTTTTTTTTTTTGAGAGAGAGTCTCCCTTTGTCACCCATGCTGGAGCGCAATGACACAATCTTGGCTCACTGAAACCTCTGTCTCCCTGGTTTAAACAATTCTCCTGCCTCAGCCTCCCAAATAGCTGGGATTACAGGTGCCTGCCACCATGTCCAGCTAATCTTTGTATTTTTAGTAAAGACAGGGTTTCATCGTGTTGGCCAAGCTGGTCTCAAACTCCTGACCTCAGGTGATCCATTCATCTTGGCCTCCCAAAGTGCTGGGACTACAGGCGTGAGCCGCCACACCCAGCCTACTTTTGCTAGATCTTATACTGTTGTGCTTGAGCCACAGGCATTTAGGTCAACGTAAATTGATTAAATTATTTTTTAGCCTGTTAACACAATCAGGAGGAATACAGAAATAAAACAAATGAATACAGTTTATAGTTAATTTGAGGAAGACAAGTGTTCATTCTGTGGCTCCAAAAGTAATGTACACATTACGTTATTATTATTATTATTATTATTATTATTATTATTATTATTATTATTATTTGAGATGGAGTCTTGCTCTTTCACCCAGGCTGGAGTGCAGCAGCACGATCTCAGCTCACTGCAACCTCTGTCTCCCAGGTTCAAGTGGTTCTCCTGCCTCAGCCTCCCAAGTAGTTGGGACTACAGGCACATGTCACTACACTAGGCTAATTTCTGTATTTTCAGTAGAGACAGGGTTTCGCCATGTTGGCCATGCTGGTCTTGAACTCCTGACCTCAGGTGATCCACCTGCCTTGGGTGCTGAGATTACAGGCGTACACATTGCATTTATAAGAACGCTGGAGGAGAGCACAGGTGTGACCGGAGCACACCACAGGAGGGCAAGACTCCACCCAGGGGTCTGGGAAGTGATCCTTGAGGCTGGACCCCAAGTTTGTACAAACTTGTTTTAAACCCTAGTTCTGCCCGATAGCCCCCTGATAAGTCCCTACATGACTCTGAGTCTTTGTGAAACACTTTAGAAAGCAGGCGCTGAGGAAGACCACAGTCTCTGGGTCTGCGATTCCCATGCGCAGAGCCGCTGGGGCAGGAGGGCCACCAGCGCTCCTTCCTGGGAGCCAGTTTGGGCCACTGCCCCCAAGACCTTCAAGCTGCTTTGTCAGGGCACGTCAGTGTGTGAGGAGTCAAAAACCGTGAATTTCACCCTTGCAGACAAAATAAATAATTGGCTGGACACCTTTTAGTGGAAAACATGTGTTTTCAATGTTTCCAGGGAACGAAGTGCTTACAAGCAGCAAACAAGCTGGAAGGTGGGTTTATATTGACAAGTTCTCCCACCAACATGGCGCTTCTCGGGAAGTTCCTTCTGAGACCTCAACTGTGGAAGAACAACCTAGACCTTGGAAGAGGATGCTGCTTTCCCGCCTTCCTCACTTGCACAAGCCTCTGGCTAGTTGAAACAGACAAAGCAGTCTGTCCCTCATAACCTCATTAATATGACCTGTAGGAGACCTCCTCCGTGTCTCCTGAATGATATATTTACTCTGATCTTAGAAGAGACCTACCCATCCTCCCTGTGTCCTTCAGGCAGAGCATTTTTACTGTGCACCTCTTTGTGACGAGATCATCACAAGATTCTGGGGAAACAACAGTGAGCACAATGGACAAAGCCCTTCTTTTGGAACTGGCTTAAGAGACACTCAATGAACAAGGAAATGTGTATCTATTGGTGTAAAAACTGTACGTTTGGATGGGGTATAGAGAAGGTTTGTGTGGGAAGGATAAACTCACATAGAATGGGCAGAGAAGGTCCCTATGCCCAGATGTCATGTGGGCAGAGCAGGAATGAAGGATGGGTCCAAGCCATGGAAATAGTTGGCCAGAACCAGGAAGAAGAACAGCAGGTGCAAAGGTCCTGGGGCGGGGGTGCACATGGCACAGATGAGCAGCAGCAAGGGAGGTGCTGCCGCACGACGTAGCAAGACAGGAGATGGGATGTGGCTCCTGGGGAAGAAGAAGGACAGTGAAGAAGGCGGTTGAGCAAGGAGCTAGAAAAACTAACGCGGACATGAGGACGAAGCAAAGATAGTCATTTTAGGACATTTGGTCTAAGCCAGAACTGTCTCTCACACCTCAAGGCCATCTGCAGGGATTTCACTATATACAGTATGATAGTTGATGCTTATATGATCACCCCAAGTTGTTAACATGAGTTTATGTTTATATTCAGCATTCCATTTATTTTAATTCCAAACACCTTTATTGAGCCCTTAGTACATGGGAGACCTTATGTCAGACAGTGGGAATGGAAAGATGAGAAATTTAGCGTCATCAACCTTCCAGAGTTCATAATCTAGCTAGAGAGAAATATGCATAGCTATGTACCCTGATTATGAAAACAAGAAAATGCTTCGTGTATTTAAAAAGCTCTCTATCTAAAATAATTTCACTTACATTTAAATAACTTAATACTAAAAGGGGAATCTCGAGTTGCTGAAAATTCACTGATATGGAAATCTTCAAACCCAACTATGCCAGGAAAAAACACAGACTTGTGTATACATACCCACAGTTCTGTGCATAAACCGCTGAATGTGACATTAAAGTCACATCTGAATAATAGCTCCAAACTGATCAAATTCATATGTTGAAATCTTAACCCAAAGTAACTTAGAACATGACCTTATCTGGAAATAGGGTCATTACAGATGTGACTATTATGACGTCATAAAGGAGTAGGATGGGCCCTAATGTAATATGGCTGGTGTCCTTATATAATAAAAGGAGACATTTAGACATAGAGGCACAACCCAGGAAGAGCACCATGTGAAGATGAAGGCAGAGATGGGCTTGAAGCATCTATCTACAAGCCAAGGAGCCCCAAAGGCTGCAAGCCAGGAGCAAAGCCTGGAACAGAGTCTCTGTTACAGTTTCAGAAAGAATCAATCCTGCCAACACCTTGATCTCAAATTCCCAGCCTCCAGATCTTCAAAATAATACATTTCTGTTGGTTAAGCCACTCCTTTTGGGGTACTTGTTACAGCAGCCATAGAGAACTCATACAGCATGTTTACCAGCTCTCGGTTCCTTTGCAGACATAAAGGCACCCTCCCAATTAAGTACCTCCAACTGCACACCTCCTTTTTCTCCAAATTCCGACAGAAATGACAGTATGTACTTAGGGTATCCATCCATAAGGGTGGAACACTGAGAGACAAAGCATTAGGGGGTTGGAGATTTTGTCACATTTTTAGACAACCAAAAAGGAACTACTGAGAGCCTAAGCCGCTTAGGGAGAGCTCACCCCAGAACCCCAGGAAAGAAGGCTGCTGTACAAGTGCTGCCTCATCAAGCACAGCACGGATATTTTCCTGAGAACAGCTTCTCAGCTTGGAAAAGTTTAAAAAGTCTGCTATGCAGTGATGAGTCATGTGCAAATGATATCAAACAGTTGGGCTTGTCATATCCAGGAACTGGTTTAAGACATAGAGACTGAATGACAACTCAAACCAGTGTCAGAAATATACCCTTTCTGCCACTCCCAGTGCATTTTCCCCCAAGACAATGTCTATCCGTAGTGACAGCTGGAGTGTCTGAGGGAGCGATTTGTATACCCGGCGGAGATGGAGGAGTGCAGTGCAGGGAGATGGAGGTGGCTGGGTGAGGGATCGTGTGGCTGCCTTCACCTCGGCAGCCTGGCACAGGGAGTATGTGAAAAAACTTGACAACATCCACAGGAGAAGCAGGAGCTGCACCATAAATAAATTATTTCACAAAGTGAAGAAGTGGTCACAGGAGCAGCATGGCTTATGATACAATATTTACCTTCTTACCTGTGTCAACATGCCAGAGTTGCTTCCTCCCTTGTGAAAACCACGACAGCCCCCCCTTAAAAAAATAGCATACTATTCTAAAGTAAATGTATTTTAAACTTTTTTTTCTAAAATATTAAGTGAAACAAAAAGCTGTCAGTTTCTTTTGGATGTTAGTTTTCTAATCTGCAGCACAGAGTTTGCAGGAAGAAAGTCCACGAAGCTGGGGCTTTCTAAATGTCTTCCACATGGGAAAGTTACCTGAACCAGTCAGGACGCACTAGGTTGTTCTTGATGATGGAGAAGTAAACTCCAGGAAACAAATACCACCCCTGAATTCCCAATGGCCGAAAACCACAAAGGTGGATTTATCGCTCATGTCTCCCGTCTGTCATCAGTCAGGGACATGATTCCACACATCTCTCTAAGGCCCAGCCTACTCTTTGAAGAGGCAGAGGAAGAGTTGTAGAAAGTCTGGAATCAGCAACAAGGGTACTGGCTTAGAAATTATGTCATGTCTTCTCACAGCCATGGGCTCAAACCTGTTACATGGCCCCCCCACAGCCACAGTCGTCCAGGAAGTATGACTCTATGGGCAGAAAGTGAAAAGCTGCACATATTTACAGAAAAGCATTCAGGATTAATACATTGTTTAGGTAATGTCTATTCTATAAAGTGAAAAATTGCAATTAACAAATGCATTATGGCTGGGCGCGGTGGCTCACGCCTGTAATCCCAGCACTTTGGGAGGCTGAGGTTGGTGGACCACCTAAGGTTGGGAGTTCGAGACCAGCCTGACCAACATGGAGAAACCCCCTTCTCTACTAAAAATACAGAATTAACCAGCTGTGGTGGCGCATGCCTGTAGTCCCAGCTACTTGGGAGGCTGAGGCAGGAGAATCACTTGAACCTGGAAAGCAGAGGTTGCAGTGAGCCGAGATCATGCCATTGCACTCCAGCCTTGGCAACAAGAGTGAAACCCCGTCTCAAGAAAAACAAAACAAACAAAAAACCACAAATGCATTATGTAATACTAATAAGCAGGTAAGATTCTATAGGCAAGTTGGTTTTATGCAAACATCATAATTTTCTTTGTTTTCCATCTCTGAAGACAATTTCTCTATTAAGCTCTTGTTTTGCATTTTGGTAGCACTTAATATTGGAAATTAGGGTCGGTTTAGTCAAATAGATATTTATTTTGCTCAGGGTTTTATATAAATTGCAGTGACGAATTGGATTTAGTGGTAAGGGATGCAAATTCCCCAGGAATAGACGTAAGACCGGGAGGGTGTTTTCTGAAGTGTTCATTGCACTGTGGACTGGAGGCACCTATCCACCATGCTGCTGGCAGTTGCTGGAGTGTGGGAGTCCTCATCTCATCCCGATCATGCCTTGTTCTCAGCGCCATTGAAAGGGAAAACAGTTTACTTCATTTTTGATAAACTGAGGATGCTTTCAGAATGCTGGAGATGAGATCAACCCCGCCACCAAGCATCACTTCTCCTTCACAGTGCTCATAGCTGGCTGGTGGTCATGAGAGAACGTTGGCCCCTTGCTAGCTTCAGCCTGGTTGATGGGGCTAGGCTGTGGGGCAGAGGGTTGGGACTTGGGGGGATGGGGATGGGGATCGGGAGTGAGTGGCTTGGTCTCCTGGAGGTGGTTGCACACTCACTGTGCAAGTATTTCTGCAAATCTAGACATTATTAGCCTAGAAAAGCCAAAAATTGACTGCTTATGTTTCTATGTTTACATTTCTTTAATAACAACTCTACTCTTAAGACAGTAAAAGTCAATTTATAATTTGAATGGAAAGGTTGGCAAGGTCAAAAGACATTATACCACTGCATGGATTAATCCTTGAAAATATTATCCAGACAAACATGTAGACACGTCCCAGGAAATGTGTAATCTCAGTAGAAGATTTTCCTATGTGACAACTGCAAAATCTTGGGATTCCTATAGGCCTAAGATCCAATCTCTAGTCAGCCATTTACTAGCTACTAAAGATTGGGCAAAATATTTCACCTGAGACTTATTTTCCTTGAAAATATTTGGTGTAGGCTAGCACTGGCACAGAACAGATATTCACTGAAAAGCAGTGATCCATCTCTGTGGTATGATAGGAAATTTGGTGGTATCCAATCTGTACTTTACAAAGGAAATGTAACAGAAATTAATCATTAAAAACCATTGGCTGACAAGTTCTGTATTGGTGTAAATATATAAACAGGACAATTTAAAAATCACTGACATGATGTGACATCTGGGGTTTGCTTCACAATGATCCAGGTGCTGAGCTATTACTGAGACTAGAATAGCTGGGAATTATTGATTATTGAAGCTGGATGGTGGAAACATGGCTTCACTGGCTCTATTTTTGTGTATGTTTGAAAATTTCTATGATAAATGTTTCAAATCCCTGGTCCACATGCCATATTTGAAGCCAAATAGGCAAGGTGTTTTATATTTATGAGTATGTTGAATAGAATGACTTTCATAAAATATCACTTCTTTGATTCCACTCTCCCCACATGGTCTCTTCTCACAGGATTTACCTAGCATTTGGAGAACTTAACAAAAAATATAGTTATATTAAAGGTGACCTTGTTAGACAAAATTCAGGGCAACTTTCACTTTAAAATACATATTTTTTAAGTCTAATGAATACTACACTTATATATATTGTTATTTTTATTAGATGTCTGTTTATTAGAGAGACGATATATAACTATGTATGAGATGTATTAGACATATATATTTACAATAATATATCTGGCATATTTTATTAGAACTTACCTTGAATAGCATTAGAGGCTAGTCATATTATAAGATTCTTTATGTACATTATCTCATGTCACCCCACCATGCACTTTTGCCACGATAATGGGAATATTCTGATATTCCAGGTAAGAGAACCAAGGAACAGAAGAGCTAAATGAGTAGCTTGAGGACACTCAGTAAGTAAATGACGTTGTGCCCAGGTCTCTTCAGCCCAAGCTCTCTCCATTCCGATTTGGCCAACACAGCTGTTCATGAGCCATTTAGAAGATATCCTTAAGTATAAATCTATGAATGAGATCATCCAATTAGGTCGACGCTGAGAATAACGTCTTAGAATCAGATTTAGGAGCTGTTTGTGATGGGGAAGTGTGCTGTCTGGCTGGTCTGAGTGCTGATTTTTAAGCTGCCAGGCCTGGGTGCATCAAGAGTTGCGCTGCCCAGGGGTTAATCGGAGCTCCTGGCTGTTCTGCATGGAGCGTACGGGTATCCGGGCAAGAGGGGTGGCCCATGCCTAATGGCTCTTGGTACTCAGTGCTCCACAGAGGGTTTCCTGCAAGCCACCTAAGCACAAGGGGATTCCTTCAGAGGCAGCTCGACCCTAAATCAAGAGAACAGCAGGCAGGCTTGCTGCTGACCATCTATGGGCAACCTGGCTACCCTCTGGCAGTCTTAACCCTTGGACTTAGGTCCTCTGCAACTGCATTCATCACTTGTGTTTATGTGTTTGTACAACTGCTTACATTGATTACAGGGTTCATGTCCCTTCTGTTTAAACTACTTTTTTGGAGGCTGTGGCCCTGTCTCATTAATCTCAGTGTTCCTAGCACCTCACGTTAGGCCTATCAGATGATTGGCGCTCAGCAAATGTTTGCTGCATGAAGTTGGTGCATGGCACCTTCTGTGTTAAGCTTCTCCAGTCCGCCCAACTACACTGTGTGCAGCCGTGGAGATTCCAGCCCAAAATGTTAATAACAAACTGCATCAACTATTTTATAAAGTGGTGTAGTGTATCCGGTAAGTCAGAGGAGGGATGGATTGTGTGTGTGTGTGTGTGTGCAGGTGTGTATGTGCAAGTGTGTGTGCCTGTGTGTGAAACACATTACTTTGCAGTTTGGAAGGCCTGGGTCCTGCTCTGTGGTCCCTAGCTAATCATTTAAGCTATTCTGGGCCTCAACCTCCTTATGTGCAGTTATTTGTGGTGGAGTGATTAAGATTTAAGGCTCTAGGCCTAGAAAGAGAAGTCCAGGTTTGAATCCTGCTGACACTACTTGGCCCTTGGGCAAGTTACTAAGCCTCCCTCTGCCTCAGTTTCCTCATCTGTGAAAAGTGAATAACAGACTGTCTCCCAGCAGGTTCTTGTGAGGATTAAAGAAGATAAAAAATACAAAATTCTGAGCCTGATGTCTGACACAGAGTAAGGATTTCCCATTGTTGGGCTTCTCACTACTCTAATCTCAGGACATGCTGTGGCACCTGAACAAGATAATATAGGTGTGCATGATGGGTGTTTTTGAGACAGGGTCTCACTCTGTTGCCCAGGCTGGAGTGTAGTGGTGCCTCTACACTGCAGCTGACCCTCCTGGCTCAAGCAGTCCTCCCACGTCAGCCTCCCTCATAGCTGGAACTACAGGGACTCACCACCACTCCTGGCTAACTTTTAATCTTTTTGTAGAGATGGGGTTTTTCTACATTGCCCAGGCTGGTCTCAAACTCCTGGGCTCAAGTGATCCTCCTGACTCAGCCTCCCAAAATCCTGGAATTGCAGGCGTGAGCCGCTGTGCTCTGCTAGGTGTGAACAATTTTTAAAAGGAGTACTACTAAAGGAAAAGGTATTAATATATATGTAAAGAATCTTATTCCTGGCCTCCATTTTTGCATGATCCTACAGTGCTAGAGAGAGTACAAATATTTTCCATACTAAAAGAGTAAAGTGGTCAATGTAAATTGTCCATCTAGTAATGAGTAATAGAGTATTCCAGTGATTTAAGGAAAAAACCAAATTCTTGGTTATATTTTTACCTTCACCCCCTTTTAAACAATGTCTTTTATGTGGTATGGACTTAAGTCTCTTTCCCCCAGGAGTCCTCAGTCCTTTCGTTTTTCCTCCATCAGCATTCAGAGAATTCCCACTTGAGTCGCAGGGAACAATCACGTCAGCTAGGGAATGTAGAAATGTAAAACAACAATTTAGGAGGCGAAAGGGAGTATCAAGTTAGCGAAACTGCAAGGGAAACTGGGGGCAGCAGAGCGACGTGCCAGCGTCCGTGTTGGGCGGGTGTCGGGGGGACCCGGACACCCCGCCCTCCTTCCTGCAGAGCTCTGCGGGCCCTGTGGCATCCATGGAGACCCTGGCTCCGGTTTCACAGGAAGGGAAGGTGTGTGTCACAGTCCCTAATGGATCAGCTACCAATCATTAGCCAAGTCCTTCTCTTACTTTTCTCCTCGGAGAGAACCAAGCTTAGACAATAGCATGGCTTTCGAGGTGGGAAGGACCTCATGAAGGAGACGGAAAAGAGTGACTGCAGATCTTACATGTAGGATCTGGCGGAGCTCAGCTTAAAGCCGTTGCCACCCAGCCATGGGCATTTTCTCCACATTTTGCAGGCATCCTACAACTGAAAACTGGGTCGCAGGCATTTGAATTGGCCCAGAGGACCCCTGCACCGCCTAAGCCCTCCTGGCTTTGTCATGGTTTTCAGAATTAGAGGGGAAGCATGCATAAGAAAGCAGAGGGCGTGGGCAGGAGCTGGGGCTGCCTCCTTCCCAAACACTGACGGCTCCTGTTGACACAGACTTGAAAATTCTGAGCGCTCATGGACATATTAGCATACTACAAATATCTAAAGGGGCTGTGAAATATCACTGAGAAGGTCTGTACATTGATTTTCTATATCTTTCATTGCAAATTAGAAGCAAAGGGAAAAAACTTTGGCCACTCCAAAGACCAACTCCAATACCGTTTCTGAGGCCTTAGAAAATAAATTTAACCCTTCCGGCCCCTCACTCGTTATTTTCACTGTTATAATGGGAATAATGGCAGCATGTTTTGTGATTCATATAGAAAAATATATGCTAATTGCTCTAAATCTTTAAATATATTCACAAATAACATATTCCTTATAGCTAAAGGTCTAATAAAATTTGCATTACTCTGTTCTCCTTGTAGAAGTGTTGCTTATTAATTGCAGTACATTGAGAAAACATCAACAAGCATACAGAAAAAATGAAAATCACATGTAATTCTTCAATCCAGAGTTAAGCATTGTAAATACATTGTTTATCCCCCTTAAAGTATTAAAGTGAATTTGATGTTAGATAGTACTGGTTATTTTTCATTATTTTATTTTATTTTTAATTTGACATTTATTTTGAGTTCAGGGGTTCATGTGCACGTTTGTTATATAGGTAAGCTTGTGTCATGGGGGCTTGTACAGATTATTTTATTATCCAGGTATTAAGCCTAGTACCCTTTTGTTATTTTTCCTGATCCTCTCCTTCCTCCCAACCTCTACCCTTTTTATTATTTTAAATTCATGGCATTTACAGTTGCCTTAGAACTTTCCATGTGCCAGGCAGTGTTCTAAGTACTTTTCATAGAGTAAGTCATGTCATACTCACTACAACCCTATGAGGTAAGCACTGCTGTTACCATGGCATGAATAAACTGAGGCACAGAAACTGTAAGTAGCTCATCCAAGATTACTAAGCCAGTGGGTAAAGAGGAGAGATTCAAAACCAGGCATTCTGGAACCAGAATATGTGCTAGGAATCATTAGGCTAGTAACCATTTGGCTTCATTTCTTGGAAGAGGAGGTGGTAAGTTTCTCTTGTATAAATGTTTTTATTAAAGGGAAATTGCAAATTTGATAATGAGTGTCTATCAACATTTAGATGTTCTCATTGGGCAGGCACTGTACTGAATATTTCACATACACACAATATGGTGCATAAAATACGTGGTTCGGTAAGTATTGATTGAGCTGCATTCAAGTTAAATTAAACCTCTCACCCAGGAAAGACCCACAACACACTGAAAGGTCTTCCTCGTGTACAACCAATTCTCCTTTCTGCAGGCCCAATGTATGCTTTTTGTGCTCTATTTTGTCTTGCCTGATAGTTTTATCTTCCATTAACTCTCTCTCCTCTGAATTCTTAGCATATACTACAGACACTGCTTCACTCACAATTTAAAATTTACTTTTTATTTTATTTAAGTGTATGCACATAGTTTAAAAGGGAAGTAAATCTAAACTTTCATAGCAGCATCCCTCAGGGCCCCATTTGTCACTGTAATATTCTGCACAGTCTGTGAAAACGGCATCCCCTTCAGAATCATGAATCGAACATGGTCATGTCCCTTCATCTCTTTTCATCTAGAATGGTTCTTCTCAGGCCACTGATTTGTGGAAGAGAGCAGGTCAGCAGTCCTGTAGAATGTTCCAGGTCAGTGTTGCTTACCTTGTTCCTTTGTCCCCCGTATATCCTACAGACTGTAACACCTATAAACTGAAATTGACTTAACTAAAAGCTTGACTAGATTCAAGTTCACCATCTTAGGAAAAAATAAACTATACATTGTAATTTTATTCTTTTGCAAGTGACTTATTTTTAAGTCTCTTTACATTAATAATTGTATAAAATGTCCCTTATAAAATTGCATGTGGCCTCAAAACACCATCATATTTATCCTTTTTATAATCTATGCTGCGTAGCAGATGTGAATATTGTCCTCAGCATTATTTATTAAATCAATGAATGGATGATGGATGGACAAAGAATAGTGAGATGATTGATTTTTTTTAGGGAAAATAGTGTAATTGGTGCATCTAAGCACTCTTTCCTCCCAATATTAGATTATAACCAGCAGTATAATTTGCTTTCAGCTCATTTGAAATGGCATTTAAGAGAATCAGTGATTTGCAAGGTGTCTGCAGAATCTATTAGCCTATCCCTGGGCCATGTTATAGATTAATACTTATCAACTATTGAAAACTTACCATGTCTTTGGATATTTACAGATAAGCTTTCACATGCCCTTTGGAGAGTCACATCCTATTCTGAGAACCCCCATTGTCTGAGCCAGCCCATGGGGAGCACAGGCTTCAGGTTCTAAGCTCGGTGGTCTGGGAAGTCCCGGGAAGAGAAGAACTGAGCCACGGTCCCAGGAAGAGAAAAACAGATAGTGGCCAGGCTCCATGTGTGCCCGCCCTGCTCTCCTCATCTCCCATGGATCCATGTTCCTGATCCTCACAGCTCTAGTCGTATTCTCCACTTTCTGCAGATGGGATTTAAACCCAGGTCTTCTGGGTCCAGCGTTCCTGCTCTTAATCATCCAGGCCTAAGGACACGGGTTGAAAGTCATTCACTGCTGCCTCTGGAGGTTGAGTTGTTTTAAAGTGCTGCGATCTACTAAGTCTTCAGAAATTAGTTGATCCAACCGTAATCTTCTGAGCACATGAGCTTTCTTTTCTTGAAGACTCATTACACTTTCCTTCAGCTTGTTCTCGGCAGGATGAGTGACTGCCCGTCCTGGAGGCCTCCTCAGAAGCCTCATACCTGGCTCTCCGATGGAGCCCACGGTTCTTCTGTACTTCCTCCCTATGGTTCCTGGGCCTGGAGTGTGGGCTGGACAGGGCAAGGCCTGGATTGTGTTCATTAAACAAGAAGATAAGCTCATGGTTACCACAGGGATGTTCTGTTTGTGCCCCTGCTAGGGTTTTGCTTGGCTTTGGAAGCCTTTCATGTGCCCCGAATGCTATAAACCCTTGCAATAAATGTGAAGTGTATATAGTTTCTGCTACTTATGGGAGGCATTGAGGGAGTTAAGCACAGTGGCTTTTGTGTCTGCAGATTTGAGCTGAAATTCCAGTTCTGCAGCATAGGGCTTAACAGGTTCACTCCCCTTCCCCATCCTCTCATCCCCCAGGGCTTTACTCTCTCTTCCTTCCACCTGGATAGATGCCCTTCTCATCTTCACACAGCAGAACACTGCTTGTTCTGAGAGCTCGCCCTGCTGATTCTTCTTCCATGAGTCAGAAAGCCCACTTCACTTATAGGATGAGAACATGGATTTAAAATCAGACAAATCTGGGTTCATACCGTCCTTTTGCTAGCTAGACAATGATTGGAGTTTGTCAGTTTCCTTGAGAAAAAAAGGGATAATGATATTCCTACCTTTTAAGGTAATGGCAGACATTAGGAAAATATAAACATAAAATTATTAGTAGAGATTTGATGAGTAGCCAGTGCTCAGTAATAACTAGGCAATTCTTGATTGTGTCTGAATGAGTTTGTGAGTGCATATGAGAGTGTGTGTATGTGAGTGTTATGCGTGCTCACACATGTGTCTGGTAAAGGGCAGATATTCATATAGCTGCTCAGGTTGGTGGAAATAATTTCTTTTTACTTTTATTCTATTGTTCCTCCCAGGACTGAGTTTCTGGCCTGTCTCACTTTTGACGTCTAATATTGCGTTGGTTAAGAGTGCCTTCTCTCTCCCCCACTCTACAGATATTCAGAAGTAACTGTGAAGTAATTGTGGATGGGATCCATGTCTACTTGGTATGTTTGTCTCCTGAGCATCTGTTGCCAGTGTAATTTCATGACAATCATCAATATGTATTGAATAAAACAATGGATATGTGAGTGGCTGCAGTATCCCCAAGTCATTTTGAACTGTGATTTTTACATGCCAGGGCCATCATCAGAAAATATTTATGTGTTACTTACCTAAGTCAGCACAATGCAGGCCAGTGAATGCTCAAAGAAACTGGAAATTCAGGTCCTGCCCTCTAGCTCACCTCTTAAGGGGTTGGCCTGCCCAAACTCTGTTATCACTGGAAAGATTAATCAGTCAGGATGCAGCTCCCTTACGAAGGTTGATGGAAGAGCAGAGCCTTGTGAACCCAACACCATCTAACAAACAGAATCTGCTGTTGATTTCACTATGCTCCACTGATGATCTTTCCTAAGAACCATCCTCTAGTCAGTTACAGATGCAATGGGTGGTAACAGCTCCCAGCTGCGTGGGGCCAGATCACACCCCAATGGCTAAGGAGAAGGTTTCAAAGCTTTCTTTCACCTCTGCCCAGTGGCTTGTCCATCAGTACCAGGACTTTAAATTCATCAGTCGTAATGAAATCACATTTTTTAAAATAACACAGAATGAGTTTCTTAGAAAATTAAACTGAATTAGTGCCAGGTTTTTGTATTTTGTCCTTGTTTACTGAGCATAGCATTAAATATACAAGCTGATCTCTCAAGCTAATCTTCCTCTTTATCCACAGAAACAGAAAGTAGATTAGCAGTTGCCAGGGACAGAGATAGGGAGGGACTGCTAATGGGTTCAGGGCTTCTTTTGGGGTATTAACATATTCTAAAGCATTCTAAAACTGTTCCTGTGCCCTATATTTACTGAAATATACTGAGAACCACTGACTTGTATGCTTTAAAAGGGTGAATGTTATGGTCTGAATTATATCGCAATATCATTTTTACTTAAAAATAACAATCATGGAACCATGTTTCCATTTCCTGGTTCCCTGTTTCCTCCTCCCCTAGGAGGTGTAAGTCTGAGGAAGGATGTACACTGGATGTGAAAGCCACAGCTGTGGTGACCAGGGACTGGGACCAGGAGTAATAATTTTTTACTTTCTTTCTTTCTTTTTTCTTTTTTTAGATGGAGTTTCGCTCTTGTTGCCCAGGCTGGAGTGCAATTGTGCAATCTTGGCTCACCGCAACCTCCGCCTCCGGGGTTCAAGCTATTCCTCTGCCTCAGCCTCCCAAGTAGCTGGGATCACAGGCATGCACCACCTCGCCTGGCTAATTTTTTTTTTTTTTTTTAAGTAGAGATGATATTTCTCCATGTTGGTCAGGCTGGTCTTGAACTCCCGACCTCAGGTGATCGCTCACCTCAGCCTCCCAAAGTGCTAGGATTATAAGCGTGAGCCACTGCTCCGAGCCAGGAATGATGCTTTCTAAACAATTCCACGTGCACGGCAACAGCAGGAAGTGCCCGTTTGTGACATTTCCCTGGGCCAGATAAAGAAAGCATCTGCTTGTGTTGTGTTGTGCCTGTCTCCATTAGAAGGTGTAGCCATAGGACAAAGTACAGGATGTTTGTCATTTCAATCTCAAGCACACCTTGAAACTTGAGATGAAAGTTTGTTGAAAACAGACAACTTACTCATTAAAGCCAGGAAACGCCTTTTTCTCCCAGAGTCACATGCTCTGTCTTGGAGAGTTGGCCTAAAATTACTTAGTGACACTGGCTACTTTTGTTTAAATGCTAAAAATTGTTTACTGAAGATTCACTTGAAGGGTCAAGGGATTAGCAAGACAAATATAGTTAGAAAAATACCTACTCTGTGCTTTTGGATGCAGGGTGCTTTCTGAGAAGTCCCAGAAAGGAAAATTCTATTCTCAGAGGCCAGTGAACTTTAGGAGAAATCAGGCTAGTCACTGGGGCTTCTCTCCCTCGTTTCTATGAAAGATGCAGTCATGGTCCTGAAATAATGCACCCTGTTTCCTTGAGAAACTTTTGCAGAATGAGCATAAAGGTAGATCCAGCATCCCCTTGGGTCTGTTTATGGGAAAAATCCTGTTTTTCTGGCTTCCTCCAGTGTCCATGTCTAGCTCAGTACTGTGGGACATGGGAGAAAAGCTGAGGATGAGGATCCCTCCCTGAAGGTGTTTACAATCTTAGAAGGGAGATAACATTGAGTTGAAGATCAGAAGAACTCAAAACAATAGGTGGATTTAACAATTATTTTTTCTTTTGCATACCTACCTGTAGCCCCTGTGTAGGGCACACATGTCCTGGCTGTTCCAGCCCTTGGAGGGTGCACGGAGAAGTGGGGCAGGAATCACAAAATGAAACAACTCCATGTTCTGTGAGCCTGGGCGTAGCAGAATTAAACATGATGATCTGAGTCACGAGGAGGGAGGACGTGGGGATGCCCAGGTAGGATGAGTATAGCACCTGAAAGAATAAAAGGTAGACTGACTTCAAATTATGCTACTAGGCTACAATAACCCAAACAGCATGTTACTTGTACCAAAACAGATATATAGACCAATGGAACAGAACAGAGGCATCGGAAATAATGCCACACATCTACAACCATCTCATCTTGGACAAACCTGACAAAAACAAGCAATGCAGAAAGGATTCCCTATTTAATAAATGGTGTTGGGAGAACTGGCTAGCCATATGCAGAAAACGGAAACTGGACCCCTTCCTTACACCTTATACAAAAATTAACTCAGGATGGATTAAAGACTTAAGCATAAGACCTAAAACCATAAAAACCCTAGAAGAAAACCTAGGCAATACCATTCAGGACATAGGCATGGGCAAAGACTTCATGACTAAAACACCAAAAGCAATGGCAACAAAAGCCAAAATTGACCAATGAGATCCAAGTAAACTAAAGAGCTTCTGCAGAGCAAAAGAAACTATCATCAGGGTGAACAGGCAACCTACAGAATGGTAGAAAATTTTTGCCATCTTTCCCTCTGACAAAGGGCTAATATCCAGAATCTACAAGGAACTTAAACAAATTTACAAGAAAAAAACAAACAACCCCATCAAAAAGTGGACAAAGGATATGAACAGACACTTCTCAAAAGAAGACATTTATGTGGCCAACAAACGTGAAAAAAAGCTCATCATCACTGGTCATTAGAGAAATGCAAATCAAAACCACAATGAGACACCATCTCTAACCTCCAACCTTGTTAAAATGGCAATCATTAAAAAGTCAGGAAACGACAGTTGCTGGAGAGGATGTGGAGAAATAGGAATGCTTTTACACTGTTGGTGGGAGTGTAAATTAGTTCAACCATTGTGGAAGACAATGTGACAATTCCTCAAGGATCTAGAACCAGAAATACCATTTGACCCAGCAATCCCATTACTGGGTATATAGCCAAAGGATTATAAGTCATTCTACTATGAAGATACATGCACACGTATGTTTATTGTACCACTATTCACAATAGTAAGGACTTGAAACCAACCCAAATGCCCATCAATGATAGACTGGATAAAGAAAATGTGGCACATATATACCATGGAATACTATGCAGCCATAAAAAAAGGATGAGTTCATGTCCTTTGCAGGGGCACGGATGAAACTAGAAACTATCATTCTCAGCAAACGAACACAGGAGCAGAAAACCAAACACTGCATGATCTCACTCATAAGTGGGAGTTGAACAATGAGAACACATGGACACAGGGAGGGAAACATCACACACGGGGGCCTGTTGCGGGGTGGGGGGGCTAGGGGAGGGATAGCATTAGAAATACCTAATGTAGATGACGGGTTGATGGGTGCAACAAACCACCGTGGCACATGTATACCCATGTAACAAACCTGCATGTTCTGCACACATATCCCAGAACTTAAAATATAATAAAAAAAGAATAAAAGGTAGAATTTATGGGCTTCAGTACGTCCCCCTTAAAAGATAAGTTCTTACTCTCAGTGAATGTGGCCTTATCTGAAAACAGGGGCTTTGAAGTGATCAAGTTAACATGAGGTCATTAAGTTTTATCCCCTAAACCAATATGACTGGTGTCTTTATGGAAAGAGGAAATCTGGACACAGACACACGCACAGGGAGGACGCCATGTGAAGGTGACGGCAGAGACCGGAATGGTCCTTGCACACACCAAAGACCACCAAAGGTTGCCGGCAAACCACCAGAAGGTGGAAGAGAGGCTGGGAACAGAGTCCCTCTCACAGCCTCAGAAGGAATCAACACTGCTGACCCCTCGATCTCAGACTTCCAGCCTCCAGAATTGCTAGACAACACTTTTCTGTTGTTTAAGCCCCTAGGTCTATGCTACTGTGATGTGGAATCCTAGCAAACTGATACAGGGAGGCTTGGATTCTGTCCAGGGAAGACGTCCAGAAGGATGAGAGGGGCTTCCTTGACTTCTCCACTTACAGAGCCTTCTCCACTTACAGAGGGGCTTCCTTGACCCCAAGCATGGGAAGTGCAGGTGCATGAGGGGCCAGACAGGCTTTGTGAATGTCACTGGCTCAGCAGAGCTCAGACAGAGGAGAGCAGCAGCTAGGTCCGGAAGGATGGCCAGAAGTGACAGCACATTCTGAGTCGAATGGGTCTGGGAGGCAATGGGGGGCCTGCGTCGGTTTGTAAGCAGGGACTAGAGAAAGTGAAGGGGAAAGCTGGATATTTCATCCGGCAAGGATGGAGAACCCTCTGCAAGCTCTTAGAGCAGCCACGAATGTGGAGGGCAGGTGTGGGGACTTGTAATGTCCAAGAATGTGGCGGGCAGGTGTGGGGCAGGTGTGAGTGCTGTAAGCCCAGGAAACAAGCCGTTCCACATCAATGCTGCTTGTGTAATAATCCAAGTGATTTTATCTGGACCTCCCCACTCCCACTCCCAGCTCGAGGCACCTGGCCTGCCCCTGGGCCCTCACAGTGCCCTGCCACGGGCTTGGGGACGCAGCTGTGTCTGTTCTTTCTGCCAGCCATGGGAGTGTCGGGTGGGAGAAGGACCCTGCTGCCACTTGACCCTTACAAAGTCCAGTGTGGCCTGGTGTGCAGGTCCCAGGCTCTGGGACTCACTGTTCCCTGTTAGCCAGGGTCTGGCTGGAGGTGATCCAGCCCAGGTGTGACTGGGAATCTGTGGCATCTGCCCTGGAAGTGTCCTTTGTCATGACGGCCTGCACCCCTAGCAGTCCTGGGTGGCTCCATCACTGTGCTGCTGGCGTGGCTTTTCCTCAGGAAGAACAACTGGATGCATGTCGATGCAGTGACATGTATCAGACGCGGCAGTAGCCCTTATCTAGATGTTCCTTTCATTGCAGTCACTTGGCCCAGTTGTAAATACACCCCCAAAACTGCCAACACCAGTTTGTAGGTGAACAAGAGAGGGCAGATGAGGAAACTGAGCACTCAGTACCTAAAAGGAGCATTCACCAAGTTCCTCAGTGCTCCCACCAAGCGACTGGGAAAGGAAGTGCCCGGGAGCCCGTTGGACTGAAAACCTAGAGGTGTTTGTCTTACGGCAGTGGATTCTTCTCCTCCTTTCTGTTTAGTGTTAGTTTTTTTTTAAACCGTTTGTTTGTTTTTTTTTTGTTTGTTTGTTTGTTTTTTGCTTTTCCGTGTGCAAGTCTTAGAGTATTTTGTAACTGGGGTGAATATTTTAGATATTGATGCTGGGAAAAGACAGGCGGTTGTCCTCGGAAATTGGAACAGCTGAAATATTATTATCAAGTCAATGTGCTCCCTTCCTGGGTGTGGCGATAGTCACAGTGGGCCCTCCACTTTCTTCATGAAAATCCAGGCCTATGACTCAGGAGGTAGGAGACTCTCTGGAGAGAGGAACTACACTAAATCAGGGTTCTCCGAGGGCTTCCCTGCGACAACTAGAGTGCTCATTTTCTTCAAAGATTTTAGGGCAAAATGTAGACTGCTTAGCATGGATCCTTTGAATTTCTGGCATGGTCACGTGTGCCTGTGTGTGTGTGTGTGTGTGTGTGTGTGTGTTTAACAAGGCTACTTAAAAAGCTATCTTTCTTACTCTACATGATCGCCTTGTCTCTGTGGTGAACTTCTAGGAAATGTAAATTTGCTTTTCTTTTTTTTTTTTCCTTTTGTGCATGAGAAAGTGGCAACTTTGCAAAAACAAGCCAGGCATCTGTTCACTTTTTGTAGAAACGGAGAAACAATATTGTGATTTTTTTTTTTTAAAAAGAGAGAAACTCCTAGCTCCTATAACAATTTTTGTTGAAGAAATATTCATGTTAGAATGACTAGCCATTATTACGCACTAATAAGGTATAACTGTGTGGTGCTAGACATTAAAAATATAAGAGTTTTCCCTAAAAGGAACATTTATTTCCAGGAGCAGGAAAACAGCAGCAGGGTTTTATGGTCCCACCGCTCATGCACAGTGTACAGTAAGTGCTACAGAAACATTAGCGTATAAGTGCCCATTAGCCTCGCACAGAAGAATCCAGGGCCCATTACTCAGACTTCTAAAGGCTCAATATTGGATCACTGTTATCAAACTAAGATTAGCTAAAAATTTACCTGGTACTTCCTTAGAAATGACCTCATCAATTTAATACAAATTTGGCAGATGGGGTATTTTGTTATCCTGATGGCCAATTTTGACTTTTACAGGAAAATGCAGTCTTTGAAATCTTGTCTTAAATATGGGCATGCCATTTTTTTTTTTGCCTTCTTTAGATACTTTGGGGGTTTGAAGATTTACTCAAGCTAATGACCCACTTTTACTCACAGCATGCATTTGCATTACACAATTAGGCAACATTCACCAAACATTCATCAAACAATATGGAATCTGGACTTTTAGCAAGAGGGGAAAGCAACATCTGGATAAAATTATCAGCTGGATTTAGGGATGAAAACTCGGCTCATTGCTTTCTCAGTTTTACATTATAAAACCAGCCAGGCCCCTAAAGTGAACTGCTCAGGATAATCGTAAGCAGGGGCTTATTATTGCAGAGGCCACTGTACTTTAGAATTTGCTTGAGGATCCATTTATAAATAAATGCCACCTCAAGAGTCCTTTCTCATTGTGCTTTGCAACCATAATTAGACAAGCCGTTTCTGCAGTGGCCTCTAGTAATTCACTTGTAAAGAAATTTTTCTCAAATTTTTATACTTACTGAATTCTGTACATTTTATTTCAAAATAAATATATTCATTCATTCATTGTTTTCATCAATCTTTCAGTCTGCAAATGTCCACAAAAGGCTTGTAAGCAGCATGAAATAGTAGACAGACACAGAAACTAATTAATTTCACCACAGTGTGGATAAAGCTGCAACCGAGGTGGATGCAAAGCAGCTGGGAGAGATTTGATTAGCCCGGGAGGGCAGGAGCAACCCAAGAAGGCTTCCAGGGAAGGCTGTGATTAAACCGAATATTAAAGGTTGAGAATGAATGTATTCAGGTCGTCGCTGAAAAAAGGAGAGCTATTCTTAATTGACGAGCATGTTTGGAGAAGTCAATAAGCTGAGATAAAGGAGACAGCACGCTGTTGCAGAAGAATGGTGGTTGATGCTGTCAAACAAATGTACGTTCTGCCGCAAGGTGCTGCTTAGTCTGGCCGAGTGAGCCTGGTCTTCTTATCTGTCAAATGGGAGTAATATCCCCAGTTCACAGGGCGTGGCCGAGGAGGAAATGGAAGTGAGTATAGAAGGGCCTGTTTAGTGCCACATGCAATTATCAAAGGGTAGCAATTGACTTTCTGTGGGACATACCATATAAATCTATAGTCTTGCTTTTATTTTCTTTCCGTTCATTTCTCTGATCTTCCTAATACTTCTTTTAACTTTGAAAAAAAAAAAGTTAACGTCTAAACCTCACCTGATACACTGACTACGCACTTGGATGCCTTTGGGGATGAAAAAAAATGAGTAGGGGTGAGGAAGGTAAATATTACAATCACATTAGAGGGAACGGCCATTTGTCAGTGGCGAGGCTCCACCTTTCCCTTAAAACATGCAGCTTTCACTCTCCTTGAATGGAGCGTGCTGAATGTTATTGCTAGCTACCTTTCAAATATGCACTATTATCACATTTTAAAACATTTTTGACACTGAGGTGTTCTTGAGTAATATTCCAACATAATCTAGTATTCAATATTTAAGGACAAATATTAAGAATTTGTGTTAAATTTTTAAAAACTCAGAAAATCTGTCTTTAAGAGCATATTACATCAGAGTAAAGGATCAATTATGAGTGTTCAGAGCCGATGATAAATCACATGGAATGGCTCACAAATTTATTATTTTTTAAAATCTTTTTTTATGAGAGAATCTCACTCTGTTGCCCAGGCTGGAGTGCAGTGGTGCAATCTTGGCTCACTGCAACCTCTGCCTCCCGGATTCAAGTGATTCTCATGCCTCAGCCTCCTGAGTGACGGGATTACAGGTGTGCACCACCACACCCAGCTAATTTTTGTATTTTTAGTAGAGACAGGGTTTTGCTATGTTGGCCACGCTGGTCTTGAAATCCTGGTCTCAAGTGACCCACTTGCCTTGGCCTCCCAAAGTGCTGGGATTGCATGTGTAAGCCACCGCGCCGAGCCCTGTGGTTCACAAATGTAAATATGAAATATGAAGAATGTTTTTGGCTGTATTCTTTTAAATGCATATCTCTTAGTCTATAGTATCTTCTCCCATGGAAGTTCTCTCTAAGCCTCATGCCCTCACAGCAGGGCTCAGAGGCCTTGGCAGTTGAAAATCTTTCTGCTGGTAGCAAGCGTCCAACCCTTATTTTGGAATATGGCTCCTTAAGCAAGTGTAACTTTCCCCTCCAAGGAGCACATGCTGGAGCACGATACGGGGGCTGGTACAAATCAGCATTTGTAAACTGACTTTCAGAGTCCTCCATGTGCCAGAGAATCCTTTCTAGGTCTCAGCACCAAGGCGTGGTGGCTGCTACTGGTGACCTTGTCACTTGATTCTCTTCAACAGTGGCGCAGGTGCTTCTCCTTTAGGTTAAGTGTTGAGTTGTGACTTTGTATTCTTGCCTCCCGACTTCTCTCCCACTCCTGTCACCTCAATGCCTAGATGTGATAAATACATGTTAGGTTCATTAATTAATGCAAAACTAATGAATGCCTAAGACTTGCAATGTACAGTGCATAAAGAGAGTTACCCAGTTGGTGTCTTAGCAGCTAAGGTGATTCAGGGACAGGACTTTGCAATATGTATTATTAAGGGGCGTCCAACATCTCCCTGATGTTGCCTTAAAAGACTTCAGAGGTAGTTTAGCCAGTTTCAAAACCTCATGCTACAGTTTCACAAGCATGTAAATGTATTTCTATTCATTAGAAATAAGGGTAGGAGATTGGATCAAATAGCAAGTTTGAACACATGATTTTATGGTACTATGGAGAGTTTGACTTTTCTTAAATTATCACTATTATCAAAGGAAATGTTCGCAGAACTCCACATCCAGGGAGCAGGACTCTATCTCCTGTGCAGACTGGTGGCTGGTCCTCACAGCTGCTGGCCATCTCCCAGGAGTCCCCGGATGGCTCTCACTTCTGTGTCCATGGTAACCTTGCAAAAACATCCCTAATTCTGCCCACCTGTAGAGCTGGCCACCTATCTCCCCATTGTCAACAGATCATTTCGGGTGTGTCACAGTACTTGGAAACCATAAGGTGCAATTTCTATCCACCTATTTTCCCAAAGATGGAAAACTTTTTTTCCCTTTGGGCTTCTTTTGCTCTTGCAGTGGAAACAGCATCTCTCTTCCCGGCTGGGGCTAATTCTTCTATCTGGGTCCAAGCTCCACCCTTCCTGGCACCTTTCTGGATTCACTTTTATCTTCCTTTTCTATAATCTTCAGCCTTTCCCTGCATACTGGTTCCTTCCTGCCATTAAGCACATATCTCAAGTGTCAGCAAACATGAAAGAAAAAAACTCAAACCTCAAAGTCCCCAAAACACATTCCCTTCTAGTCACCACATTCTCTCTCGTCAGCTTCTCAGACATGTTTACACACTCTGCTCTTTCTTCCTCACCTGACGTCTCACTTCTATCCCCGCCCTGAGACACTCTTGCCAAAGTGTTGGAGCTTTCTCTGCGTGTCCAAATCCAAAGGGTACTTTAAAATCCTTATTGTTCTTGGCTGCTGTGAACATTTGGCCGGTGTTTCCACTCTTCCTTTTGACTATGGCCTGCTTATCTAGGGCCTTCTTCTCAGGTCACTTTATTGCTTTTTTGTTTTCTGCTCAGTCTTTAAATGAAGATCTCCTTACCCATTCTGCCTCTGGCTTTTCTTCTCCCTCCGCAATCCCACTTTACTCATAACACGCTTCCCCACAATGTCTTCCCAGCCCGGACCTCTCTTCCTGGGTTCCCTGTGCATGGTTCTACTTGCCCGCTCACCTTCTGCTCTCAAAGGCATCCCCAAACTCAACACAGCCCAATTTGAGCTCATTAGCAACTTCTCTGTCCCCTGAAAAATGTGCCTTTTCTTTATTATCCTCCTTCTCCATAAATGGCACCACTCCTCCCCCGGTGCCCAAGGCAGGGATGAGACCCAGGTGTCATGAAGACAGCCATGGAAGCAAGCTCACCACTCCTATCTCACTGCCCCCCGCAGGAGATGACCACTGCTGGGAGCCGAGTAGCTGCCCTCAGCTGCTGCCAGGCCTCAGTGTGCTGTGGGCTCACGCTCAGACCATCCCCTCCCTGGTTGCTCCCTCCCTGGTTGCTCCCAGCAATGTCCATGCCCCGTAGGATTCCTCTAATGGGCTTCTTTTTGCTCCAGGACACCCTGCAGCCTGGCCAAGACTGGCTGAGAAATGCTGCTGTTGGAAGCTCTCCAACCCAGCCTCCTTCCATCCTCTGCTTCCGCAGGCAGCAGAGCCTCTGGCATGTGTGAAGGCTCTCCTCCCGGCTCCCACTCCTGCTCTCCTTTATTTCTTGACATCTCTGTGCCACCCTCTTGTTCAGGTTGCAGGCAGATCCTCTCTCCAGACCCTTGAGACCGCCTCTTGCTTTGCTGCCTACCTTTCCTGTGCTGTACAGTGACCTTCCAAATGCAAACCTGACCAAGCCGTGCTCCAGCTTCAGACCCTTAAAAACTCCCCACGACCCTCAGTCCAAACTCCTTCATTAGATTTATGGGAGCCTTCAGGCCTTTGCTGTGTGGCTCCCATTCAGCTTCTTGGCTTTGTCTCTGTAGGCCAGGCTTGCTGCCACATGGTGAACTTGTTTTAGTTGCTCAGAAGCTGAGGATAGGTATTTGCCATTCTCTTTGTCTACAGACTGGCTAGCATCTACTGCAAACTTGTCCCTCGAGTCTTACCTTATTTGTCCATTTCTCCAAAATGCTTCCATCCATGCCACGCGCCCTGCCTGCATTCCACTGGGCTTGATGCTCTTGTTTGAGCTTTCTGTAGAACACTGCACTTGATTTTATGTCTTTTCACTTTTCAGGTTGAATTACATCACTTACTCAATTGTCCATCTCCTTTAACAAAATAAGGACAGAGAGGCACTGGCCCGATGCTTCCCTTGCTCATCAATGTATTTTGTGCAGCTCACACAAACCTGGCTCCATGGATATGTGTTATGTAAATGAAGAAATGAGGGAAAAAATAAATGTCTGCTTAAATACATGGATAAGTGATTAAAAGACTTATTTCTCTAGAGAACCACGAAGGAAGGCAGATGAAGCTGTAAGGACATGGAGAAGCAAAATGCTGCAAATCTATTTTTTGGTGGAGTAGATGATTATGTGGCCAAGTATACTTCAGGCTTAAGAGTAGACAAAGAAACAAAAATATTTCTCTTTCCAGTTTTATGTCTCCCAACCCCTAAAACACAGAACCTTTCACTCAGAGAGACTCTCATTAATTGAGCTGTGACTTGAAAGTATACATTATCACTGAGATAGCTATAACATGCATACATTTTTTTAATTTCTCAGGAGTAAACGATCCCAATTGCAGTTTATCTGTGGTTCATCTGGCTTCTTCTCACACCACCTCTGTTGACATGGGAGGCCTGCCGGCCACACATCCAGGAAGTATGAAATCAGCGGGGTTCCTCCCCTTCTTGCTCCAGGGAAGCCTGAGAGGGACTCTGCAGATTGCATTTGGAATCCATCTGCCAGGTAATGCTCTCTAGTCTTTGCCAAGCAGGAGCTGCAAGGTGGGGAACCTTGCTAGACAGAGCTCCTCGTTTCAGTCTGGCTTGTCACTTACAGTAAATCAGTTGAAGGCGGAGCATAAATACAGGCTTTCTTTCCCAGATCCCAACACTGCCCGGTTGCACAAGCCAAAACAAGATGAGGGATTTTTCTCCTTCCTCTCTGACAGGGCAAAACTCCTTTGGAGGTTAGACTCTTGGTATGTGCACACACCCAAAGAAGCCCTTCTTTATGTGAATTTTTGTGAATTTTCCTGCCCTCTCAAATGTGAGCGATTTTGGCAAAATATTGCGTTTCACCTCTATCATTCTCCTATCATTGTCAGTATAACAGAAAGTGTTGTTTTGTTCCTTTAACAGACTTGTCTATTTTAGTTGTCAAATAGAAACAAACATACACTTGAATGTAACAGCACATTATTCAAAATAAAACTAATAATACATAATTTTAAGTTGTATTTGTCATGGTACCCTTCATGAAGCTCTTGATATTTTTGCTTCATTTGATGGAAGTTTATGGAGTTCCTTCTATAATATGTGCCAGGTCTCATGCAAAGGGGTTTCTCTCTGCTCATGACCAACTTGGAATGGGGGTGTTGTTAAGTGCAGGGTGCAGATGAGACAATTGGGCCTCCATGACCTAACTCCCAGTGTAAGCCTCCTAAGGTAGCCTCCCGGAATCCTCTCTCATCCCATACCATCTCTTCCTTATGAGACCTTCCCAAGCAGCTACGTGCCCAGGGTACCTGTTCAATATACTGGGTCTCTCGGTCTCTTTTGAATCCTCTTCAACTGTCATGTTATATTTTTTCACAAAGCTTCATCTTGGCTCGGGCAGAAGTGATCAGGCTTTCTCAGGAAATCTCCCACAGTCTCCAGGAGAGAAGCTGAGGGTGGAGGCCAGAGATTTATAAGAGGAGGGAATTGAAAAGTGGCAGGCTGTAGGACTGTATTGCCAGTGCACTGGGGCATTCTGATTTGCTGTTTGCAGGATTCTTGTGGCCAAGGCCTGAGCACTTCAGAAAGTGCAATGTGCCACCTACCTGCATCAGCATCACCTGGCCTGCTTGTTACAAATCAGATTCCTGGTGCCAGGACCTCTTGGTGAAGATAGGGAGAGGCCTAGGCCTCACCCGCAGCCCAGGCGCCTGTCCAGCCCCTGCCCTGCCACCCTAGTAGTAGAGCATGCAGGCAGGTGAGACAGGTGTGTCCTGGTTTGTGACCTGGGTTAGGATTGCCCTCTATTCCTTAGTCTTCTCTTCTCATAAATCTCTGGCCTCCACTCTCAGCCTCTGTCCTGGACACTGTGGGAGATTTCCTGAGAAAGGATTATCACTGCTGCCAGAGCCCAAGATGATGGATGCTTTGGGGAAAAAAAAGAAAGAAAAGGAAAGAAAGAAAGAAAGAGAGAGAGAGAGAGAGAAAGAAAGAAAGAAAGAAAGAAAGAAAGAAAGAAAGAAAGAAAGAAAGAAAAAGAAAGAAAGAAAGAAAGAAAGAAAGAAAGAAAGATGCTTGAAGAAGAGGATGCAAAAGAGACCGTGTGGGCTTGTGAGAGGCAGAGGCGCTCCTCTGAAACCTGTGAGGAAATCTGAGCTGGAGAGAGGAGAAGCCTCAGCCACGGAGGGAGAAGTTTCCCCAGGGGTCTCTCATGGTGGCCCCAGGGTGAGGAGAGCCACTGAAGGAGATTCACCTGAGACACCACATCACGAAGGAGGACTGTGGCCATCAGAGGCACTGGGAAGGGAAGCCTGAGAGGGACCAGGCAGATTGCATTGCATAATGTCAAGGTAGAGGAGCAGCCTGGATTCTCAGGTTACAGAGCTGTGGGCTTTGTGGGCAGGAGCACCTCGGCCTGAAGCCACTTCTGCATGTGCTATCCTCCTATCCTAGGCACTTCCACAGACCTTTCCCAGCCTAAATTTTCACATCCGTGATATTCAGATCACATTTCTTCCTACTCTAAGGTTAGAGTGAGGATTAAAACAGGAAATGCTGGTAGGGACTTGGCAGAATGCTGGGCCCTAACACATCATAGGCCATTAAAGAACATTGGCTGGGCTGTTTGTTGCCAGCGAGGGGGTTGTTTGGGACCCAGAGAGCTGCCTGGAGGACTTGATGAGCTCAGAAACTAGTCTGTGATATGAGGCGGATTAAAATGATGGCTAAGGGAAGGAATAAAGCATAGCCTAGGTGCTTACTTTATGGTATTTTCAGGCTAATTTGTTTTTTTTTTTTTTTTTTTTTTTTTTTTGAGACGGAGTCTCGCTCTGTCGCCCAGGCTGGAGTGCAGTGGCGCAATCTCGGCTCACTGCAAGCTCCGCCTCCCGGGTTCACGCCATTCTCCTGCCTCAGCCTCCCAAGTAGCTGGGACTACAGGCGCCCGCCACTACGCCCGGCTAATTTTTTGTATTTTTAGTAGAGACGGGGTTTCACCGTTTTAGCCGGGATGGTCTCGATCTCCTGACCTCGTGATCCGCCCGCCTCGGCCTCCCAAAGTGCTGGGATTACAGGCGTGAGCCACCGCGCCCGGCCGGCTAATTTGTTTTGTATGCTGGGGATGACATCTAGATGAGCCTTTCATCAGGAAGAGTTTCTGCATTTTGAATGCTGTTCTAGAGTCAGCTAGAGACAATCCCTGCAAAATAACTTATCTAAAAGCTCTTTCAAACTCCTCCCCGGGCAGCCTCACTATGCTCACCAGAATGCTAGATGTGAATGTGCATTCGGTGAGTACTGGCTGGGCCTGAAACATCGTCTTGTGGGATTCTGGAGACACCAAAACCCAAAGGACAATTTAAAGAGCAAAGAGCCATTGCTACCTTCAATGTTTTGAAGCCTCTGCCACCCTCAATGATCTTGGCAACCCTATTTGCTTCAAGAGGAAAACAAATAACCAAAATAAACCCAAATGCTAGGAGAACAAGAAACTGTTAGATAAATGTGTCTCACAGATCATGGGAAAGCCCCTTTGGATGAGTGTGGCTTTGTTTTGTTGGTTTCAAATCTCAGCCATTTGCTAGCTGTGTGATTTGAGCAAGTGGTCTGCACTTCCTGAACTTCATGTGTACAATAAGGCTGAACATACCCTCACTTACACTTTCAATCTGCAGATCAAATGGAAGGTTCAGTCCCCCCCACCCCCATCTAGTAAATACTCCAGGGCTTGCCGGTTTTCTTTTGCTTTTCTCTTTTCTTCTCCCCTTTCCTTGAAGATTGGTCAGGAGGAAGGATTTTGTTTTCCAGAAAGGGTTGCAATTGAATTCTGAGCCCACCTCACCTAAGGCTAGCCTTAAAGTTATTTAAATGCAGAAAATTAACATATTTTTTGATTAACTTAACCAACTTTTATAACATACCTGAAAAGAAGAAGGCCCAATACAAAGGGCCAGCTTTGAAGGCATCTTCTGAATGCCACTGAATGTGGTCTTGCTGGATCTGTGAGAGAAGTTCAAAGAAATGAGTATTTTTGTATGGAAAGTGACCTGACCTAGCCTATTTAAAGTTCAAAAGCTAAGTGTGTCAGGAGGACAGATTGCAGGGGCTGTCAGAACGCCCGGGCAGCCACAACTCCACAACTCCTCACGGAAGCACACCTCAGGTGGTTCAGGGATTGGGAGGGAGGCAGAACCATGTTTGGGGCAGACAGGTGAGCTGTGTAAATTCCAGAGCTTATCATGGACTGTAAGGCACGGGTTCTCAGCCTTGTGGATTTCAGAGCAGAAAAATGTGCCGAAGAAGCCGGAGGACAGACATAAAGTTGACAACTCCGCCTTTTGCCAAATAAGAGAATTAAGAAACAAGCTGACCCCTTTTCATAAAAGAAAAAACTTTCAATACCGAAAAGCAGAAGGTTACAGTCTTGAAGGACTGGAGTTTAAATGGACCAAAATCACTTTGTGAAAAACTCACTCGATTGTTTCTTGCATTTCATTGAACCCCACATCAACTCCACCATGAGTGGCAGCGCCTGGAGCCACAGTTAGGAGGTTGCTTTCCTCTGCTTTTCTCTTTAAGCTATTCTTGGAAGGGCAGCCAGGCTTGGCCCAGTGAACCCTAATAACAGCTTTTTGGTTTGTGGATCCCCAGTTCTGTCTCCAGTTCCTTTCTTTGCTCTGGTTCAATACTCTTGGAGAAGAGGGAATGACCATCTCAGCACAACCTGGGCTGAAGGTTTTCCCAGAGACTCTCAGTGCTAATGCCAGGACACGGTCACCTTCAATTTTTCTCATTTTTAGATAAAGCCCTGAAAATCAGAGAGGTGGGATGATTTGCTGGAGACGGCACCACCCTGGATGGCCAGATGTGGCATCGAAAACACAATCTCCATACACTTGGTTTGATGTTTTGTCCATCCCAGCAGTTGGACTTTCCACGGACGTTTTTCTGTGTCATTTATGAGCCAGCTATCATGAGATGGCCGCATGCATCAGCAACTCACTTGTTTCTAAAATGAACTCACACTCAAGTTCACATAAACTGTTAAGCCCTACATCCAGATAAATATTTTTGAAAAGCTGTACCCTTCTTCATCTGAGTATATCCTGGTTTTTATTATTAACATTAGAGGTTTCAAGGGTTTTCTTAGACACCCCGTCACCTGGCAGTGGAATGTCCTGGAGTAAAGCAGTATGGCCATTGGAATTGGACCCACTTTTAATGCATGATCTTTAACCTCAAATGGGCATGGATAGTGACCCAGCATTTGCCAGGGCCATTCACTCTCCTCTACTAGACAACTGTTTCATACCCCTCCCGCAGATTTGAACATCCTCCTCCATCCTCCACATCAGCAACCAATGATTTCATTTCCTTGTTGGCTGGGAAAAGTGACGCAGCCATGAAAACCTCTCACCAGCTCTCATGGCCCATCTCTCTTCCCTGCCAGGATGTGGATCCTGTTCTTGCAGATAAAAAAGGGCCCACCTTTTACCTGTCTCAGGTGCACCCCTCCTCTGGACCCACCCATCCCTTGGTACCCATCCCAGGACATTGCTGCAGACACTTCTCTCATTTCCTGATCATAAACTTTTTCATCTCCATTGGAGCATTCTCATCAACCCACAAACATCCTGTTCCTTCTGCTCTCTTCAATAAATAATTAAACAATAATAACAACAAGAAAATCATGTTATTTACCCTATTTTCCCTTGAACTACAATCCCATTTAGTTTTACCTTTAAAACAAAACTCCTGAAAAGAGTTGTCTCAATTTACCTTCTCTAGTTCTTCTCTCCTGTTTCCTTTTAAACCTGCTCCCATCAGAGCATCATCCTACGACTGCCTGAAGCTCCTCCAAAGTCACAGTGGCCTCTCACTGCTGAGTCCAAGGGTGGGCTCACCAGCTACATCCTGAGCTTCAGCAGCACTGCCTGGCCCAACCGGCTACTCCTGCCCCCAGGAAAGCTCTTCACCTGGCTTTCCGGGCACCATGTTCCTCTGGTTTTGCCTCTAAGTCAGTGGATGCTTTTCTTAGCATCCTGTGTTGGCTTCTCTCATCTTCTCAACCATTTAGCATTGGAGTGACCCAAAGTTCAACTTTGAACATCTTCTCTTTTACCTGGCTTGTTCTCCTGATGACCTCATCTGTCTCTACTTGTTTAAATACCTTCAGTCTGCTGACAACACCCAACTTTCCGTCTCCAGCCCCAGTCTCACCCCCAAAATCCAGTTTCGTATGTTCATTGGCCTAGTAGATATTCTCCCTTGAATTTCTAAGAAACATCTACTTAGCGTGAGCAAAGCTAAATTCCTTGTTTCCCACTCATGGGCCTTTATCTTCTGTGGTCTTCCCCATTTCACTGGTGACAACTGTTGCATCTGAGCCATGCAATGCCCTGCAGCCTTGATCTCTCTATGCCCTGTTGCATCTGAGCCATGCAATGCCCTGCAGCCCTGCTCTCTCTGTGTGCTGTTGCATCTGAGCCGTGCAATGCCCTGAGGCCCTGATCTCTCTGTGCCCTGTTGCATCTGAGCCATGCAATGCCCTGCAGCCCTGCTCTCTCTGTGCGCTGTTGCATCTGAGCCATGCAATGCCCTGGGGCCCTGATCTCTCTGTGTGCTGTTGCATCTGAGCCATGCAATGCCCTGCAGCCCTGCTCTCTCTGTGCGCTGTTGCATCTGAGCCATGCAATGCCCTGGGGCCCTGATCTCTCTGTGCCCTGTTGCATCTGAGCCATGTCATGCCCTGCAGCCCTGATCTCTCTGTGCCTCACTGCATCTGAGCCATGCAATGCCCTGCAGCCCCTAGTCTCCCTGTGCTCCTTGCATCTCTCACACCACATCTTAAGATGCCACCCTTTCTCCATCTGCCCTGGACTCTCTGGCCTTCTTGCTGTGTGCTCTTTGCACCTGTTGGCCACAGTATACCTCAGGGCCTTTACTTCTCTCTCCCTTCTGCCTAGGACTCATTCCCCAGGTGCCCTGTTATCCTACCCCTTTCCTTCAAGTCTGGTGAAATATTTCCTCCTGAGGGAGAACCCACCCACCCTATGAAGCTGTGGCACTCCCCAGCCCATCCCCTGCTCCCTTTGCCTGCCTTCTTTTCAGCAGTGCTTTCTAACCCTCATTTACTATATCCTTTCCTTGCTTATTCTCTCCTCCCCACGAGTTTGTAAACTCATGTCTGTATGTATTTCCAGTGCCCTCTTGACTTCCCTAACCCCAGAGCCTAGAACAGGGACTGACACAGTATTTCTCAGTTAATATTTGTTGGGTGAACTCATTTCCGAGGAATCTGAAAGCATTCAGTGGTGAGCTGCTAGGACCAAAGGTCTGAAACACTGATGAAGCCCAGGCACTGCATTTGCGGAAGGTTTTCCAACAGAATCACAGCATTGGTCTGGTCTCAGAGAAGCAAAATGGGCTAGAGCTGAACTCCCAGCAGGAGAAAGGTCTTCTTCGGCCCTCCTTCCTGTGCTCCAGGAGAAGTCATAGTAACTTGTTCAGGTGAGAGGCTGAAGTTTCCTTCTTTGCTGAGTTCAGCGGCAGGCTTCTACAATGAAACCGCCAGCAGTGGCCTATCCCGGGTCCTGGACATTTTCTGAGAATAGTCCCATGCTTGGATGGTGGAGTCAGGGCAGGGTACGTCTGTCCTGCTGAGCTGCCACATTCATAATGCAGAGCCTTTGGCTTTCGGCCGGCGGTTGGCACCTGCCCCAGTTTGCTTGTCAGACGGTGCTGCCCATCTCTGGCTCAGGGACTTCTTTCACTCTCTTAATTTCCCAACCCATTTGTCACTTTTTGCCTGGGGCAACCCTGTCCCCCAAACAGAGTTTGAAATTGCTCTACAAATGAAATGTTAGCTTAGGCTCCCAATGTTGGCTGCCAGGCTTATCACCCAACATTCTGTACACTTAAGATTTAGAAATTTTTGCCACAAGGAAAGGCCATTTTGAGAAGATTTTTTTTAACTCCTTGACATTTTAAGATCATTTTTTTAAAATTGCAGAAAATTTGATAAAAATAGCAGTCATTTTCACAAAGTGACGAAATGGGAACCTAAAATTAATTGAATGGAGAAGCAGTTCTCCCCATCTACTCCCCACAACCCACACTCGCAGCAGAGATGCCAGCATGCCTTTCACAAGAGCTACTGCTAACCTTTGAGTCAAATATTCTCGAACATGCCCACAGGTTCTTCTGCTCAACACTAACTTACCATTTTAAGAAAGCCACTAGGGGCGAGGTCAGATAGACTTTATTTTATTGGCAATATGGGAGAGTAGGTAAGCATACAGTGTGGTCACTTGATTCCAACCCTGGCTTTTCCATTTGCTTGTACTTGAACTTCAGGCAAGCTATGTGACATCCTCAAGCCTTTACCCAGCTGTAGAATGGAAATAACATTACACATTTCGTGAAGTGATTGTGATACTTCAATGAAGTAAAACTTGCCTAGTGCCATTTTGAAGTACTTGTTCAATGGATAATTGTCTTTGACTCTCACGTCTGGTTTTAAATAGCAGCTTCCTTGAGCTCAGGTCTTGGTTTTGCAGAAAGGCTTCACTGAGACTGACAATCTTGCTGGGATTCTTGAAGCTACAATAATATCAAAGACAGAGCAATTAACTTCTATTTGTTGATTTGTTCACTCACCCTTTAAACATCAGGGACCTTCTATGTGCAAAGTCTTATGCTAGGTGCTACGGGGTTAGGACACATAACAGACTGGGGTTTTGCCCTCAAGAAGGATGTAACAGGTCCAGGAATATGGCATTCGGTAACTCAAGTTAAGAAGGGATTACATTTGCTGGGAAGATCAGGAAAGGTTGATAAAGGTGGTAGCATCTCACCTGGGCCTTGAAGAAGGGCTAAAATTGGGAGATGTGACAGGGAAAGAGATTTCCAGTAGTGAAGACAGTGTTAGTACCTTAGTACGTTCAGGTCTGTATTGCTTTAAAATTTCAACAACTTTTTTAATTATAGTAAAATGTACTCAACATGTAATTTACATATCTTAATCATTTCTAATTGTACTACTCAGTAGCAGTAAGTACAATCACATTGTTGTGGAACTGTCATCACCGTTTGTCTCTAGAACTCTTTTCAACATCCCCAACTGAACTCCGATCCCATTAAACAATAATTCCCCACCCCTGTCCCCTCAGTCCCTACCAACCACTATTCTACTTTCTGTCTTTATGACTTTGACTACTCTAGGTACCTCATATAAGTGTATTTATACAGTAGTTGTCTTTTTATAACTGACTTATTCTACTTAACATAACGTCTTCAAGGTAATCAGAATTTCTTTTCTTTTCATGGCTGAATAATATGAATAGACCACATTTGGTAAATCAGGGGTCCTCGTGCGATTTCTGTCACCTTTTGGTAATGGAATAATGTCCATCTCAACATAATTTTTGTGGTGATTCCTTCATTTGATCTACTAGAACATAACGTCCAGGAGGGCACGGGTGTTTGACAGTTTTGTCCGGCCCCGTACTCCTAGAGCTCAGAATGGTGGCTGGCACACAGTAGGCACTCAATGCATATTTATTGAAGGAACATTTGTTGAATAAATGGATTTAGCCCTTCAAATAATCCTGTAAGGCAGTCGGCAGAGACATTATTATGCCCTTAGTAGAGGAGAAAACACACTCAGCAAAGTTAAGAAGATTGCTTGGGTCACATGGCCAGCAGGTGTCCAAGGGGCCATGAAACCTTTGTGCTGGGTCTCAGCTCCTCCCTGGTGCACAGCAGGGGCTGCGTGGGGCATCAGAAACAGCAGGGGCTCATTCATAAGCCCAGATGCTCTCCCCTGCTGGCTCTGTGACTTCCAACATGTTGCTTTACTTCTCTGAGATTTAATGTTTGCTTTATAAAATGCAGATTCTAATATAAATTTCCAGAATGTTTTGAGAAATAGAACAGGGTAAAGAATGTACCTGGTTTGTACTAGGCATTTATAATATAGGTAACTATTACCAGTATAGTCATTTTTCATAAAATAATTTTATTTAGGGAAGGCAGTTATTTTTATTTCAGCATGGTGTAATTGAAATAAAACCCAATAACTATTAGACAACCTACTTTTTCTCACCAGCTATTTCATTATCTTGTGTGTCCCCTTGAACAGGTGAACTAGACCCTTGGAGCCTCCATTTCCTCCTCTCTGAAATAGGAACAGGCACGCTTCCCTTGCCTGACTCACGGAGTCTCTGTGGGAATAAAGTCAGAGCATCATCTACATCGTCATGTGCTGCATGAAAACGTGGAGGCCATTGTTCTTACTCAATTAGTGGAAATGTAACTTATTTCCCAGACTATGGGGAACACATATTAAAAGAAAGAAGATTCTTCTGTGTTGCCTGCTATTGTTTTCCTGTGATCTGGCAGCTCAGTAGCTGGAATGAGAGCCCCAGGGTGAAGAAAAGCTACCAAGCTACCCAGTACCTTTCAAGTCCAGGCAGCTCATGCGTAGCCAGAACAATGTGCTGTTTGGGGAGGGAACACAAGGGCCTCCTTGCAGGACAAAAATTCCTCCATGAATCTTACCCAGATGGAGTCTTCTTTATTAGGGCTGTTAAATGACAAAACCACCCTATCCCTGAACAGCAGCAACAATACAGCAATCTGGGGAAGGTGCTGTTTGGCTAGAGAGAAGGAAAGGGACATTAACACTCTATGTTGCCTCCAGGAAGCCCCATAAGAGCATCCAACAGAGAGCCCCTGGCTGCTGCACAGAGGAAGGGCGGAGGCGTTAGCGGGGGAGAACTTAGAGAGTCAGCAACAAAGCCCGGCTGGGAAGTCACGTTTCTTACACTCTAAATTTCACCCTTGTGAAAACTGAATGTGTGGAATTGCTGCTTGCAGTAATGAAACAGAGCATTTTTAAAATACTTTTTACAGCTTTAGGGGTTACAGGTGCTGTTGTGTTACATGGATATATTACATAGTGATAAAGTCCGGGCTTTTAGTGTAAGCATCACCTGAGAAGTGTGTGTTGTACCATTCGCTGATTTCTCACCCCTCCACCTTCCTGTTCTGTGTCTCCAGCATCTTTTATTTCACTCTTTAGGTCCACGTGTGTACATTCTTCAGCTCCCACTTATAAGTGACAACAAGAAGTACTTGACTTTCTGTTCTTGTGTTGCTTCACTTAAGATGATGGCCTCCAGTTCCATCCATGTTGCTGCAAAAGCCATGATTTTGTTCTTTTTTATGCCTGTGTAGTATTCCATGGTCTACGTACACCACATTTGCTTCATCTAATCAGCCCTGATGGACACTTAGGTTGGTTCCATATTTTTGCCATTGTGAATAGTGCTGTGTTAAACATACAAGTACAGGTGTCTTTTCCATATGATTTATTTCTTTTGGGTAGATACTTGGTAGCGGAATTGCTGGATCGAATGGTAGTTCTATCTTTAGTTGTTTGAGAAACCTCCATACCATTTTCCATAGAGGTTGGACTAATTTTATGTTCCCACCAACAATGCAAAAGTGTTCTCTTTTCTCTGTATTCTTGCCAACATCTGCTGTTTTTTGACGTTTTAATAAGAGCTATTCTGACTGGTGTAAGATGCTATCTCATTGTGGTTTTAATTCACATTTCTCCAAAAAAAGAGGATTTATTAACAATTTTGGTTGCATCAGGAGGCCAGGGATTTGGTTTCATCAGGTACAAATGAGGGAAAAAGGGGCGTAAAGACCTGGCTCACACTCTGGTCAGCGCCGAGTGCAAAGCTATTGGAGAAGCTTGGGCCGGCAGACATGTTGCTCTCGGGTCCTCACTGGTTTTGTTTAGGCAGTGAGTCTCATGCCACCTATGGAACTTTATTTTTCTTTAACAACCAGGAATCCTGGAGGTACATCTAGGTGAAGGAAGGAAATTATTCTGCAGGAAGAAATTCGAGTACTCTCCAGAGGATGGGGCATTTGCTAAATATTTTGAAGCATGGCCAGGAGTTCACTGGCCAGAGAAAGGGAGACAAGACTGGAAGAGAGACTCACAGACCCATGGAGCCCAGGGAGGGCAGGAGGCCTGCTTTTAGGGGAGGGTATTAGAGGAAGTGGCAGGGGTCTAACACAGACATTTCTACAGAGGACCAGATCATTTCTTGAAGTACCAATTTTCACTTTGTTTTGTTGTCATAGAATTGTGTAACATAATGAGAGCAACTTTTTTCTTCTCCCCCCACCTTGCACCTGTTTCTTATAAAGACAAATAAGTGTTTGAATGAAAAAGGCCTTGGACAAAATAGAATTTTAACTCAAGGGGAGGGGTTCTGTGTGTCCAGAATCTTGTCCCTTCACAGCCTCGCAAGGAGGAGGCTGGACTGCAGAGAGGGCTGATACTGAGGAAGAGAAATTAAGGGAAACGAGACACTGGAGGTGGAGGGTGAGTCGTCCAGCCTCAGGCAAGCCCAGGGGCTGCCACCAGACAAAGGGGCAATGGAAAGGACGACCTGGCTCCAGGGGGCCAAGCAGGACTGGCGCTGGAGCACATTCACAGAGCCCACATCCCGGGGCGCACTGTTCAGCAAGGTGCTTAACCCCAGAATCTTCACAAAATCCTGGGTTGTGACCAGAAGCCCCATTAATTAGTGGGATGACCATTTCTGTTAGCCTGGCAGATGGGGACATCGAGCAGCTAAGCTTTTCTGTAGTGAGAACTGCACTGACTCCAGTGGCTGCCCCACAATGCTAATACATGGCTGGATACGTGCTGGGCGTATGCTTCCAAGCACTTGAGGTGCATATTGGTCCGCTCCATCCTCACAACAGCCCAAGAGGGAAGTATTCTTATTGCCCCACTCTCCAGGAGAGCTCACATTATTTTTCCAAGGCTGTATGGCTTCTAGGCAGCAGAACGGAGATTTGAAATCAGACAGTTTGGCTCAGAGTTCAACCTATAAACTCCAGTCTCAAAAAATAAATAAGGAAAGAAAAATCTGGGCCTTCTCTTGCAATTCATACTCTGCATGTTCTAAAGTGTCTGGTACTCATATAGGCAACGGGCAGCTACAGAAGGATTTTAAGTAGGAGAGTGACAGGATCAAGTATATGATGGACAAAGCAGAGAGAGGAAGAACTTTTCAAACACAGTTCAAGTTGTTGCCAGGTTCTATACAGAGAAGATGTCAGCTTGACATTGGCAGAAGGGATGTAGAGGAAAGAAAACATTCACGAGAACTTTCAAAGGTAGAAATCACTACACAGTAGAGGGAGATGTACTGATGTCAAGTAATCGCATTCATTTATACGAGATTTTGAGTGCACTTAAAATATGGCTGACAAGGGTTTTAATTGGAGGCCTTGCAGAGTGCATAGCGTTCTGTTCCTCACATACGTCCCTACAGAAGAAGAGAAAGAAAGCAGGAGTGGTTGCTGCCTTCCAAGAGTCTATCCTCCGCTACAGAGGCACCATGATCAAACCACCCATTAACTTTTATGGCTCCTCACTCCTTGTTTCTGTTTCACTGTGTTTAACTGGCTGGTGTGGGAAGGGTTGGGGCTATAGGCACCACATATGAAGGAGATAGAATCTTGATTCTGGCTGCCTAGTTTTTTTCAGGTGAACTGTGAGGGAGGAGAAAAAATATTTCAGCTAAAGTCTTATTTTAGTTGAGTGATTTATTTTTAGTGAATTATAAGATTTTACAAATTTTAGGACTCCATTTCATTTACATTTATACTGATAATTTCATTCATCCATCCACGCAACTATGGATTTGCGTGCCAAGCATTTACTGAGCACCTGCTTTATGCAGGCTATTGTTTGTGGCGTGAGTGAGGATATCTAAGACATTGTTTACCACAACACAGGAGAGAGAGATGCTTTCCAAAATCAGTGTTGGGGTGTGGAGGGAGTGGGGCTAACTGCTTTCCAAAATCAGGGTAGGGAGGTTAACTGAGATGGAGTCAGTGTCTGGGCTCAGCTACTGCTTTCCCCATTAACTAGCTGTGTGAACTCAGAGCCTTCAACCTCAGACTCAATTTCCTTACCTAGGAAATAAGAATATTGTTTTCAAGCTCACCATGAACTTGTCAAAGTTATAAGGTTCTCCATATACACAGACACCAGAAATTACAGCTTCCAGCTTTGGCAAAGATCCACCCTGCTCAGAAGTCACCACGGGTTCTTTTTCTTTCCTATTTTGATTAGTTGTTTAACAACTCTGCAGCCCTTCCCTCACAGCTGTACAGTGGGCTGGGCACTTATCTATGAAGCATTTGTTAAATAGCAGCTTGAAGTATCAACCTTGTACCTGCCACCTTGGAGCCCTGGTGATCAAAGACAAAGGAGGCAGCGGCCTCCATGCACAGGACCAGAGTGAACGTCAGTGCTAGCCTGGCAACACGTGCAGACAGAGTCTGTTTCGTGTGTTCAGAAAAATGCAGGATCTTCTGGTCTCCGCTTCCCTGAATTACCTGTTTGGGCTTCTCTTGCTGCTGGGCTCAGACCCGGGTCTCCTCTGTGCGCGTGCTCCGTCAGTGGTGGTGTCGCTGCCATGGGAAGCCGCCCTCAGTGATGGCTGTTTGTTCCTTCTTGCCGTGTGGGTTGCAGTTAGTACACCTTTCGGAAAGAGCCATAATCGGCTTGGAGCAGCTTGATGAAAGTCAGTCTCACGGTTCTCAACACACACACACAATCAATCACTGCTCTCTTTCAAGACGGACTCCACCCGACTTATTAGCGCAGTGTGGGAAAGGCATGGAAGGCGCTTCCTGAGAAAGCATGTGAAGTTTATGTGCTTTCAGTGAAAGGGCCCCATAAAAACACAAGCTTAAGCAGCATGTACCAGAGGACCCTGTCTCCATTCAGCAAGGCCGTAAAATGCTGATACAAGAGAACACAGCTCTGTCGGCCTGAATCTGGCAATCATTTATATTTACAGTACCATATCTCTCCCTTTCTTTCATCCTTGACTTAACAGTGTTTTCTTTTGGCTGTCAAAAGTAACTTTTAAGCCTTTAAATTAGAAATGGAAAGACCAGGAAAAAGATTGAAGAGACAACTAAAATCTTTTACAGCAAACTATAAAAAGACCATACAAAGCCTATATCCGCGACTTTTAAAGAAAATTTATTAATGGGTTTTAGGAGGAGAATCTGATTGAGATGTAACATCTTGTGTCTGAAGATGTTCTAGGATGAGAAAGCCCAGAGAGAAAATAAAAATCTTTTCATCCCAATCAACCACTCTAGAAATGAAAATGCTGAATAATTTATATTAAGGACCCTTACTTTTACTCGCTAAAAAGATTTAACCTTCCTCCTCCAAAGGATAGAGACAATTTATGTGAAGTTGGCAAAGATAAAAATTAACATAATGTTAAGATTTTATTTTTAATAACCTGCCACCCATATTCCCTTGGATCTGGCGCCGGTTTTGAGAGAGATTTGGCCAGAGCTGGCTGGGAAAGCTGTCCCAGGTAGGAGACAGAGTCAGGCAGGGAAGTTACATCCTATTACTGATGGTTTATGGAAGAAATTAAAACATAAACAGAAATGCATCTTAGCAATGTCTATGGCACGAGCTTCCCCAGCCACAAATTTTGTGCTACATATTAGTAATAAATGGTATTTAAGATGGTGATAAACGTACAACAGGGGTGCTATCAAAAACAACTCTTTATTTCAAATAATACTTCCTTTTATTTCATGTTTCCTAAGTGTCTTGCTAAAGTGTTTTCTGGAAAATATCCTTTATCCCCAACGGCTTTGGGTTGAGATGTTTTGAATCTTCTTGTGGGGCACCCTGGAATGAGGAGCCCACACCAGCGTGCCCGGCTAGCCCACAGAGGGGTGCCATCGATTAATCAGCTGCATGAATGTGCAAAGTCATGATTCGGAAGAGCTGAATTCAAGCTGTGGCTCTCCAAAATACTTACTTAGCACTGTGGAACCTGGGCTAAGTTGACGAGCCTTTCTAATTCTCTTGAAGTTGGTGGGGTTAAGACAAGTTCCCTACCTAACAGAGTTCTTATGAGGTCCATGAGACAATGGACTGAAAGGGCAGTTGTGAACTCACCTGTGGGCTGCTAGTTAGCAGATTCACTTCACAAATGTCTGTTGAGCTTTTGTCCTTCCAAGCATGCTTCTCAGGTCTGGTGATACTGTAGTGAGCAAAACATTTACAAATCCCTGTCTTTGTGGGGCTTAGTCCTAAGAGGAAGAACATACAGTAAACTAATAAATGATTTTTTTTTTTTGAGACGGAGTTTGGCTCTTGTTGCCCAGCCTCGAGTGTGGTGGCACAATCTTGGCTCACTGCAACCTCTGTCTCCTGGGTTCAAGCATTTCTCCTGCCTTAGCCTCCTGAATAGCTGGGATTACAGACACCCACCACACTTGGCTGATTTTGTATTTTTAGTAGAGACGGGGTTTTTCCATGTTGGCCAGGCTGGTTTCGAACTCCTGACCTCAGGTAATCTGCTCACCTCAGCCTCCCAAAGTGTTGGGATTACAGGCATGAGCCACCGCCCCAAGCATAAGTAATTTAAATGTATAGAGAAATGTTAATGGGTATTGCGTGAAATTAAAAAGAATAAAGTAAGGAGAAAAGAGACACAGTGCTGAGGAGAGAGGGGTTACAACCTTCTGTGGCAGTCAGTGAATACCTCGCAGAGGTGTCTGAGCAAAGATCTGCTGGAGTTGCAGCCTGCGCCAAGCAGGTTCAAAATATGTTTGTTTTGTTGTTACAGACAGGTGGATGGTGCATGTGGGAAAAAGCTCATTCCACGTGAACATGATGGCGAGCAAGTGATCTTGATGTAAGTAGAGGGTCAGTTTGGCTCAGGTCAGCATTGGTCACTGAGCTCACCTGCCCTCATGACTCCTGGCTGAGGTAGGATGAGAGGCTACAAGCAAAATCTGGCTGAATGGCTTGTCTGCAAAATGTCAGAATATCTGCAAAAATCATCACCGTGGGAGATGCAGGCACAGTGGAGCGCTGGGGGATTGGGAGCCTGTAGGAGACCAGCCTTGGTGACTCCCAGGAGTCATTCAAAATGACATTTCCTTTGGAGCCTAGAGATTCCTGGAAGGCTGGGGGAGCGGCTGGGGCCTCCTTTCCCCCAGTCCTGGTCCTGTGTCCCAGAGAACCCGGGCTGTGAAAACTGAGAGTGAGACTACACTTTTAAAGGGGATTCTAAGACTCATATCACCCAGGTATGGCCAGTTTACAACTATGTAGATTATTCTGAAATTTAAAGTATTAAAATGTGTGACACTGAGAAGAATCTGGAATTCAGGATTTTGACTCTTCTCATTCAATGTATTGCCAATTATTTTTTTTGAAGACACCTCTTGAGCTGGGATAATGCCACCGTCCAGTGAGACTGGGTATTTATAGAGAATGCTCAGTAAATCATTAAACAGCTGTCGAAATCAATCATTAACCTTACTCTATTGAAAATCATAATTACTTATAGTAAATGAACAGAAATTTTGGTTGCAAACCTTTTTCCTTTATTGCATTAAATTGTAAAGACTGCCCGGCAGCTTTATTTAATCACTAAACATTAGCTCCAAACCAACTTTTGCTTTCACCATCTCAGTTCATGACACCAACACCCATCTAACCCATCAAATGAGAAATGCAACAGGGCTTCTCAAATCCTGTCTCCTTCATATGCTCCCAATCAGCACCAATGTTTTAAATTAAAATCTCCGCCTTTTTTTCCCCGTCTCTGTTGACAGGTTCATAAGTTTACCATATCTTGCTTCAACTTTTTCAGTGTCAACTTTCCCCCAAACCTTGTGTCTTAAAAGCCGTCTTGTCATTACCCCGAGTCCATCCATTCACCTCTGTGAGGGTATCAGGTATAAATCTCATGTATCTGCCTGAAACCTCCGTGCCTCCAGGTTGTCCTCAGGAAGCACTGGTTACCAGCCCCTCCCAACCTCACCAGCCTGGTTGCCCACGCTCCTTGCCTTTTATTTTGTGCCCTAGTTTCTGAAAACCTTACAGCTCCTCTTTCACTTTTCCTGGAGGAAAGGCAGACATGGCCTAGCTCACTCCTCCATATTTTTGGAGACTCTGGGGCTGCTGCTGCCCTAGGAAGCATTTCTGGACTCTCTGCTAGGAGCAGCTGCACACAGCCTCTTCTGAGGAGACGTGCAGTGTCCACATTACCTTCCAGTTTTCACCTCCCCAACTAGACTGTCAAGTCTTCAAGGGCAGAGACTATATTTTATTCACCTCCAAGCTTAGCATCTGGCAAATAAGAGGTGCCCATTGACTATTTGAGTCATAGGTCTGAACTATTGAAAAAACAGCAGAGCTACTTCCTTACCACAGGTGCATCCCAGGGGGAATCCTCTCTGTGTCTCAGCACTTTGCAGACACTGCTATTTCGGTGCAATCACTTATGCCTGAGGTGCATGGGTTTGTGCTATGTCTCCCTGGCTAAAACATGTCTTCACCTCATTGGCAACAAACAGAAAGCTGGGAGAAGGTCTGTGTTTGTTGAATGAATAAATACGTGAAGGAATGAAATGATTCCACATCTTACATTGCTTCTCCTTCCTACTTTGGCTTTCCCATTTTAAAGTTGCTTTTTACTGATTAATGAACTAGTGGCTTTCCCATTTTGAAGTTGCTTTTTACTGATAAGTGAACTAGCTTAATATTGTATTAATATTATTGGATTATATGAATACTGTGTAGTGATTTTATCAGTATAACTATGCTCATAAAGGACATGTTTTTTTCTTAAACAAGTTTAAGTGCATTTTAAATATATATTTAGTATATTTATGTTATAACTGTGAAATAAATATATTTCAAAGTTTATGTTTTACAACTGCGAAATAAAATATGAGCAGATTTTATTCTTCTTCAATGAACTAGGACAACAGCTGAGCTCAGGAGCTAGGGCGTCTGGGCTTTATTCTCTCCTGCAGCGCTAGCTAGTTCTGTGGCAAGCCAGCTGACCTCATCAGGCCTCAGTTTGTTCATCTGTCAAATGAGGGATTAAGCTATAGTTTTAAGATTGTTTTCCACCCTGAAATGCTTTTCTTTTTTTTTGGTTGCAATTTTAACTTGATTTTAGTTTCCTTGAAAGTTGTAGATGATCCTTATGCCACATGGGAATGCCTTCAGACCCACCCGTACTAGGACACATCATGGGGAGCTTTTACTCAATGCCAAAAACATCTTAATTACCTGCTGTTTTTAAAATGTTCTTCCCAGTGGAAACGTATTGGCAGGGTGCTGCTGGAGGTAAGAAGCCAAAGAGTTGGATGAACAGATAATGTTTCTAAAACCCCGCATCTGAGATGCTACTATTTTCTGTTGGTTCATGCATCTTTATTTCCCAAACCTGTTTCCCTAATTAAACAAAGAAGCTTTTTGGCAAATACAATGAAGAAATGAAAACTAATCGGCGTAAAGTAGTGTAGGGAGCACTCCTCCAAACACGGAGTCCAGCTTTGCAAGACAGATGCCACCACAGCTGGAGTGAGTTCTAGGTATGTCAATTAGAGTGAGGCCGTTCTGCAGACCGATAGGCATTTATATTTTTAGCAAACAAGGGTTTAATTGACTTCATTGCTTTCTTTGGAAAGACCAGTGAATGACAGAAAGGGAGAATCTTATGTCAAAGTCTGACATAAGGTGGAAGACATTTCATCATGTTTTTGTATGCCCAAAGCTATCCTTGACTATTGAAGTCATGTTTGTCTTTTTTTTTTTTTTTTTTTGACAAGGTCTAACTGTGTTACCCAGGCTGGAGTGCAGTGGCAAGATCATGGCTGACTGCAGCTTCAACCTCTCGGGCACAAATGGTCCTCTTTCCTCAGCCTCCCGTGTAGCTGGCACTACAGGCATGCGCCACAAAGCCTGGCTAGTTTTTTGTATACATTGTAGAGACAGGGTCTTACCATGTTGCCCAGGCTGGTCTCAAACTCCTGAGCTCAAGAGGCCCTCCTGCCCCTGCCTTCTAATGTGTGATATTACAGAAGTGAGCCACCGTGCCCAGAGTCATCTTTCTTTTATAAGTAAAATAATGACTCCTTTTTTCTAGAAAACCTGTGAGAGATCACCTGGTCCTCCTCACAATAGTGATTTTCCTTTCATTTTATCCTCTGTCTCATTGTTCGTTTAGTCTTTCTTTTTTTTTTTTTTTTTTTTTTTTTGAGACGGAGTCTGGCTCTGTCGCCCAGGCTGGAGTGCAGTGGCGCGATCTCGGCTCACTGCAGGCTCCGCCTCCCGGGTTCACGCCATTCTCCTGCCTCAGCCTCCCAAGTAGCTGGGACTACAGGCGCCCGCCACTACGCCCGGCTAATTTTTTGTATTTTTAGTAGAGACGGGGTTTCACCGTTTTAGCCGGGATGGTCTCGATCTCCTGACCTTGTGATCCACCCACCTCGGCCTCCCAAAGTGCTGGGATTACAGGCGTGAGCCACCGCGCCCGGCCTCGTTTAGTCTTTCTTAAGCCTCATCTTCCTTCAGAAACCACAGGGATTCCCATTCTTCCCCCTCTGCTGCCCGCACTACCTGCTCTATCATGAGGTCCACACTGAGTCAACGTTCGAGTCTCCTTACAGAGTGACCATGTTCCACGTATTCTACTCTGTGACCCAGTGGGAGCCTGCGGGGCTCTGCAGAGCTGAGCACACAGGTTTTGGAGCTAGCGTGTCTCCTAGACATGCTGACTTGAGGCCTCGGACACCTCACATTACCCCAGTCAGCATGGTAGCTAAAGAGCTCATTAAGAGACCCATTTCTCCCCAAACTTCGAGAATGGCTAAGCATTGAGGATTGCAAAGAATTCGATTTTCCTCTTTATATTTTTGTGGGTGGCAGGAAAAAGAAAACCAACTAAGTTGGAGTGAGGAAGTTTGACAGCTTTCGGCGGTCATCCCTAGGTGGGCCCTGAGCCTCTGGGCCTCTGGGCTCTGCCGCATATGTGTGAGCTACACACTTTCTTTCCAAGCAGGTTCATGAGGGTTTGGAATCGAGCAAGCTCACTCCAGATGCAGTTGGTCTATCCCATATCTGGGGTGCTGTATATTCCTGTGTTTAAACAATAGATTTAGATTTAAACCTAGATGCTATCATCATGATTGGGAAGAGGACAAAACAGAACTTGAGTACCTTCATTTCTGTCATTCAGTGAGAGCACTGAGAGTTCCTATTTGTGTCTAAAATTTCAAAGAGTAAGATGGGGTCCAAACTGGAAAGTGTCATATTTCTGTTTGGTAAATGCGGATTATTGTTTATAACACAAAATCATTCACTAAATTTGTGTATGTTTAAAATTAAAATTGATTCTTCTATTTAAATCATTGTTTTAAAATAAGAATGACTAAAAAAATGATTATTACTGACTTTTACATGATAGATACTGAAAACAGCGTTGTAATATTGAGTGGAGGGTGTTAAATGGCCCTTCCTGGGTGTTGAGTAGGCTGGGTTACCCATGCCAAGTTTACCGCTTCCTGCTCGGGGGGAGGAAAGAGTCACAGCGGCTTTCTTCCTAACAATCTGGAAATTATAGATTAATCCGTGAAGTGTCTGTAGATATGGACTTACTAGAGAATCTTCTTGCAAGATTCAATAAGTTTTCTCCACTGCCCAGTTTGCTTTGGACTAAACGCTTGTGCTTTTTCCTTGACCTGGTTGAAAGCTCTTCTTTCCCCTCCTGATTCTGCCATTCTTCAAGAGGCAGAACAGCGAAGAAGAAAAAATGGTGAAGGAGAAAGAGAAGGATGTTTGAATCTGTGTAGAACTGGGTTTTATTTCCAGCTGAGTGCCATTGCGCTGAATTCTCTTTAAGCCTGTTTCCCCAGTTATAAAACAAAGCTAGAGAGCTGCCTCTTAGGATTTTCATATGGAATAGGGCTATTACAGTACAGCGGCTAGCACATGATAAATGGTACAAAGTACTAACTTCTTTGGGTAATCGCCTTTGTCCTTGATCCCTTTGAGCTATTGGAAGTGCCTGAAACCAGTTCTTGATGCTATCTTCTTTAGGTATATAAAATATCAATAGCTTTCTCTCTCTCTCTCTCCTCTCTCTCTCTCTCTCTTTCTGTCTGTCTCACTTTCAGTACACACACACACACATACATACATATCTATTTATTTTTATGTCTACAGATACACAAACATGTTTGCATGTTGAATATTTGCACTTGCTCCTGTGAATACACACATACACATATGAAATATATGATTATGTGTAGTTGCATGGTCTAATCTTATACTTTTCAAAAATCAGGCCAAACTCCTTTTAGGTAAACATGGCAATACAGGGGCTTCATTTATAAAATAGATCAAGATAAATTATTAGTCCACAAACCCAGAGTGAAAACATAGACTCCGACTCTGTTTTTGTTTTCTTTTCAACACATGGTTTTTATCGGGAGATTCTTTCTTGCCAGAGATTCTTATTTTAAACTTGGCTTTTCACAAGGCCAAGCAATTTAAACATTTGGGCAATCGTATCAATGCATATTTTCCACCTTGTAATAAAAGAATAGTTCAGTTGAAAACTTTATTAATTCCAAATTTAGCACAGAGTCTGCTAGTGGGGTGTTTAGCCAGCAGTGGTCTTTGCTCTCTGGCGTCTGGCGGGAGAGGAGATGGTGGGAACAGCCTCCTTTGCTTTCCCATGTGGAAAACAGGTAATGATTTTTAAGACATGCCTTGTCAAGAGGGGATGAGATGTAAGACAGAACACCCGTCATCTGAAAAGCAAAAAGGACTTTTGTTTGATTCCTTTATTGCACGTGAAGAAGGCCATTTATTTCCCATGTACACTATTGTAAACTGGTGTAGGATGATCCTACATTCCCCATACCAAGATTTAGACAGTGTTTATCTCTGGATGCAGATGTTACGGTGATTTTTCTTATTTTTATAACCTTTTTTTTTAAAGTTAATGTTTAGCTCTAAGCCAGTTTTGTTTGGGCAAACGGAAACAAAGACATCAAAAACCTGTTTTAAGAAAGAAAGTTTTGGTGTGGGCAGATCTTGAATTCTAAATTCAGAGTATGTCTTTCAATCATTTGTAAACTGCTGGAGTGATGAAGTAAGTGATTACTCAAGCCCTTTCAGGCTCTATGATTTTTTAAATTTAAAAATGAAAAGAAAAGTGAACATCATTGAGTACATGGTATATGTCTGGTTCTGAGCTATGTATCGTCATTTGTGTTTTTTTTTTCAATTAACATATTGTATTAGGGTTTTCTAGAGAAACAAAACCAATATGATAGATGGATGGATAGATGGATAGACAGATAGATAGGCAGACAGAGAGAGAGAGAGACAGATAGGTAGATAGATAGATGGTAGATAGATAGATAGAGATAAATAGATAGAGATAGACAGGTAGTTAGATGATAGATAGGCAAACAGAGAGATAGACAGATAAAGAGGTAGATAGACGGAAGATATATAGATAGATAGGCAGACAGAGAGAGAGATAGGCAGATAGGTAGATAGATAGACTGAGAGACGATAGAGATAGATAGATGGATATAGATGGATAGATAGAAGGGGATATTTTAGGGGAAGTGGCTCACATAGAGGATGAGAAGTCCCACTATATGACATCTATAGGCTGGAGAAGCAGGGGAGCTGATAGCTTTGCTTTGTCCAAGTTTGAAGACCTCAGAACCTGGGTAGAGGGGGTGCTCTAGTGCAAGTCCCAGAGTCCAAAGGCAGGAGAACCTGGATGTCTGATGTCCAAGGGCAGGAGAAAAAGAGTATCCCAGCTCCGGGGGAAAGAGAGAGAGCATTTGCCTTTCTTCTGCTTTTTGTCCTATCAGGGCCCTCCGCTGTTTGGATGGTGCCCACCAACACTGGGTAAGAGTGGGTCTTCCTTACTCAGCTCACTGATTAAAATGCCAGTCTCTTCTAGAAACTCCCTTACAGACACATCCAGGAATAATGCTTTACCAGCTATCAGGTATTCCTCAGTGCAGTCCAGTTGATACCTAGAATTAACCATCACACATACGTTATCTCAATTCATTCTCACAATGGTCTGGCAAAGGGGTTATAATTATTCCTGTTATATGGGTCAGAAGTCAATGCCCACGTTATGGGCATAAGGGCACAAAAGATGGAACCAGGTCTGTCTGGGTCCATATCCCATACTTTTTTCACTATTGTCTTCAATGATTCCTTACACTTGGTGTGAAACATTTTGCAGGAAAGGATAAAGGTTACCCTATAAATTAACAAATAAAGTTGGGAAACTATGATTATGCTTTTCCTGTTGTCACTAACTCATCATTCCATTTGGCTTCTCAGCTTAATACAGACTTGTTAGGAATGCCCCTGGTTGCTGAGCCTTCGTTTGGGGTTCAAAGGGAAATTTCAGTTTGTTGAGTAATCTATTTCTTCCTTTTCTATCCAAACCACTAAATAAACTTGCTCCATTTTTGTCCTTTTAGGAAAAGTAATTGAGAAGAATCCAAGAAAAATGAACTTACAGTTGGCTCACTCACAGCTTAGCTTTCTTTTTGTTTTCCCTCCCATGAACGGCTCACAGCCCACTTATCCCAAAGGGATGTTGCATTCCACCAGATTTGCTCAGTGCTGACCTGAGCCCACAGCCACCCAGGGGAGAAGACACATTTACTTTGACTGCAGCCACACAAATTTGTGTGTCCATAGAAACCTGGGTTTTTTGTTTTTCTTCTTATGGCTTAGATCTGTGGTTTATTGTTAACCAGTTTCCTTTCTCTCCCTTTCTTCAAGGTAGATTTATTAGCACAAATATGTCATGCAAATGATGATTTATGAGGGCCCCACAGTCCCTGAGAAAACATATTGATTTAGGGGAACTCGCAATGCTTGCTACAAAGGCCTGTTTTGGGAGACTTGGATGCTTAAAGTTAAGATGAATTCATCAACTGACAAAAATTGTCTTTTCTTCCTGAGACTTTCTGCTGCTACATTACTTTGCATGAGTTATACTTATTTCATCACTGCTATTAACATTCTGGTTTCTGCCATTCCTGAACAGCTCAAAGCATTATGTCATTACCCTTGCATAGCCTCTGGTATGAGCTAATCAATAGAGAGATGTTTGTAACTAAGAGCGATGAAGAAATGTTGAGGAGGTGCATGAGGTTATCTCCTACCTTCTGATTCTGCTCTGATTCCCAGGAGAAATGATTTTTATCCCATCCACCCTGACATGACTAACCTACAGTCCTGGCCACGCATACTCACAATAGAACAGAGGGACAGGGAACAGCTTTCTCAGGTACCCTTTCCTCTTGTGATGGTGACAGTTATTTCTTCACCTCCATGAAATCTATGCAAAAGCATTTAGTGACCGGAAGACAGTGAGGGGGAACCACCAATGCCTCCATCAAGGAGGGCCAGAGTGAGAGCATCATGCAGGAAGTAAAGAGAATCATGCAATTATATTTAATTGCAAAAGACGTGCAGGCCATGTGTTTCAGAACATCAATAAAGGAGCTTGGTTTTGTTTTCTGGGCTTGCCAAAGTGAGTAGGGATGGGAATGTGATCAGTGGCATTGATCACTCTTTTCATTCTCATAATTTTAGTCCCCGTCTTTCTGATCATTTTACTTTCAAAGTGGGAAACATGGGGTTATGTGACCCCCTGGGCCCAAATCCGCCATCATATTGACAATCTCCATTAATATTTGAGATTCTCACCCCTTTCCCTACATTGCAATGGCTCACCTGGAGTCACACGACAATTGGTGGCAAAGATAATTGCAATCCCAACATTTTTCCTTCTCT